>NC_000002.12:239559943-239887891 GCF_000001405.40 Homo sapiens | reverse complement strand
TAATGCTGCTATGAACATTAATACATGAGTTCCTGCATGGACATGTTCTCATTTCTCTGGGGTATTTACCTAGGAGTGACATTGCTGTGTCATATGGTAATTCTCTGTTTAAGTGTTTGAGGAAGTGTTGTGCTATATGCTAAAGTGGCAGCACCATTGTCCATTTCCACCAGCAATCGTAAAGATTCCAGTCTCTCCACATCCTTGCCAACACTTGCCATCCTTTATAAATCCTTTTTATTTCTGTAAGGATCAGTAGTAATATGTCTCCTTTATATTTCTGATTATAGTAGTTTGAGTCTCTTCTCTTTCTCTCTCTCTATATTTTTTTTTTTGGTCAGTCTAGCTAAGGGTTTGTAATTTTTGTTGATCTTTGCAAGGAAACTGGTTTTGGTTTCACTGATTTTTTTCTATTATTTTTAAATTTTATATTCCACTAAATCCCAATCTAGTCTGTATTATTTCCTTCCCATTGCTTCCATAGGTTTTATATGTACTTTTTCCAGTGTCTTAAGATGTTAGAAAAATTCGAGATATTACTACTTTTTAAATACAGTCACAGTCATAAATTTCTAAGTACTGTTTTAACTGTTTGAACCCCATTAGTTTTGATATGTTGTGTCTTCATTTTCATTTATCTCAAAGTATTTTTATAATTTACCTTTTGATTTCTTCTTTTACACTTTAGTTGTTTAAAAGCGTTTTATTTAATTAATACATATTTGCAAGTTTCACAAGTTTTCTCTCCATTCTTGACTTCAATTCCATAGGATCACAGAATATACTATCATTTCCATGCTTTAAAATTCTTTGACATTTGTTTATGGCCTAGCATATACTCTCTCCTAAAAAATGTTCCATGTGCACTCAAGAAGAATGTATGGTTTACTGTTGTTGGGTGTGGTGTTATATTGAAGTCTGCTAGATCTAGTTGGTTTATTGTGCCATTTAAACCTATTTCCTTGTTTATCTTCTACCTAGCTGTTATATCTATTGTTGGAAATGAGGATACTAAAATATCCAACTATTATTGTTGAATTGTCTAATTTGCCCTTCATTCCTGTTAGTTTTTGCTTTGTGTATTTTAGTGGTATAGTGTTAGGTGCATATACGTGTATAATTGTTGTACCTTCTTAATGGATTGAGCCTTTTATTGTTACTATTTCTCCCTAGAAACACTATTGTTTTAAAGTCTATTTTGTCTGATATTAGTGTAGCCACTCGAACTTTCTTGTGGTGCTGTTTGCATAATATGTCTTTTTCCATCCTTTTCCTTTCAACCTATATCCTTGACCTAAAGTCTGCCCTGTGTGGACAGCATGTCATTGCTAGATCTCTTTTTTTCTTTTTGTAATCATCTGACCATCTCTGCCTTTTGAATGAGTTGTTTAATTCATTCAAATTTACTGTTGTAATTAATATGGTTGGATTTATGTCTACCATTTTAATTTTTGTTTTGTATATTTTATGTATTTTTTGTTCTTCATTTTCTCTGTACTGCTTTCTTTTTCATATATATGTGACTATTTTCATACATATGTGACTTTATGTATATGTGACTTTTTTCTAATGTAACATTTACATTTTTAATCTTTTTTTCTATAGTTTTAAATGTTGTTTTCTTAGTGGTTGCCATAAGTCTTACCATATACATCTTATCAGAATCACCTTTAAATTTACAGTAGCTTAATTCCAATTAGATGTAGAAACATTTCTCTCTCTCTCTCTCTTTTTCTTTTTAAGACAGGATCTCACTCTTTCACGCAGGCTGGAGTGCAGTGGGTTAATTATGGCTCACTGCAGCCTTGACCTTCTGAGCTCAAGCAATCCTCCCACATCAGCCTTCCAAGTAGCTGGGACTACAGGTGTGTGCCATCATGCCCAGCTAATTTTTGTATTTTTTGTGGAGATGATTTTTTGCCATGTTGCCCAGGCTGGTCGTGAACTCCTGGGCTCAAGCTATTACCTGCCTCAGCCTCCCAAAGTGCTGGGATTATAGATGAGAGCCACCGTGCTTGGCCAGAACACTACTCATATATATTATATTTTTCCTTTTTTGTGGTATTATTTTCATGCAGATTACATCTATAAATGTTACTAACCCAATGATATGCATTGTTGTTATTATCTTATACAATTTTATGTTTCTTAATAAAACTGAGAGGGAAGGAGAGCAAGTATGTATTTATAGCTTTTGTTATATTAACTTCTATTTACTATTTCTGGTACTCTTCATTTGTTTCTATGGATTCAAGTTACTCTCTGGAGTAATTTCTTTAGCCCCATACAGCTTTGTTCCCACCCACCTCTTTTGTCCTGTTATTGACAAGTATATTACATTTCCATATGTTATGCACCCCAAAATACATTATATGCATACCATTTTGTACAATAGCTCTTTTGTTTTTTAAAGAAAGTTATCAGGAAGAATATACAATTACCTTTTAAATCATTTAAGATAAGAAAGGAGAAGTAGCATGCATTTTACTGTCTTTTATAGTTGCATACTTGTATTTAGTGGTGCTTTTTTTTAAAATGTGAATTTGAATTACCAACTGGGGTCACTTGCTTTTAGCCTGAAGAACTTTCTTTAGTATTTCTTGGGTATGCTACCAATAAATTCCTCCAGTTTTACTCATTTGGGAATGTCCTTATTTCATTTTAATTTTTGGAAGATAGCTTTGCTGCATATATAATTTCTGGGTGACAGTTTATTTCCTTGAGAATTTTAAATATATCATCCCATCACCTTCAGTCCTCCATTGTTTCTGATGAGAAGTCAGCTGTTAGTCTTATTGTGTTTCCTCTGTAAGTGATAAGTGGCTTTTCTCTTGTTGCTTTTTCAAGATTGTCTTATTTTCTTTGACTTTCAGCATTTTTACTATGATGTGTTCATTTGTGGATCTCTTTGTGTTTCTTTTACTTGCAGTTTATTGAGCTTTTGGATGTATAGATTGATGTTTGTCGATATATTTGGGATTTTTTTGTTATTATTTCTTCGAATCTTTTTTCTGTTCCTTTCTTTCTCTGTCTCTCCTTCCCCTATCTCTGCCCTATCCCCAGTTTCTATTACTCTAATTATGCATATGTTGGTGCACCTAATGGTCTTATACATTTCTCTGAGGATCTGTTTTACTTCATTCTTTTTTCCTTTGATCTTCATTTTGCATAATCTCAATAGACCTATCTTCTTCAAATTTGTGATTTTTTTCTTCTCCAAGTTTAAATCTACTGTTGAGGCCCTCTACTGACTTTTTTAATGTCAGTTTTTATACTTTTCAGAATTTCCATTTGGCTCTTTTATTAAAAAAATTTTCTATCTATTGATATTCTCTCTTTAATGCAACATTGTTCTTATACCTTTATTTTCTTTTTGCTCATCACCAACCTGGGAGCTAGCCCAGGCTAGGCCAGGTGCATGTGTAATAACCAAGTGGAGTAATGTACACTCCCCAGATCTTGGTAGCTTAGCATGCAGTGTAATATTTGCAGGCACACAGTCTACTGCTGGTCCAGCTGAGGGTCCCAGGCTCTGTCCCCACATGGAAGCTCCTCGTGGTGGGGGCCTGGCCACTGCAGGCTGTGGCTCCTCCGCTCCTGCCTTTGGAGAGCCTCTTCCCATCACTGTGGGAGGAGACAGCTGGAGGGAGAGCTGCAGCTCCTCAGTGCTTTCTCCCAGAAGCCACACGTGCCTCTCCTTTCCATGGCCCCGTGGCCAGGGTTAGCAGCCAGCAGCATAGTCTGCAGAGGCTGGTGCGGAGGGACTCAGTCTCCATGTGCCTGAGGGAAGGAACTGGACACTTGGAACACTGTCTGCATCCACTGCACTGACACTGGGCATCACCGTGGTAGGCCCCCAAGTCTGGACACGGCCTTCCTGAATCCCCTCTTTCTATGTAATGATGAAGCCAGGCTATTCATGCTGAATTCTCCCTGCTCAGGACAGTGCCTCTCTCCTGGTGACTGCCAGCAGGGCAGAGGGTGGTGTCTGTTCTATTGTGGGGAAATACTTTTGCTTAGCATTGCAGTGGGAGTGGGTTTTTACGGCCTGGTGGGGCAGCTGGTGGGCGATCGTCCTAGAGATCTTATTGTAAAATCATCTTCACGCCAGCACGACCTCCCTGCTTAGCTTTGATGACTGCACAAGGGGCTTTCCTCACTTCCAGCATGTGCTGCTGTGAACCTGCCTGGTCCTCTGTGTGGCTGCCACCCTCAGTGGGGTTGGGGTCCTGGGTTGGGGCTGTGTGTCCAGCTCTGGGGAGGCTCCCAAAGCAGGGATGGACTCCCAGGCAAACAGCTTGCCCTGGCAAATTGGACAGTAAATGTGACCGGGTACTGGGTGTCCATCCTACTTCAGATGCCCCCGATCCAGGGCTGCTGACCAGGGAGGAACTGGACTATCAGGGAACAGACACAGTGGCAGGAGCCCCTCTGTCGGTTGCCACACCTTGCTGGCCCCACAATCCATGGAGCACCGAGCATCTGCTTGTCCCCTGGGCTCTGTCCCACCCAGGTCCTGAGCCTCTTTGTTCCTGGCTGCACACGGAAGGGCATTGCCAGGAAGCCCTGGGATGCCCGAGAGGTAGGTTTGTGTGCCATATGGAGGGGGCAGCAGTGTCAGGCCTGTCATGCGTCTGTCATACATGTGTGTTACTCATGGAGTCACAGAGCTGGGGAGGAGGGCCCTAGAGTTCTTCTTGTCTATCTGCCCCTTCTGCAGCTGAGGAT
This sequence comes from Homo sapiens, assembly GCF_000001405.40. Lineage (NCBI taxonomy): Eukaryota > Metazoa > Chordata > Mammalia > Primates > Hominidae > Homo > Homo sapiens. The sequence continues at coordinate 239,883,163 of NC_000002.12, read as the reverse complement.
ACTGAGGCTCAGCACAGGGACGTGCACCTCAGAGTGACTCAGGTGAGAGGACGTTGATCCCGGGTACCAGGTATGTTGGTGGGCTCCAGGCATCACCAGCAGCACCTGCTCCTCAGATAAGGCCCCAGCCTGAGGGCAGAGTTGACCTCCCCCAGTCCCACCAGCACTTAGTGGGCCTCCTGCCAGCCCTTGTCACAATCTGCTCATCCAGTGGTCCTCCATAGAGTATGAGAAACAGAGCTTGGCTCGATGCCATCTTTCCTGGACCTCAGAGGACCCAGTGGTCCAGACTGGATATTGTGGGCTCCCAGGATAGCAGAGCCACCTCCCACCCTCTTCCAATTGACCCCAAGCTCTTGTTTCAATCCTTCAGGAGACAGGAAGCTCTCTGCCTGCAAGTCTTACAGTTCACGTGCTGGAAAACGCTGATTAAAACCTTCTACTCAGCTGCTGTCTGACACTCAGACCCCAGCCCACAGCCCCTCTTTGGATTGCCAGCACATAGTGCCTGGACCAGGGCAGGCTCTCGGAAATAGTGGTTGAATGATGCACCCAGAAAAACCATCATGGTCTGTGGTCATGCCCAGCCCTCAGCTCCCTGCAGTTCCTCAGCCTTCCTTCCTGGATGGGTGCCTGCAGGACGGGCCTTCAAGAAGGAGCCCACAGGTGCACACCTGCCACCTTGACTTGGAAGATGTTCCTGAAGTCGCCACCAGATGGAGCACCTGTTGGAGTCTGAAACGTCTCCCGCTCATCCCTATGCTTTGGGTCAACAGTGACTTTAGCATTGACTCAGTAAAGAAGAGGGTGGCCTGTTCCTGGGCCAAACAGGGATCCAAAGACTCACAGATTTCATTTTTTTCCAATAACCAAGTATCTCACACACAGAGACAAGTGCGGAAGGTAGATGTCACTCACCTGTGCCCACCACCAAGAACTAACCAGACTCGCAGTTCAGGGAGTACTCTGGCCACCCCTGTGCTATGAGGCTTCGAGGCTTTCCCAGGCGGTGGTGGGGTGACCTCCAAGTGCAGGTGCCCACAGCTGGGCAGTGTCCCCGTCCCCTTCTCTGGCTGTCTTGGGACACAGGGATCCAGCCTGAGGGAGCCTCGTGTGTTTCTCCACTTGCTTGGTGCGGGACCTGCGGATAAAACAAGGCTGAGCACCCGCCTCTGTGCCAGCTGCTGCTGCTCCTTTTGTTTTTGGTTGTTTTTGTTTGTTTGCTGTGGCTTGCCTGGCTGTTTAGGGAGACTATTGGCATTCGCTCCAGGAAATCCTCTCTGGGATGGAAGTACTTATTCACGCAGGCGGCTGGATCGAGGGAAGCACAGTTTCCAGCAACTCCGCTTGGTTATGATTAATGGAGATAAATCTGCCCAAGAGAAGCTAAATTTAGCCAAAAGTTGAGCCCCCTGCTTCCGCACTCCGCCCTCAGGCACCGGCAGAGTGTGTGTTGCTGTTGGCCAGAGCCCAGATAACATCAAGAGGTGGAAAACAATCCCCAGAAATCTGAAAAATGTAGAACAAGGAAAGAAAATGTTCAATCCATCAAAACAAACAGAGATACAATCTCACCCCCCTTGGTTTTTGTACCACTGGGTTTAGGGGAAAAGAAAACAAGAGACTGAATGAGAGAGATATGCATTAAAAACACAAAAAGATTGAAGACAGGAACAGAGTGCTCCCGCACAGGGTCACAGGGCTTGAGAGACCCCGGACCCTCAAGTGCAAGGCCCTGGTGGGGCAGGGCAGTGGGCAGGAGGGAGGCCGGGTTCCCCAGGGTCCACGCCAGGTGTCCCTCAGCCCTGGCTTCCCTCCCTCCATGCGTTGCGTGCTCACCTTTTTCTCTTCCCGACCCTGGCTGTTTCGATAATCTTCAGGCTTTGAGAGTGAATGCATTACTCCTGTCATTTATCCCACAAAGATGTACTGTGCTGGGCACAGGCAGGTCCTGGGCCTGCAAAGAGGAATAAGATGGTCCCTGATCCCCAGGACTCGAGATTGCTGGGAGGGCGGCCCAGATGGAGGTGGGAAAGCTGGAGGTGGCGTCTGGGCTGCCCTCTGGGTCTCCAAGCAGGTTCTGGGGTTGCAGGGCTCTGTGAGCTAGGGGAACCCTGCTGGCATGCTGCTTGTTAAGATCATGCTTCTGGTGGCTTCTGTGTCTGGTTGGAATGCTGGGGGGTGGGCACTGGGGAAGCATTAGAGCCCACGATTTGGGCCCTTCTTGTTTTGATTTCGGGTAGTACACCCTTAGGAAACACTTTGGGAGCCACAAGCACCCTACAGATGAAGTATTTTATTATTTTTAATAACTGATCATGAATTCAGGGACCATGAACCATCCGCCTGAAGAGTCAGTATTGCAGAAAGTTTGAAGCATTGAACTCACATTTCAGGAGTGCTGGGTCACTGTGATGGGCTCTGGGGAGTGACCGGTGAGTAGCAGAGGGGCACAGTGAGAGGTGACGAGTTCCTGAAGGTCCCTCTCCCCAGGGGCACTTGGGGCCTCTTGGTGGGTGCTCCAGTAGGGCCCTGGGGGGACACACTGATGTCCCCTTGCTGGTGGGGTGGAAATTGTCCCATCAGGGTGTGCAGGGCAGATGCATCCCTCTCTTAATAAATGGTGATGTGGCAAAGCTCCAGGGTGAGGCACTGAGGGGTGCTGACTTCTAGGAGGATTTGTGTTTGGAGAGTTCAGAGCTAGGCCTGAAAAAATCTGCTGTCACTCCAAGACATTGCACCTATGCCAGGAGTTGCGGCTCCCTGAGAGCTGGTGTCTGACCCAGCAGGTCACCTAACCCCCAGGGGACCACAGGTGAGGGGTGCAGGAGCAGCAGGGGCCCCCAGCTCATGGCCCCACTCCTGGAAATCAGTGCATGGGGTGGGGGGGTGGGGCTGCTCTTCTCTTGTGTTTATCACATCACAGCTGCCTTTAAAATAGAGGAAAATATCTCCTCCAAGCAGGAAGAGTAACTTTCCACTGATTGGCCGTTCTCTCTGCTCTCTCCCTTTGCACAAGCTCTGCCTGTGGGTTTCAATGAGTTCTCTGTTCCTGAACAAAAATGCAGCTCAGAGTGACCTTCCTTTCTCTTGTAGAAAGTTTCATCTTTTTACACATTTATGGTACGCAGAATTCTAAAGTGGCCCAAGGATTTCCACCCCCTGTTGTACCTGCCTTGGATTATTTCCTCCCCTGGGATGTGGCAGACCCTGTGTGATACATGACATGGCAGTGAAGATTTTTCACAAATGTAATTAAAGTCACTAATCAGCTGGCTTCGAGTTCACCAAGAGGGCAACTATTTGGGTGCTGATTGAAATCGCCTGAGCCCTTCACATCTGATTTGAGGGGTGAGAGACAGGGGAAAGGAGGGACTCAGGGTCAGAGACCTGTGCTCCTGCAGCCTGGAGGAAGCTGCGCTGTGGCCTGTAATAAAAGAAAAACTTCAGCCAAATTAAATTTAAAAGAGTTTAATTGAGCAATGAACAATTTGCGGATCGGGCAGCCCCCAGAATCACAGCAGATTCACAGACTCCCGCGCAGCCACATGGTGGAAGATTTATAGATAAAAAAAGGGAAATGACGTACAGAAATTTGTAGTGAGGTGCAGAACGGCTGGACTGGTTGTAGCTCGTTGTTTGCATTATTTGAACACAGTTTGAACACTCAGCAGTCTATGAAGTGTGGCCACTGGGATTGGCCAAGACTCAGCTATTGTTTCAGGCAGGCACATACTCCTAAATTAAGTTTTCAATCTTGTCTGACTTTTTTTTTTTTTTTTTTTTTTTTTTTGAGACGGAGTCTTGCTCTGTCGCCCAGGCTGGAGTGCAGTGCAGTGGCACGATCTTGGCTCACGGCAACCTTTGCCTCCCAGGTTCACGCCATTCTCCTGCCTCAGCCTCCCGAGTAGCTGGGACTACAGGCACCTGCCACCACGCCCGGCTAATTTTTGTATTTTTTAGTAGAGATGGGGTTTCACCATGTTAGGCAGGATGCTCTCCATCTTTTGACCTCGTGATCTGCCCATCTCGGCCTCCCAAAGTGCTGGGATTACAGGCCTGAGCCACTGCATCCAGCCTTTTGTCTGACTTTTAAGCCAGGTTACAGTTCATTCACAAGGACTCAAATATAGAAGTACGGAGTCCATCACAGGCCATATTTAGTTTGCTTTAACACCTGGCTAAGGAGACAATGAGCCGAGAAGCTGCAGGCAGCCTCCACAGATCAGAAGCAGCCCCAGCTGACAGCAAGCAAGAAACGGGACCTCAGTCAAACAGACGCAAGGCAACAAATGACCAACATCCCTAATGAGACGGACAGGGATTCTGCCCCAAACCTCCTCACAGAAGGCAGCCCTGCCACATCTTGATTTTGGCCTTGTGAGACCCTAAGCAGAGAGCCCAGCCATGTGGTGCAGAATTTCTGACCCATAACACTGTGAGCTAATGAGTGTTGATTAAGATGCTAAGCATGTGACCATTTATCACTCGGTAATGGGTAACTGTTACAAAAAGCAATGCAAATCTATGGCACCCAAATTAGAAAAATCAGACAGGAAAAAAAAAGAAAGAAAGTGAAAACCACTAGTAATGAACCATCTAGACATGACTATTGTTAATATTTTGCTGAATAGTCCTCCAAATATGTCGTATGTTTAATTTTCTCTCCCCCACTACGTATCACAGAATTATGGAGCTACAATTGACATGAATAAACTGCATGTTTTAGCATTGTACAGTTTGGTAAATGTGCTGTGTGTTTACACCCACGCAGCCTTCACTGCACAGGATGACGACCATGTCCACCACCCCAGGAAGTCTCCTCACACTGCTCTGAAGTCTCTTTCTCCCACCCTGTCCATCTTTCTGTCACTATCCATTAGGTCGCACATCCAAGAATTGTGTATCAGTGCAGTCACACAGCATGCACGCCTTTCTTTATTTGTTAGTCTTAAAAATCTTTGTGTTTCATTGTGGATGGTTTCTATTGCTGCCTTTAGGTGCAGTAATCTTTTCACCTGCAACCTTAAATCTTCTGTGGATCCCGTTCTGTGTACTTTTCATATCAGACATTGCAGTTTTCATCTCTAGAATTTTGATTTTGGGCCTTTTTGGTGTCTTTAATGCTCTATTTAATGGAACCATCTTTCCCCTCACCCCTTGGACATATGGAGCTGTAAACAAAATATAAAATTCTAAGCCCCCCACCTGACGAATGGACCCTCCCTCCCCTTGGCCAGTGGAATTCCCAAGTTAACCTGAAAAATTAGTTCAGGCTGTGGTGGGAAGGTGGGGGTCAGGCATGCCTCCTTCTACCCTCCTCCCGTTTTAATTCAGGCACAGCTGACCAGCATTAACATTAAAACAGAGACCTTCAGATTTCAGATCTGAAGACGAAACAGACGCTGTAGCAGTAAGATACCAAATTCCAGCCCGACTCTAGTATAGCATCACTTGACAGATTGCAGGCCCTGGAAGAAATGGAAGTATTTTACCCCAAAATATATTTCTTTGACATATTTTGAAACGGCCCTGCAAAGCTGTCTCTCGTGGGGAAAGTCTACATTCTGTAGAGAATCCTCATTCTTTTCTAGGTCTTTTCCCTGATCGGGGAGAAAACCAACAGGCTGGCACCGTTTTAGGTCTGCTAAGAGCTCTGAAGCCTGCTACCTGGAGGCTTCATCTGCATGACACAACCTTGGTCTCCACAACCCCTTATCCTAACCCAGACATTCCTTTTGATTGATTCCAGGTCTTTAGCTAGTGACTCTCAACCAATTGCCAATCAGAAAATCTTTGAATCTGCCCCTGTTTCCAGTTATCCCTCCTTTCCAGACCAAATCAGTGTACATCTTACATGTGTTAATTGATGTCTTATGTCTCCCTAAAATGTATAAAACTGAGCTGAGACCCGACCACCTTGGGTGCATGTTCTCAGGCTCTCCAGGTGCCATGTCACCAGCCATTGGTCACTCATATTTAGCTCAGAAAAAAATCTTTTCACAACTTACAGAGTTTGAATCTGTCAATAGAGCAACGTCGTACAACTACCTCAGTGTCCTTGAATCCCAACCCCACGATTCGTGCCCACTAAGGTCAGGTTCCATTGACTTTTCTCATCATGAGAGATCACATTTTCCTTCTTCCTGACAGGACTGGGCATTTTTAATTGGATCCAGACATAATGAATCTTACCTTGTTGGGTGCTAGGTATTTTTGCATTCCTATAAATATTGGTTTGTTCACACATGCTCTGATCTCTGCACTACCGAACCCTCGAGTGGGTCCCTTCATGGAACCTGGCATTGAACTCTGTGCAGCTCTCTCCTCTGTCATAATACAGCCCCCTCCTCAGATGTTAGACTCTGCCTTCTCAACCCAGGGAGTCCTGCAGGCTGGGCCCTCTCCAGGCAGTAAGCAGGCCCGTGACGGGGCTCAGCTCATCTTTGTTTTCTATTTCTCAAGCATAACGTCCTTAATTTCCTCATATCCAGAGTCCTGAAAAGTGTTCTTGCCTATATTGTGTCTATTTTTTTGTTGTTGATTCAGACAGACGGGTAACTCAGGTTCCTGTTATCCCATCTCAGCCACAGCAGAAATATTGACATATGTTTTGAAAGAGGTAGACTCATACCAGGCTTCATGTTTTGAAACCTGACCACGATGCCTGGAAATTCAGTTTTTGCTCCTCTAAGGGTTATAAGGTCAAATCAACAAACCCGTGTTCTCGGCAAAGCTCCGTTCCTCACCTGTGACCAGGAGTGAGGCAGGAAGTTGCCTGCGCTGATTGTGAGAAGTGGCTCCGGCTCTGATAACGGCGGTCCCAGATGGTAAGATGAGTTCCTTGCACGGGGGCGCAGACCGGGACTGGCTTGGGGAGCCCTCCGGAGTCCCAGTTGCTATCACAGCAGAGGTGTCCCCAGGGGCTTTTATTTCCAACAACACTTCGGTTTTCCTCTCACATTTATTCTTACAGGTGAGCTCCAAGATCTCCAAAATGCTTTTCCAACTCCAGGAAGAATCCTCCTCCTAGGATTGACAAGGGGTCACACTCTCTGCTTATAGTTAGCCCAAAGCCTCCCCACCCTTCCCTGCCTCCTCCGCAGGGCTGCCCTGTCATCCACACTCCAGGCGTTGCTGCCCAGCCCCTCCTCAGCCCTGCACCGACCTATGTCCTGATCTGTCTCTCTCTCTTTTTTCTTTTCTTTTCTTTCTTTTTTTTTTTTTGAGCTGAAGTCTCGCTCTGTTGCCCAAGCTGGAGTGCAGTGGCATGATCTCGGCTCACTGCAACCTCCACTTCCTGGGTTCAAGTGATTCTCCTGCATCAGCCTCCCGAGTAACTGGGATTACAGGCGCCCACCATCACGCTTGGCTAATTTTTGTATTTTTAGTAGAGACGGGGTTTCCCCATGTTGGCCAGGCTGGTCTCGAACTCCTGACCTCAGGTGATCTGCCTGCCTTGGCCTCCCAGAGTGCTGGGATTACAGGCGTGAGCCACCGCGCCTGGCTGCTCTGTCTCTTGAATGGGACGATGGCGTGCCTCAGACCTGCACACACCTGGCCCTGGCTGTGCCCACTGGGGACAGCCCTTCTCAGCGAGAGATGCTTACCCTTTCACTCCATGAAGAGTCCTTGCACTCTGAGCAGTGTGAAGCAGTCAGCAGATCAAACCCAGGCAGAACAGTTTTCAGAGATGGGAAAGTGAGTGGGATTTGGGGGCAGAGGTCCTAGAATCAATGTCATTAACTTAGTGGGTGGTGAGTTAAAAAGGCACCCCATGGGCTTACCATGACTTCGTTTCATATAATCTGTGCAACAACCCTCATCTGTGCTCTGGACAAGGGTGTCAGGGGATGAAGGGCTAAATATCAGAGGCACACAGCTGGGAAGCATCAGACCTGAGATTCGGTCCTGGGCTGTCAACCACCCTCTCTAGGGTGGGACTTTGGGCTTCAGTTTCCCCATCTCTAAATGTAAGCCTGCCCTGGAGGGCAGCCGTAGAGGATTCACTGGGATGGACCAGAGATGGTGTGGCATTTATGTGGAACTCTGTTTTGTGGGTTGCAGACCCCACAAAAACCAGTGACCACACCTGGGGATGGGTTTGTACATTCCTGCCTCCACTGGGGATCATCCAGGCCACTGAAGTGACCCAGGTCCACGAGGTCCAGCAGCATTTCCTTCAACACAACAGCCTCCAATCCTTGCTGCTTCCCACCGTGGGCAGCAGCCAGTTCTCTTCCTGCATCCCCCGCCTCTTGCTACAACCTTGGCTTCTCCAGCAGTGTTAATGACCTCCATCAACGGGAGACTTGAGACTCACTGCCATAGACAGAACCCAGACAAGAGGCTGGCGTGGAAGCTAGGACAGTCGTGGTCCTCAGGGAACATGCCGGCAAGGGGAGCAAGTGGGCCCAAGGTGGGCTCCATGGATCACAGGGTGAGGGGCTGCACAGGAGGCCTGGAGAGCCGCACTCGGGCGTGGGCAGGTCTGAGAGCTCAGGGGCCTTCCCCTGGTTCCCCTGTTCATTCCCTCATTCCCCAAATCCTTGATGAGCGACTGTCACGTGCTAGGCAAGAGAGGGGTCAGTAGGGAAGAGAGAAACCTCTGCGCCTGAGACCTTGCGTTGCAGAGGGTCATGCAGACAAAACACAGGAGCGCATAGGAAATAAAATGACTCTAGAACTGAGTGCCGTGAAGCAGGAAGGAGGGCAGTGGGGCGGGGAGGCAGGCAGGGAGCACACCATGCAGCTGCAGTGGCCAGGAGAGGCCACTGACAGGGGACCCGAGTCCGAATCCAAATGGCGGGGAGGAGGCAGCTGCACACGGCTGTGGGAAAAGCCTTCCGGGCAGAGGGAGGAGCAATGCGAAGAGTCAGGAGTGAGACCAAGATGGTGATGGGACAGAAGGAAGTTCTGTGGCCAGACGGGAGGGCCCAGGCAGAGGCAGGTGGGTCAGCAGGAGGGAGCAGAGACCTGAGGCTCAGGGTGGTTGGAGGCCCTGGGGGCTCTGTGAGCAGCGAGGTCGCATGCTGTCGTTCATGGTTTTAAAAGTTCGCTGTGGCTGCAAGGTTACCAGGGGAGACGAGGCAGAGAGAGGGGCACCCTCACATACCTGATGCAACAGAGGGGACGGGTGCTTTGTTCTGACACTGTTTCCCAAACTCTTTCGTAATGAAAATGAAGTGAGTTGAACATATTAGTCTCATAACTAGAGTGAACCTGTCTCATGGCCACAGAAGAAACCTCGCTTTTACATCTCTCCAGGTTCCAGACAGCGCATCGAAAACCCTCTCTGAAGTTCCTGCTGCCGACCTAGACAGCCGGCCACACCCAAAGCCACCCACACACACGGCACCTGCTGTGGTCCCACCATCCTTTCCCTGTGCTGTCCAGAACAGAAGGAAACAGCACACCCAGGAAATCTTCCAAATGAGCTTCATTTATAACTCACTGTGCTAAAAACTGGAATTCTCTCCAGCTTCAATTCGAGCAATTGTGTAATCACTTAACTACAGCAGTGAAATCAAATGAGAGAAAATTCAATATTAGCTCTTAAGAGAGATGGAAATTGGGTTTCTGGATCAATAGGAGACACTCTTTAAATCACAGTGACAAAAATATTCTACTTGCACTGTCTGGAAATCAAATAAGATGTGACAATTTAGTAATAAGATTCACATATGATATAATATACATTTATAAAACACTGTCCTAAAAATCATAATCTTATTAAGTCTCCATTTGAGATATTGTGTAATCACTTACATAATAGGAATAGAACTAAAAGACAAAAAAATCAAATTTAGAAGTCAAAATTCTGGCTATGTTACTGGGTTATTTTAGTGAGTTTATTAGCAATAATAAAGATACCATAATTACGCTAGTTATAAATAGGATAAAATGTAAGTAACTCACATAAGTTATTTAAATACTCTGAAGTTATAGAACATTATCTCGGAATTAGAATATGAGCAGTTTCCACTTTAGCCATTGAATAGTCACTTAATAGCAATAAAATTAAAAAAGAAAAAAAAAACAGCCGGGGGCGGTGGCTCACGCCTATAATCCCAGCACTTTGGGAGGCTGAGGCGGGCGGATCACAAGGTCAGGAGATCGAGACCATCCTGGCTAACACCGTGAGACCCCGTCTCTACTAAAAAAAAATACAAAAAAATCAGCTGGGCATGGTGGCAGGCGCCTGTAGTCCCAGCTGCTCCGGAGACTGAGGCAGGAGAATGGCGTGAACCCGGGAGGCGGAGCTTGCAGTGAGCCGAGATCGGGCCACTGCACTCCAGCCTGGGCGACAGAGCGAGACTCCGTCTCAAAAACAACAAACAAACAAACAAAAACAGGCTGGGTGTGGCAGTGGCTCCCTCCTATAATCCCAGCACTTTGGGAGGCTGAGATGAGAGGATCCCTTGAACCCAGGAGTTAGAGACCAGCCTGGGCAACACAGCCAGACCTCATCTTTCCAAAAACATTTTTAAAAATTAGCTGTGTGTAGTGTTGCACACCTGTCGTCCCAGCTACTCAGGAGGCAGAGGTGGGAGGATTGCTTGAGCTCAGGAAGTCAAAGGCTGCAGTGAGCCATGATTGTGCCACTGTGCTCCAACCTGGGAAGGAGAGCAAGACCCTATCTCAAAAAAAAAAAAAAGAAAAAAAAAACACAAGAGGAAAAATAAGAATTACTTTACAGAGAGCAACGCGTCTTGCCATAGTTCTGGATCTTAGAAGTGGGCACGCTGGAAGTGGGGTCACTGGAAGGTGACTCACCTCTGCTGAGACACATTTCTCTGCTCCCCAGTGGAGGAGGTTCTGGGCCAAGGACATCCTTTCGGGGAGATACTCGTGGTGGGTGTCTTCCCTGTCTTCTGGAATCGGGGGAAGGATAGAGTCTTCTTCCCAAGAGCTGCCCCCCGGGGACTCTCAGGACGCTCTGATATCTGACAAGAGAGGATGGAGCTGGGTCAGTGGCACCCCTTTCCTGCAGGACAGTTGGATCAGAGCAGCCCAGGGCAACCCCCAATCCCATGGGAGGCGTTGGATCAGGGCAGCCCAGAGACACCCCGGTCCTGTGGGAGGGTTGGGTCAGGGCAGCCTAGCTGAGGGGCATGGGAGCTGAGGCTTGCCATCTGGTGCAGGCTCTGAGTAGGGCTGGGGGGGTTCTGGTGGAGGCTCTTGTTCTTGGGCCTGATCCTGTGAGGGGCTACACCTTGAGCCCTGGGCCCTGACCCCCCACCCACTGGGGCCTGGTGCTCCTGCTCCTCTGGGTCCTATCTTCCCCATGGTTCTCTGCTGAAAGCCCCACAGCAGCATCAGGGATGTGAGGATGCCTCAGGAGCCCCTCGATCCTTCCTCCATAATGTATTTCAGAGCGCATTCTCTTTCTTAGGCTGTGCAGGTGTGTCTCAGCCAAAAGTGCTCTCAACTCATTCGCATGAGCTTTTCTCGCAGGGAAAGTAATCTGCCTTCCATGATGGCCAGGGATTCTCTCTAGGGTTTCTGGAGGATTTGGATGGCATGTTATGCATCCAGCTTTTCCCAGTGCGGTGATCTTGCCATGTGCCCTGGAGAGTCCCCTCTGTCCTCACAGGGCAGACGCTCTCCATCAGTATCTGCCAAACACTCTTTTCCTTGGTGCAGGTTGGGGGTCGGGGAGGGAGATGGGGGGATGGGGGGATGGGTTTTCCTTGGTGCAGGTCGGGGATGGGGAGGGGGATGGGGGGATGGGGGGATGGGGACATGAGTCTTCCCGGGAGCTGAGCCTCTCCCTTCTGACAGTGATTTTCTGAGTGTGGCAAAGCAGTCAGAAGCATGGGGATTTCTCATGTGATCTTCTAAGGACGTCGATTTTATTTTCTACGGTTAATTCTTTCTTCCTCGAGAGTTTCAAATCAGTATTTAGCTCAGCTGCACCAACTGTGTCTTCGGAACTCCTTTTGATTTATCTTCCACGTGGTCTCTGTTCCCATGAATTTGTTCCGTGCCATCCTGAGCTCCCGTCCCCAGCCCACGAGGTCCCCTCTGTCTCTCGTCTTCCCTCGGTGTGCACCCAGGGCTTGCTCTGTCCGCTTTAGAGGTTCCAGTGTTCTCTCCACCACACAGCACATTTACTCCCTCTCCCCTCCGCTCCTTCAGCCCCCCCAGGGAAGCAGCTTCAGGCTTCCCTGAAGAGGGGGATTTTCTCCTAAAGCGACGGGCAGAGCTGCCTGAAACTGTTCCTCATTCTTGTGACCGATCTTCAAGGATGCTATGGTGTCAGCTACTTGATTCTCATGGGTCTGGCCACATTGGATCTTTCTGGAAATGTCAGCCATCAGTGCGGGTTGCCCTAAATGTTGAGAATTGTCTTCTCGTTTTCCTTTGTGGAAGGCATCCATTTTGTGCCCGAGGGGCAAGCTGGACCTTTCTGGCTCCTGGATGAAAGCCTCCAGTTTTCATAGTTTGATGCTGGCTTCTCTAACCTGGGTGTGATGAGCTAGGGAGCAGGGCCTGGCTGGGCCGAGTTGTCCCTCCAGGCGAGCCTCAGGTAAGCACAGCAAGGGTGAGATGGCGGGATTCTGGGTGTATTTGAAGGTAGGGCATCAGGATCTCTGGGTGGATTGGATCAGAGATGTGAGAGAAGGATGCTGACTCCAGGATGCTCTATCGGAGTGACTGGTGTCCCAGGTAAGCCTATGCGTTCAGGATTCTCCATCAGAGTGACAGGTGTCCGAGGTAAGGCTGCGTGTCCAGGATTCTCCGTCGGAGTGACAGGTGTCCCGGGTAAGGCTGCCTGTCCAGGATTCTCCATCAGAGTGACAGGTGTCCCAGGTAAGGCTGCATGTCCAGGATTCTCCTTCGGAGTGACAGGTGTCCCAGGTGAGGCTGCGTGTCCAGGATTCTCCATCGGAGTGACAGGTGTCCCAGGTGAGGCTGCGTGTCCAGGATTCTCCATCGGAGTGACAGGTGTCCCAGGTGAGGCTGCATGTCCAGGATTCTCCTTCGGAATGACAGGTGTCCCGGGTGAGGCTGCCTGTCCAGGATTCTCCGTCGGAGTGACAGGTGTCCCAGGTGAGGCTGCGTGTCCAGGATTCTCCATCGGAGTGACAGGTGTCCCGGGTGAGGCTGCATGTCCAGGATTCTCCGTCGAAGTGACAGGTGTCCCGGGTGAGGCTGCGTGCTGCCCTGAAGGTGATGCATATCCTGCAAGTGTGTTTTCAGTGAGCCTGGGCTGCTCAGAGGCATGTCGTCTTTCCTCCAGAAAGGCGGACACTCCGTGGCCTGTTTGCCTCTGTGTGAACCTAGTCAGATCTCGCCAGCAAACAGACCAACAATCGCCATTAACGATGCCATCCCCGGTGCCCTCAGGTCCCTTGGCAGCATGGCCAACACCCGGCAGCACACTCCCAGGACCAGGGTGACCCCAAGCATCACGGGCTCCGTGACCCTCCTAGGTCCTGAGGCCCCATGGACCGGTGGTTTCCCGCAGCACAGTGGAGGTCCAGGTGTCAGAGACAGGGAGGGGCTGGACAGGCCTGAGGTGGACTCTGCACATCTGGGGTACCCAGGAAAGGCCAGAGCCTCAGACGCCCCTGGCGATGGACAACCTGTGTTGGGGGTTGAGGGGGTGAAGGTGGAGGATGCCTGCACCCCACTGCTATGGAGGCGGGGGCCCCTGATCAGAGCAACCGCTTGGGTCTGGGGCTGGTACGAGTGGCCTGAGTTTGGGGCCAGCTTAAGTCCCCAGGACAGAACACGGCCCAGACTGGAGGGCATAAATTGAGGACGAGGGCCTTCCAGGGAGCCCTGAGGTCCTGGAGAGCAGCTTTGGAGCAGCAGGGGCCTGTGTGTGCACATGTGTGTGCCTGCGAGTGTGGGTGTGTGTGTGTGTCTGTGGTGTGTGTGAGGAGGGATGTGTGTATGATGTGGTATGTAGAGATGTGTGTGTTTGGTCAGCATCTAAGTGTGTGGTGTGTGTATTTGTGCATATGGTATGTGTATGCATGTGTGCAGTGAACATGTAGGTTCATGTGTGTGCATGTGTAGGTATACGTGTGGTGTGTGTGATTTGTGTGGTGTGTGTAGGTATATGTATGTGTACATATGCGTGTGGTGTGTTGTGCTTGTGTGTGGTGTGTAGGTATGTGTAATGCATGTGTGTGGTATGTATGTGTATGTATTATGTGTGAATGTGTGTAGGTGTGTGTGATGTGTGTAGTGTGTAGGTTATGTATGTGTGTGGTGTATATGAATGTGTATGGTGCGTGTGTGTGTGTATGGCTGGTGTGTATGTATGTGGTGTATGTAGGTGTGTACATGCAATGTGCATGGTGTGTGTCATGTGTGCATGTGTGTGGTGTGTGTATGCATGTAATATGTCTGGTGTGTGTGTGATGTGTGTTGTGGGTGTGTAAGTGTATGTGTGGATGTGGTGTGTGCAAGTGTGTATGTGCAATGTGTGTGGTGTGTCATGTATGCATGTAGATGTGTGTGATGTGTCTGGTGTGTGTGGAGGTGTGTGTGTGTGGTGTGTGTGATGTGTGTACTGGTGTGTTCGTGTGATGTGTGTGGTGTGTGTGTGATGTATGTAGTGTGTGTGTATGTGGTGTCTATGATGTATGTAGGTGTGTGATGTGTGTGGTGTATGTGTGATGTGTGTGGTATATGTGATGTATGTGGTATGTGCGTCTGTGTGGTGTGTATGATGTATGCAGGTTTGTGTGTGGTATGTGTGGTGTGTGTGGTGTTTATAATGTATGTGGTGTGTATATGTGTGGTGTGTATGTGTGTGCATATATATGTGGTGTATGTATGATGTATGTAGTTGTATGTGATATGTGTGATGTATGTGGTATATGTGATGTATGTGGTGTGTGTGCATCTGTGTGGTGTGTATGATGTATTGTGTGTGGTATGTGTGGTGTTTGTGTGCATGTGTGGTGTTTGTGTGTGCATGGTGTGTATGATGTATATGTTGTGTATATATGTGGTGTGTATGTGTAGTGTGCTGTGTGTATATGTGATGTCTGTGTGGTGTGTATGATGTATGTAGGTGTATATGTGGTGTGTATGGGTGGTGTGTTTGTGTGTGGTGTGTATGGGTGGTGTGTTTGTGTGATGTTTGTGTATGTGTGATGTGTACAGTGGGTAAGTGATGTGTGTGTATATGTGTGGTGCATAGGATATATGTAGGTGTATGTATGTGGTATGTGTGATGTGTATATGTGGTGTGTATGTGTGATATGTGTGGTGGGTGTGTATGTGATGGTGTGTATACTGTATGTGGTGTGTATATGTGTGGTGTGTGTAGTGTGCTGTGCTTGTGGTGTGTAGGGGTGGTGTGTATGTGTGATGTGTGTGTATGTGGTGTATGTGGTATGTGTGATGTGTGTTTATGTGGTGTATGTGGTATATGTGATGTACGTGGTGTGTGTGCACATGTGTGGTGTGTATGATATATGTAGGTGTATGTGTGTATGTGGTGTGTATGCGTGATGTATGTATATGTGTGATGTGTGTGTATACGTGTGGTGCATATGATGTATGTGAGTGCATGTGTGTATGTGGTATGTGTGATGTGTGTGGTGGGTGTGTGGTGTGTGTATATGTGTGGTGCGTATGGTGTATGTACGTGCGTGTGTATGTGGTGTGTATGTGTGATGTGTGTGGTGGGTGTGTATCTGTGTTTTGTGTCTGATGTATATGTGAGTATGTGCAATGTGTGTGGTGGGTGTGTATATGTGTGGTGCATATGATGTATGTAGGAGTGTGTGTATGTGGTTTGTGTGGTGTGTGTAAGTGATGGGTATGTAGTATGTATGAGTGGCGTGTGTGTTGGTTGTGTATGTGTGATGTGTGTGGTGGATGTGTGTGATGTGTGTGGTGGGTGTGTATCTGTGTGATGTGTATAATGTATGTAGGTGTATGTGTCGTGTGTATGTGTGATGTGTGTGGTGGGTGTGTATGTGTGGTGTGTGGTGGGTGTGTAATGTCTGTGTATATGTGTGGTGCGTATGTATGTAGGTGTGTGTGCATGTGGTATGTGTGATGTGTGTGGTGGGTATCTATGTGATGTGTGTGATGTATGTAGGTGTATTTGTGTATGTGGTGTGTATGTGTGATGTGTGTATGTGGTGTGTGTGTGATGTGTGTGGTGGGTGTGTATCTGTGTGATGTGTGTGACGTATGTAGGTGTATGTTGTGTGTATGTGTGATGTGTGTGGTGGGTGTGCTTATGTGTGGTGCGTATGATGTATGTAGGATGTGTATGTATATATGTATGTGGTGTGTATGTGTGGTGTGTGTGTTGGTTGTGTATGTGTGATGTGTGTGATGTATGTAAGTGTATGTGTCATGTGGTGGGTATGTGTGATGTGTGTATCTGGTGAGTATGTGTGATGTGTGTATATGTGTGGTGCATATGATATATGTAGGTGTGTGTCTATGTGGTATGTGTGATGTGTGTGGTAGGTGTGTATCTGTGTGATGTGTGTGATGTATGTAGGTGTGTCATGTGTGTATGTGTGGTGTGTATCTGTGTGGTGTGTGTGATGTGTGTGGTAGGTGTGATGTGTGTGTGTTGTGTAGGCCTGATGCATGTGGTGTGTATCTGTGTGTATGTGGTGTGTGGTGTGTAGGCCTGATGCATGTGGTGTGTATCTGTGTGTATCTATGTGGTGTGTGTGTATGTGGTGTGTAGGTGTGATGTGTGTGTTGTGTATCTGTGATGTGTGTGTATGTGGTGTGTAGGCGTGATGTGTGTGGTATCTGTGTGTGATGTGTGTGGTGTGTAGGTGTGATGTGTTTGCTGTGTATCTGTGTGATGTGTGTGGTGTGTGTAATGTATGTAGGTGTATGTGTGTATGTTGTATGTAGGTGTGATGTGTGKTGTGTGCATCTGTGTTGTGTGTGGTGTATCTGTGTGATGTGTGGTGTGTATGTGTAATGTGTGACATGTGTGGTGTGTGATATGTGTGGTATGTGTGACGTGTGTGGTGTGTGATGTGTGTGGTATCTGTGATGTGTGTGGTGTGTGTGTGATGTGTGTGGTGTGTATCTGTGTGATGTGTGTGGTATGTGTGACGTGTGTGGTGTGTGATGTGTGTGGTATGTATCTGTGATGTGTGTGGTGTGTGTGTGATGTGTGTGGTGAGTATCTGTGTGATGTGTGTGGTATGTGTGACGTGTGTGGTGTGTGACGTGTGTGGTATGTATCTGTGTGATGTGTGTGGTGTGTGTGTGATGTGTGTGGTGTGTATCTGTGTGATGTGTGTGGTGTGTATCTGTGTGTGGCGTGTGTGTATCTGTGTGGGGTGTGATGTGTGTGGTGTGTGTGATGTTTGTGTGTCAGGGGTGCAAGGGCTCCCCCGTGTTCTGGATCCACACAACTAAGGAGAGTGGGCTTCAAACCTTTACTTTTATTTTAAACAGGAAATGTCCCTGTTGCCACTGAGGCTCACGGGGCGCTGGCAGTGATCACACGAGCAGAGAGACAGAGGAAGGAGGGAGGGATGGATTGAGGATGGCGAGTTTCTCCCTCCCTGCCCGAGTCCAGCTGAAGCTCCGGGAGGTGCCCTCCGAGCCGGGTGCTGGACCGTGCGTGGGCAGCAGGCGGGCCCCGAGCGCTCCTGGGCGCCCGGCCGTCTTCCCGGCGCTCGGGATCCGTGGTGAGGGGCGGAGTGCGCGGAGACGGTGACGGGGAGCAGCCCCAGGTGAGCAGGTGCTGAGGGTGAGTTTGCTGGGGGCTGAGCTGAGGGATGGGGAGGGAGGGGGAAGGGAGAGGCTCTGCTTAGTTCAAGACCTCGGGGTGGCCCCCGTGAGAGCTGAGCGGGGTTCTGTGGGAGCCGGGCCCGGGGCCTGCGTGGTTGAGGGCGAGGCCGCTTCTGGGGCTCAGGGCTGCGCCCTGGGTGCGATGAGCGGGAAGCAGAGGTTGGCTGGGCCGAATCATCCCTCCAGGTGAGCCTCATGTAAGCGCAGCGAGGGTGAGGCGGCGGGATTCAGGGTGGATTTGAAGGTGAGGCATCAGGATCTCTGGGCGGATTGGATCAGAGATATGAGAGAAAGATGCGACTCCAGGATTCTCCATCGGAGTGACAGGTGTCCCGGGCAAGGCTGCGTGTCCAGGATTCTCCAGTGGAGTGACAGGTGTCCCGGGCGAGGCTGCGTGTCCAGGATTCTCCAGTGGAATGACAGGCGTCCCAGGTAAGGCTGTGTGCCGGGGCTGGAGGTCCCGGTCAGCCCCGGCCGCCATGAGAATGGAACTCAGAGGAGCTGAAAACACCAGGCATTCATTAATCAGCCTGGAGGCTGGAAGTCCAGGATCAGGGTGGCAGCTTAGACGGGCTCTGGGACTTGGGCTCTGGTGCCATCTTTACCGCACTCCCGCATGGCGGGCAGAGAGTAAGGCGGCTCTCCAGGGTCCAGCCCAACACGAGGGCTCCACCCTGACCTCACCACCTCCCGGAGGCCACCCCATCCTGACACCATCACCTTGGGGTTGGGTTTCAACTTATGAATATGGGAGGACCCAGGGAAGATCACTTGACTAAGAGGCAGGAGACCACAGGGGAGTCTTGGTTCTTCCCCAGGTGACCCTGGAGACGTCCTCAAAGCGCTCTGGGTCTCCATCTTCTTGAAGTCGGCCTGCCCTTCAGGCCTCTTCCTCTGAGCTCCCCCTACCCTCCATAGCTGCAGCACTCGCTGGTCGCCCTGGATGCCAGCCTCCGGGAGCAGAGTGAGGACATGGTCTCCAGTCCTACTGCTCCTCCTCTGCGCTTGGCGCAGATGGCCTGCATACTGCTCCCCTCGGGGCACCTCCCAGGTTCCGTTACCTCAGTGTGTGTGAAAAGAGCAGCCCTCCAGCCCAGGGGCAGCAGGATAGAGGCTCAGCTAGGCCACCAAGGAGCTGGCTCAGGTCCGAGGAGCTTTGCAAAACCTCTCTCCAGTTTCTTTCATTTGCTGTTGAGTGCATTTTTTTTTTTTTTTTTTTTTTTGAGATGGAGTTTTGCTCTTGTTGCCTAGGCTGGAGTGCAATGGCACGATCTTGGCTCACTGCAACCTCTGCCTCCCGGGTTCAAGCGATTCTCCAGTCTCAGCCTCCCAGATAGCTGGGATTACAGGCACATGCCGCCACGCCTGGCTAATTTTTGTGTTTTTAGTAGAGACGGGGTTTCATCATATTGGTAAGGCTGGTCTCGAACTCCTGACGTCAGGTGATACACACGCCTTGGCCTCCCAAAGTGCTGGTATTACAGGCATGAGTCACCATGCCCGGCCATGAATTCTTTTTACTTAAAAGCTAACAGGATTTTATTTTCCTCTTTTCTTACCATCTTTGATACATTTTTTCAAAGCAAAATTTATTTCTAAGGTGTATTTCTTCTCCCTTGAATGCTCTTTCTCCTCCCCATATTTATTTCATATCCAATCAATATTTATTGAGCCTTTTCTCTTTGCCTGGCATATAAAGATTATTAAGAAAATGTTCATGGCCTCAAAAAAAAAAAAAAAAAAAAAACCAAGTTATTAGCAAGGGAGACAGGTTGAAGTCACTGTGGATTAATTCACAGTAAATACAACCTAGAATACTTTCTCCTACCAACCCCACTGTATCCTCTAGGATACACAACACCCGTGGAGATAGATAAAGCTGGTAAAAACAAACAAACAAACAAAGCAAACAAGAACTTGTTGAGGCATACTATTTGCAAAGGATTGTGTTATGTGACTGTTGTACTTGATATCATTCGTTTTTTATCCTTTTTTCCTTTTCCTCTCTTTTTTGCCTTCATTTGAGTTAGTTGGTTGTTTAGTAGTTGACGTAGGGTTTATATAAACTGTTTAAGTGGTCGCATTCTACCTTCAGATAGTATCATACAATTCCATGCATACCGTAAGATCCTTACAAAATGTGTCCATTTCTCTGTCTCATCTTCTGTGCTGTCATCATCCTTCATTTTACTTCTACCTGTGTCATAAACCCCACAGTATATTACTATTATTATTTAAATTGTCAATTGTATTATAAAAAAATTTAAGAAAAAATTCTTAATTTCCCAATAGTCACCATTTTTTATTCCTCTGTGTAGATTTAAGTTACCAGCTGATAATATTTTCCATATACGTTTTTCTATTGCATGTATAATTGCAGAATATATTTTGTTTTCTACTATGACAAGTGACCACAAACTTAGTGACTTTAAGAAACCCCACACGTTTATTATATTACAGCTATGTAAGTCAGAAACTTAACATGCATCTCACCGGGCTCAGATCAAGGCGTCAGCAGGATGCACTGCTTTTTATATGTTCTGGGGGAATCTGTTGCCTCGACTTTTCCAGCTTCTCCCACATTGCTTGGATCCTGCTGCCCTTCCCCCATCTTCGAAACCAGCAACCTTAGGCTAAGTCTTTCTCGCAATGCCGCTTCACTGGTTGTTTCTTCCAATTCCCTCTTTCAGTTGTGAGGAGGCTTGTGATTGCATTGGACCCACCTGAATATTCCCAGATACTCTCCTTTATTTAAGGTCATCTGTTGGCAACCTTAATTCCATCTGCAAACTGAATTCCTCTTCTCCAGGTACACTAGTATAGTCACAGGTGTTGAGAATTAAGATGTAGTATCATTGGGGTGGCATTATTCTGTACATCATGGTCAGTCTTTCTAGAGGTTTGTCATATTTTTAATCTTGCCAAACATCTCTTTGATTTTCTCTACTGCTTTCCTGATTTCAATTTTACTGAATTCAGTTCTTCGTTATTTTCTTTCTTCTCCTTTTTTGAGTTTAGTTTGCTCTCCTCTTTTATAGGTTCCTGAGGGAGGAGATTAGATTTTTAAATGGATACTTTGCTTCTTTTCTAATGTATGCATTCAGTGCTATAAATTTCCCTCTCATGTGGCTTTAGCTCTGTCACAAACATTTTGATATGTTGTATTTTCAGCTTTATTTATTTGGATTTTTTTTTTATTTCCTTTGAGACTCCCTTTTTGACCTATGAACTATTTTTGAGGGTGCTGTTTAGTTTTCAACTGTCTGGAGAATTTCCTGTTATCTTTGCATTACTGATCTTGAGTTTGATACCACTGTGGTGGGAGAACACATTCTGCATGATCAATTCTCTTACTTTTGGTGAGATTTGTTTTATGGTACAGGATATGGTCTGTTCTTACTATGTGATCCTTGGACACTTGAAAGTATATTCTGTCGTGATTGAGTGGAGTGTTCTGTAAGTGTCGATTATATCTTACTGATTAATGGCGTTTTGAGTTCTTCCATACTCTTGCTTTTTGTCTCATTTGTCTATCAATACTTGAGAGAGAGGTTCTAAAGTCCCCAACTCTAATTGAGAGTCTATTTCTTCTTTCATTTCTATCAGTTTTTGTTTAATGTATGTTATAGCCTTGTTTTTGGCTCATACACATTTGGAATTGCTGTTTTCTTGAGCAACTGACTTTTTATCATTATTTAAGGTCCCTCTGTGTCTCTCTGTCTTTTGAAGTTTCTTTGCTATAAAGTCCACTTTAATATTTATGTAGTCACTCCTGCTTACCTTTAACCAATGTTTAGATGGTACATGGCTTTTATTATTTTATTTTCAACTTTTCCATATTAATATAAATTTTTATAGTCAGCTTATAGTTGGGTCATAGCTTTTTAACTTCCAAGCTCTGCCTTTTAATTGGTGTTTTGAGACGATCTACATTTAATGTAAAATAATTGATATGTGAAGGCTATGATTTCCATTTTTGTTATCTATCCTGATTTGCTTCTATGTTTTCTTTTTATTGTATTTCCATGGGTTACTTAAACATTTTTAGTATTCAATTTTGATTTATGTATAGTGTTTTTGAGTGTACATTTTTATATAGCTTTTTTAAAGGATGCTTTGGGCATTGCATTATATATACATAATGTCACAATCTACTGGTGTCATTGTTTCAAGTAAAATATAGAAGCCTCCTAACCCTTTACATCACTTTAACCTCTTTCACTTATAATGTAGTTGTCTTAAGTATTCTGTCTGTATACATTTAGAACCATATCAGAGAATTAGAATTTTTTCTCAAATTGCCAAACATAATTTAGAAAACTCAAGAAGAAAAGGAAAGTCTGATGTATTTACTCCAGTTTTTTATTTCGCTTGTCTATTCTTTCTTCATTCCTGATCTCCAAATTTCCTTCTTTTATGTTTTCATTTCCGTTTAGAAAATTTTGTTTAGTCATTCTTTTAGAATGTATCTGCTGGTGATACATTCTCTTGTTTGCTCTTCCTCTGTGATGTCTTGATTTCCCTTTCATCTCTGAAGGTTACTTTTACCAAATATAGGACTCTAGATTAGTATTCTTTTCTTTCAGTATATAAAAATGTTTTGCCATTCTTTTTTTTTTTTTTTTTTTTGGTCCCCATGATTTTTGATGATAAATTCACTTGAATTGTTTTCTCCTATAGGCAATACTTTTTTTCTGTCTATAAACTTCCACACTTTTTCTTTGTCTTGAGTTTATAAGTTTGACTATGATGTGTCTTTGTTTGGATTATTTTGAGTTTATTCTTTTTGGCATTATTTCAGCCTCTTTTGCTAAGTTAGGAAAGTTTGGGGCACTATTTCTTCAAGTACCTTTTTTAGTCCCACCATCTTCATCCTGTCTTTCTGGGGACTCCAGTGACCCAAACATTAGATCTTTAGTTATAGTCTCATAGGTCCCTGAGGGTCTACTATTTTTTTAGTCCATTTTTTTCCTGTTGTTCAGATTTTCCTGTTTCCAGTTCATTTATTTTCCCTTCCTGTCTCCTCCAATTTTCTGTTGGGCTTATCTACTTATTTTTGTAACATTTTAGTTATTGCATATTTTTAAGCTCTAAAATTTTCATTTGGTTATTCTTTGAATCTTTTTTTTTTTTTTTTTTTTTTTTTTTTTTTGAGACATTGTCTTGCTTTGTCACCCAGGCTGGAGTGCAGTGGCACAATCTCAGCTCACTGCAGGTTTGACTTCTCGGATTCAAGTGATTCTCCTGCCTCAGCCCCTGAGGTAGCTGGAACTACAGGCATGTGCCACCATATTCAGCTAATTTTTGTATTTTTTGTAGAGGTGGGGTTTCGTCATGTTGTCCAGGCTGGCCTTGAACTCCTGAGCTCAAGCAATTCACCCGCCACGGCCTCTCAAAGTGCTGGGATTACAGGTGTGAGCCACCACACCCAGCCTTTGAATCTTATATTTTATTGCTGGGACTTCATATTTTGTTTGCCAAAACAATTTTTTAATTTATTTCAAGCATACTTGTAATTGTTTTTTGAATATATTCATAATGGCTACTTTAAAAATATTTGTCAGATAACTCTTACACCTATGTCATCTCACTGTTGGCATATTTTGATTTTCTTTTATCGTTCAGTTTGAGATTTTCCTGGGTCTTGCTATGGGAAGTGATTTTCAATGGAAATTCATACTTTTTTGCATTATGCTAAGGAAATTTTGATTTAAATCTTCTGTCTTAGCTAACTTACTGTGATACTTCTTTTGCAGGGGAAATGGAGAGGTTGCCTTAGTATTGCCAGCTGGAGTTCCGGCTCCCCACTAGATCTTTGATGGTACCTCTCTGTGTCAGTGGTAGTACCTGATGTGTAGAAATTTATTTCATAAATGACATATCAGTTAGGATCTTTACAACCTCAAGTAACAGAAAATCCACCGACATGATTCGAATCATCAGGATATTTATCATTATGTTGACAAGAATTCCAAAGTTAGGTAGTCTCAGGATTGTTCTTTCAGCTCAGTAATGCCATCAGGCACTGTCTCTTTCTTTCTTCTGCTATGAAAATTCTCAGCCTTATGCCTACATCGCACTGGTCCAGAAATCATGTCTCCATTCCACATCCAAACAAAGGGAGAAGAGCAGCACTAGGGAGCTCTCCCCTCACATCTATCCTTTTTTTAGGAGGAAAAAATCTTTGCCAGAAGTCTTCCTGCAGTTCTCTGCTTACATCTTTTTTGGCATAGGGATGTCAGTGTCATAGGCCCAATCCTTGTACAAGAATGAGTATCTGATAAAGGGGATTAAGATTTTCAAGATCAGTTAAAAAGCATTATAATGTATCAACTGAAATTGGCAGAACAATGTACTCTCCCTAAGTACATGGGATCTCTTTCTGCCTCCTGACCCAATTGACCATCTCTAGGAGGGAAGAAGAAATGGGGTTGGGGGACAACTGTTGGGAGGCAAAAAGTCACCGGCACCATCAGCAATGCACTCATTCTCCTTTTGGAACAACTTCTGTGTCCATTATCTCTTCTCCAACATCAAAACCTAACTACATACCTAACTAAGCCCTTCCACATTGGAGGGCTTCAGCACACAGTACATGCTTCCAAAGACTGTACTTGCTCTGATTGTGGTCACTTCAGGTGGGTCATCATGTAAATGTGTATTCTAAACCTCAGCATTAATTCACATCCTAAGACACGATGCAAGGAGGCACCTCCAAAGGCAGTGGGTGCAGGGACAGGCAAGGAAAGACACTTCCTTTCCACAGGATTCATCCTGACTTTCCTTTCTTGGGTCAGTCTGAGGCATACCAAGCCATACAGGTTTACATGAAGCCAGTTTTGATGGGGAGACAAAAGAATTAAGTTCATTACTCCCCTCCTTATTTGTCTCCTTATCGGCACTGACAAGGGCATCCATCATTTACTCTCTCTAGCTGTGTCCAGATGTCTCCACGATTAGGATTCAAGAAAGGCAAACAAAGGCGCATTCACCACTCTTGCTGCTGACGCTGAAAGAGGCTTGTCAACTGAGATTAGAGGGGGAGTTGCAAGGCAGAGGAAACAGATGGGGAAATGAAAGGACTCAGAGAACAAGAAAAGTGCCAGGGAGATACAATGGGAGGAGGCGCTGGGACATACAGAGGATGTCTGGGGAAGAGAGATAGAGGAGGAACAAAACAGAACCACCTGTGAAAGGCCAAGGAACCTCTTCATCCTCCTTCCCATCCACCCAGCTCTGCATATAAATTTCTTACAGAGAGGACAGAACTTTCAAAAGATACGAAAGGAGCAGTGTTCAGGGTCAAGAACAACAGTACAATTTTGTTGTGAGACAAAATATAAGAAAAATAAAAATACAAGAAAGTTATTGACATTTGAAGGAAAAGGAACATTTTGCCCAAATGTTGCAGAGGATTGCAGCATCTGGTCTGTGTTAGGTGGGATGACCCTAGCAAGACCCCTGGAGGTGATGACTCCCTGCCACCCAAGTTAATGACCTGGAGGTGATGTTCCAGGAGGCGATGACTCCTGGAGGTGATGACTCCCTGCCACCCAAGTTAATGACCTGGAGGTGATGTTCCAGGAGGTGATGACTCCTGGAGGTGATGCCTCCATCTCTCAGAGTTGATATCCCCTGCAGGTGATGCTCCTTGTAGGTGATATACCCATGAAGGTGATGACTCTTGGAGGTGATGCCCCCATCCCTCAGAGTTGATATTCCCTGGAGGTGATGCTCCTTGTAGGTGATATCCTGTTGGAGTTGATGCCCCCTGGAAGTGATGGCTCCCCCAGAGTTGATGTCCCTGGAAATGATCTTCCCTCAACTTGATGTCCATGGAAGTGATGTCCCATGGAGATGATGTCCCCCTGGAGATGATGCCCCCTCAGAGTTGATGTCCCTGAAGGTGATGTCACCCTGGAGTTGATGTCCCTGGAAGTGATGTTCCTTGGAGATGATGTCCTCCTGGAGTTGATGTCCCTGCAAGTGATGTTCCTTAGAGATGATTCCCCATGGAGGTGATGCCTCCTGGAGTTGATGTTCCTTACAGGTGATGTCACCTTGGAGGTGATGTCCATTAGAGGTGATGTTCCTTGGCGATGATGTCCCTTGGAGATGATGTCCCCTTGGAGATGATGTCCTTGAAAATGATGTTCCTTAGAGATGATTCCACCTGGAGGTGATGCCCCCTGGAGGCGATGTTCCTTAGAGGGAATGTCCCCCCAGAGGTGATGTCCACTGGAAGTGCTGTTCCTTGGAGATGATTCCCCCTGGAGTTGATGTCCCTGGAAATGATGTTCCTCGGTGATGATTCCTCCTGGAGGTGATGCCCCCTCAGTGTTGATGTCCCTGGTGGTAATCTCCCCCTGAAGTTGATGTCCTGGAAGTGATATTCCTTGGAGATGATTCCCCCTGGAGGTGATTCCCCCAGAGGTGATGTCCCCCTGGAGGTGATGTCTTCTGGAGTTGATGTCCCTTGGAGATGATGTTCCCTTGGAGATGATGCCCCCCATCAGAGTTGAGGTCCCTGAAGGTGTCTCCCCACTGGAGTTGATGTCCCTGGCGGCGAGGCCGTTCACAAGTGAAGCCCCCTGGAGGTGACGTCTTTTACCAGCTACTGAGTAAGACGAGGGGGTGCTGGCCTCCATGTGCCATGAGGCTCCATGGTAGAGCTGCTTCTGGTTGGGCCCTAGCATTACCTGGCTTCATGCCCCAGAAAGTCAGTTCCTCTCTCTAGTATCCCATCCTTCTCTGGAACATGACGGATGAACATTAGAAGTGTGACTTACAACTGGCTCCTGCCACTCTTTTCAGCAGCTGCCCTGCCCATTCTTCACAGTGCAAGCCTCCCAGTTAACATCCTTGTCTTGCCCCTGCCCACCTCCATGGACCCTGCAAGCAGGAAGCTTCACTTGTTCAAGGCCATGGAGTTCTCCGCTGGGCTCGACTCAAACCACCATAGGGCTCTCCCTCCTTGCCTGGAGCCCTTCCCACTCAGGCATGAACCTTGGCTCCACTTCACTTGCCAGTGATCCTGGATCTTGGAGGCCATAGGATCAGCTGGGGAGTAGTGAGGACCTAAAGTGAGACCGCTCAGCCCTCATGCAATCACTGGACTAAACCAACATCTCATATTACATCAACAACATGGTACATGAATTGAGAGGCTGAGGAAGCTGGACTTTCCTTTTTCCTCCTTAACCACAAGGTCGTGAACATGAAAATTGGAGCTGACCAGAGTGTCAGGGAGTCCTCTAGCTTCAGAGATGCAGGAAATCCAGCCAAGCAGGGCTGGAACCAGCCAGAGGCTCCTGGGTTCCCGAAGCCACAGGGCGGGTGCTCTAGAATTGCAGGCCAGAGTCCAGGTCACACCACCTCCTGGCAGATAGGGCCAGTCGGAGGGGGAGCCAGCCCGTGGAGACTCAGCCTGTGTCCACCCAGCTCTCAGCACTAGGATGGAATGACACCTACGATCCCAAACAGCCCTGCCGGCTCATGCCATCCCCATTTGACAGACAGTTGTGGGTTAAATTATGTCCCTTCCCCCCAAATTTATGTGCCCTGATCTCTGGTATCTGTGAATGTGACCTTTTTTTGGAAGTAGGATCTTTGCAGATGATCCAGTTGTCAGCCTAAATAGCAGACAGAGAGTATCTCTAAACGAAAATGATATTTATTCAGGAGTAAGTTTTGCAATAGGTACATGGTGGGCATTTTCAGGGAGGAAAAGTAAGACAAGAGTTTTAAGAGGAGAAATGAGGAGGATTACCTAATTGTTTTGAAACAATTATCCTTGGCTCCAAAGATCAATAACAAGGGTGGACAGGCAGTTGCTGGCCAGATGTCCTTGCAGAAGATTTTTCTCTGTGTGGTTGCTATGGCCTTTGTGCAAGGCTATGTTTTTTGCAGAGTATTTTTTTTTTTTTTTTTTTTTGAGACGGAGTCTCGCTCTGCCTCCCAGGCTGGAGTGCAGTGGCGTGATCTTGGCTCACTGCAAGCTCCGCCTCCTGGGTTCAGGCCATTCTCCTGCCTCAGCCTCCTGAGTAGCTGGGGCTACAGGCGCCTGCAACCACGCCCGGCTAATTTTTTGTAGTTTTAGTAGATACGGGGTTTCACCATATTAGCCAGGATGGTCTCGATCTCCTGACCTCGTGATCCGCCCACGTCGGCCTCCCAAAGTGCTGGGATTACGGGTGTGAGCCACCACGCCAGGCCCTTTTGCAGAGTATTTTTGGTAGTTCTCTTCAAGCATATGTGCATGCAAGGCTGTGTTTTTTGCAGAGTATTTTTGATAGTTCTTGTCTTCAAGCATACGTGCATGAGAACCCTGCCTTCATGTCCCACCCACGTCCATTTGTCAGGGCTTGACACAAGTGACCCATTTGGATTCTGACAATTTTCACAAAGTTAAGATGAGGTCATTAGGGTGGTCCCTAATCTAATATGACTAATGACTTTATGAAAAGAAAAATTTGGACACAGAGATAACACACACAGGGCGAATGCCATGTAAAAATGAAGGCAGAATTCTGGGTGATGATGTGTTTATAAGCCAGGAATGCCAAAAGGGACCAGCAAGCTGCCAGAACCTAGGAGAGAGGCTGGTAACAGATTCTTCCCGACAGCCTCAGAAGGAACCAACCCTGCCGACACGCTGATCTTGGACTTCCGCCTCCAGAGCTGTGAGGCAGTAAATTTCTATTATATGAGACATCCAGTTTATGGAACTTTGTTATGTCAGCCCCAGGACTCTAATGTGCAAAGACCCTGCAGCACAGGGCCACCAGGTGACCCAGGCAGTTGGAGCATAAGGGGCAGGTGCCTCCCACCCTTGCCACGCTGATAGGAGCTGGTCAGGTTGCCTCACTCCCTCCAGGCATCCTCTCCTGGGTGAGCTGTAGACCCAGGGATCCATTCCTGTCCTTGTTGCCGGTCCCCTGTGAGCTAAGTCTGGGTCTCTGACCTAACCTCTGTCAGCATTTTTGTAAAACCATCTTTTGTGAAAGTCGGAGATGCTGCAACTCTCATGGTCCCTCTGCTGAGGCCCAATAGGTGGGTCATGCTGATGTTGGTGCTGCATAGTCCATTACTGTGAACATTCCTGAGTCCACCCAGGAGCGAGGCTCAGGGTTCACTTCTGGGTGTGCCGAAGGGGATAAAGCAGGCTCGGCCACCCTCATGGGAGCCTGGATTCTCCCTCAGAGACACAGCAAAGGGAGGGGCTACATATAGGTGGGCATATAAAGGAGTTTGATGCTGCCGATGAGCTTTAAGGCTCTGGGGTCAAAAATGAGCGTGGGGTGTGTGCACACACATGCCTGGCTTCTCTAATACTGGATGCACCTGCACCTTGGAGGGGTCCCAGCTCACAGGCCAAACAGCAGGAGGAGGTGGAGAAATGGCCTCAGGTCTGGTGACAAAACACCAGGGCAGTGGAAGGCTGCAAGTAAACGTTTTTCATGTACACTGGAATAAAACTGTCAGCCTTGTACTTCCTTTGCCAATTTCCTTTTCAAGGCAAGGGAAACAGAGCCAGCTGTGAGCCTAACACAGCAGGACATTTTGCTCGGGTACCAGTGTAGTTGACATCAAACTCAATGGGATCAGTATGGGCTTAGGTTGTCAAGGGAACCTAAGATCCCTTTTGCCACCCAGAGCCTGTTCAGAACGGGGACATCTAGTCATGGAAAATGGTAAAATTATCATAAGATCAAAGAGCAACTTGTGCGAAAGGACCTCTCTTCTTCAAGGGAAAAATCAGACTAGATTGATAGACAGTTGGGAATCTAGCTCTGGTTTGATTCTTAGATGAAGGAGAGCCCGAGGTAAAAATCAGAAAAGAGACCACATTAATTTTCAGGACCAAAAAAGTAGGAAAAAATAACTTTTTCTGAACAGAATGTTCTTGGTTGACAGGGATGCCTATAAGTGAGACCAGCCTGGAAGGCAAGGTTGTGTCATGCCTGGAAGCCAAAGTCCCTGGGTAGTCCCTGCGCCCTTTTTAACCGCTGGGCAACATGGGGAAGGCACGTGGCTTCCCCGGGTCTCCCTTCCCTTCCCTGTGTGCTGGTGGACTGGAGCGGGAGGGCCTCTGATCTGCAGGTGCCGAGGTCCCAGACTCTCCCCAGGTGGAGCCAGGCTCCGCCTGATCAGGGGAGGAGGCTGCAGGATTCTCATCCTCATACTGAGCTGGAAGGAGCTGGGTCAGCAAGGAATGGCCTGTTCCTCAGCCGGATGGTGAAGAAAGTAAGGCAGCATGAGAGGCCTGCTTGACACTTTTATCCATTTTGCTACTGGGATTCCCAATCAGATTTTATTTTTCAAAAGTGTTTGTGCTAATTGTTTGACAAATATGAAATTAATCAGAGTTCAGCGGTGTAGCTGACATGAGCTCTCTGTGTGAAAATCCAAATCTTGCCTATGCACCAGTAGACATCAATTAAAAAATTATAGTACAAAAACAGATTGTGTTTCAAATCCCTACAAAAATATGTCCTTAGAAACATGCCTGAGAATTGTTTTATGGAGAAAGTCATACAGATTTCCTGACAGACAAGAGGACAAGAAAAAATCGAGAAGGATGCCATGTCATAGGAGGGAAAGACTCCTTGTTGTAAACGTATCAGTTCACCCCAAATTAACTTATAAAATCAATGCAAATCTAATCAAAATCGCAAAAATGTAATAGAAAAAAAAGAGTTTTCAGAGGATGTCAGCAAGATGGCTGATCAGAGTTACCTGCAGCATCCCCTGCCCCACAACACACACAAAAAGTACCAAAACAACAAATAAGCAACTGTATTTCAACCAGCATGACTGAGGATGTACACTGGAGAGCACCAGGGCCGTGGCACAGTCTGTGGAGCACAGAAGCCCAGGATAGCACCGTAAAGACGAGAGCAAGGCATCCTGCTTCTGCCACACTGTGTCCCCCGCCCAGGACTGGCTCAGAGTCAGGGCCGATTTCTTCTTACGGGTAATGGAGATCCACAGCACTCCTCATTGCTTTCACAAACACCAGCAATCCTTGCTACGGGAAGGGCCCCCAGTCCTCACAGGCCCCAAATCCAGTTTGGAGAGTAGCTGGGACTTGTTGCAGTTATATTACCTGAGTAGGAGCCTGAACTGAGTGCCCCCAACCCTGTTACCTAAGCTGCTGCAACTCAACACCATTTTGAAACTGAACCTACTAATAGGGTATGCCCTGTCCTGGGGATGAGTAGCAACCAACTATATCCATCCTTCAGGCCCTACTGTCACTACCATGTTCACACAGGTGCCTGCAGTACCTTGAACCCAACTTCCCAGAGCCTAGCCCAGACAGAACACCTGAGACCCCACCCAGCATCTGAACCCATGTGGCACACCATCCCCACCACCCCCCCACCCAGGGAACAGGTGGGCCTGCACAGCAGAGCAGTCACCCAACAGCTGGCTGGTCACCTCACCTACATGCACCTGAAATGCTTAGCCAGTCAGCCCTCTGAGCTTATGCATGTCTCTGCATAGATCAACAGCCAGCCCTGTGATGACCTTGCCCTGCTGGGTAGATTGCTATAAAGCCACCTAGCCCTACTGCATCCACATGTACCTGTCCCAATATCCAGTCCACCAGCAGCCCTGTTTCCCTAAAGAGACAGTACATACACAGTTTCCTGGCCAGCCATGCCCACGCATGCCTGAGTCTTGCATTTAATTCACCTTTTCTTGCTTCCAGAGAACCCAATGGACAGCTTTTTGGCCCTCCATATCCGTATGTGCCCAGCCCAACAACCAGCTCAGCACTCCCTCCCCCAGCAAAACCACACCACTACCATCACAAACTCCCATACCCTACACCACTGAGGCAATCACAGACCTTGATGATGAAGATTATTATATGATATGAGGAAACTATATGACAGCTGCACTACTGAGTCCACCCAGAACCAAAGCCAACATCCTAGGACATATCTACAGGAAAATGTCTTTCCCTATGAAACCTACTCCATAAAATTGGAAAAAGTGGCTATTCCACTAGATGCACAAATATCAATGTAGAAACATGAAAAAGCAAGAAAGCATGGCACCCCCAAAGGAACACAATAAATCTCCATTAGCAGACTCCAAAGATAAGGACATTTGTGAAATGCTTAAAAAGAATGTAAAATAGTGATCTTAAGGAAACTCAGTGAGCTACAAGGGAACACAGACAAATCAATAAAATAGTTTTTACAATTTCATGATTGGAATGAGAAATTCAATAAAAACACAGATAACATAAAAATAACCATATAGAAATCTTGGAGCTGAATAATTCAATAAATGAAGTTAAAAATACAATTGGGATTTTCAACAACAGAGCAGATCAAGCAGACAAAAGAATTTCAGAACTGAAGAACAAGGCATTTGAAATAACCCAGTCGGAGGGGACAAAAATAAGTAAGAATAAAAAAGAATGAAGAAAGCCTACAGGACTTATGAAACAACAACTAAGCAAACACATATTCATGATATAAGAATGTGAGAGAAAAAGAATGAAGAAAGGTACAGTAAATTTATTTAACAAAATAATAGCTAAAAACTTCTCACATATCAGGAGAAATATGGACATCCAGATGCAAAAAGTTCAACAGTCCCGAATTAGATTCTGCCCAAAATGACTCTCTCAGAGGCATATTATAATCAAACTCTTTAAAGACAAAGAGAGAATTCTAAAAGCAACAAGAGAAAAGCATCAAGTCACATATAAGGGAATCCTCTTTAGATTATTAAGAGATTTCTCAGCAGAAACCTTTCAGGGCAGGAGAGAATGAGATATTCATAGTGCTGAAAGAAAAAAAAAAAGCCTGTCAGACGAAATTACTATATCCAGCAAAGCTATCCTTTAGAAATGCAGGAGATGTAAAGACCTTAGACAAGCAAAAGCTGAGAGAATTTATTACCGCTAGACTGGTCTTACAAGAAATGCTTAAGACAGTGCTACAACTGGAAACAAAAGTGATAATTACCATTATGAAAAAATATGAAAGCATATAACTCACTGCTATAAATACATTCATAATCATACTCAGAATACCCCAGTGCTATAATGCGCTGGGTGCCATTATAAAGTTTTTTTTTAATTTTTTTTATTTCCATAGGTTTTTTTGGGAACAGATGGTGTTTACTTACATGAGTAAGTTCTTTAGTGGTGATTTGTGAGATTGTGGTGCACCTATCACCTGAGTGATACCATGAACCAAATTTGTAGTCATGTATCCCTCACCCCCTTCCCATCCTTTTCCCCTTAGTCCCTAAAGCCCACTGTATCATTCTTATGTCTTTGCATCCTCATGGTTTAGCTCCCACTTATGAGTGAGAACATATGATGCTTGGCTTTCTGTTCCTGATTCACTTCACTTAGAATAATAGTCTCCTGGGCTGGGTGTGGTGGCTTGTGCCTGTAATCCAAGCATTTTGGGAGGCCAAGGTGGATGGATCACCTAAGGTCAGGAGTTCGAGACCAACCTGGCCAATATGGTGAAACCCTGTCTCTACTGAAAATACAAAATTAGCCAGGTATGGTGGTGCATGCCTGTAATCCTCACTACTTGGGAGGCTGAGGCAGGAGAATTGCTTGAACCTAGGAGGTAAAGGTTGTAGTGAGTCAAGATCGTACCATTACACTCCAGCCTGGGCAACAAGAGTGAAACTCTGTCTCAAAAAAAAGAATAATAGTCTCCAGTCCCATCAAGATTGCTGCAAATGCCATTAATTCATTTCTTTCTATGGCTGAGTAGTATTCCATTGTGTATATGTACCACCACAGTTTCTTTATCCACTCATTGATTGATGGGCATTTGGGGTGGTTCCACATTTTTTGCAATTGCAAATTGTGCTGCTATAAACATGCATGTGCATGTATCTTTTTCTTATAATGACTTCTTTTCTTCTAGGTAGATAGTAGTGGAATGGCTGGATCAAATGGTAGGTCTACTTTTAGTTCTTTAGGGAATCTCAACATTGTTTTCCATAGTAGTTGTACTTGTTTACATTCCAACCAGCAGTGTAGAAGTGTTTTCTTTTCACTACATTCACACCAACATCTGTTATTTTTTTATTATGGGTGTTCTTGCAGAAGTAAGGTGGTATCACATTGTGGTTTTAATTTGCATTTTTCTGATCATTAGTGATGTTGAGCATTTTTTCATATGTTTGTTGGCCATTTGTATATATCCTTTTGGGAATTGTCTATTCATGCTCTTAGCCCATTTTTGATGTTTTCTTTTTTCTAATTTGTTTGAGTTCCTTGTAGATTCTGGTGCATTTAGGCCATTTACATTCAACATTAGTATTGAGATGTATTATTT
The DNA here is from genome assembly GCF_000001405.40 of Homo sapiens. Taxonomy (NCBI): domain Eukaryota; kingdom Metazoa; phylum Chordata; class Mammalia; order Primates; family Hominidae; genus Homo; species Homo sapiens. The sequence goes on along the minus strand of NC_000002.12, from coordinate 239,849,078 downwards.
CATTCATTGTGCTATTTGTTGCCTGTAAAGCTTAGGTTTTGTTTGTTTGTTTGTTTTCTGTATTTTATATGTCCTGTGAGAGTCATGCTTTAAAGAGGTTCTGTCTTCATGTGTTTCCAGGATTTGATTCAAGATTTAGAGCTCCTTTTAGCAGTTCTTGTAGTGCTAGCTTGTTAGGGGCGAATTCTCTTAGCATTTGTTTATCTGAAAAAGACCCTATCTTTCCTTCATCTATGAAGCTTTGTTTCTCTGGCTACAAAATTCTTGGCTGATAATTGTTTTGTTTAAGGAGGTTGAATATAAGGCCCCAATCCCTTCTAGCTTGTAGGATTTCTGCTGATAAATCTGCTGTTAATCTGATAGGTTTTCCTTTATAGGTTACCTGGTGTTTTTGCCTCCCAGCTCTTAAGATTCTTTCCTTCATCTTGACTATAGATAATCTGTTGACAATGTACCTAGGCAATGATCTTTTTGTGATGAATCTCCCAGGTGTTTTTTGAGCTTCTTGTATTTGGATGTCTTGGTCTCTAGCAAGACTGGGAAGTTTTCCTTGATTATTTCTCCAAATATGTTTTCCAAACTTTTAGATTTCTCTTTTTCCTCAGGAACACCAATTATTCTTGGGTTTGGTCATTTAACATAATCCTAAACTTCTTCAAGGCTTTGTTCATTTTTTAAATTCTTTTTTCTTTATCCTTGTTGGATTGGGTGAATTTTAAAACCTTGTATTTGAGCTCTGAAGTTCTTTCTTCTGCTTGTTCGATTCGATGGCTGAGACTTTGCAGAGAGTTTTGCATTTCTCTGTGTCCTTTATTTCCTGAAGTTGTGACTGTTTTTTATTTATGCTGTCTATTTCTCTGAATACTTCTCCCCTCATTTCTTGTATCATTTTTTTCCCCTTAAATTGGACTTCTCCTTTCTCTCATGTCTCCTCATTAGCTTAACAATCAACCTTCTCAATTCTTTTTCAGGTAAATCAGGGATTTCTTCTTGGTTTGGATCCATTGCTGGTGAGCTAGTGTGATTTTTTGGGGGGTGTTAAAGACCTTGTTTTGTCATATTACCAGAAGTGTTTTTCTGGTTCCTTCTCATTTGGATAGGCTATGTCACAGGGAGGATCTGGAGCTCCAGAAGGCTGCAGTTCAGATTCTCTTTTTTTTTTTTTTTTTGATGGAGCCTCGCTCTGTTGTCCAGGCTGGAGTGCAGTGGCATGATCTCAGCTCATTGCAAGCTCCACCTCCTGGGTCCATGCCATTCTCCTCCCTCGGCCTCCCAAGTAGCTGGGACTACAGGTACCCACCACTGCGCTCGGCTAATTTTTTGTATTTTTAGTAGAGACAGGGTTTCACTGTGTTAGCCAGGATGGTCTCGATCTCCTGACCTCATGATCCACCCTCCTTGGCCTCCCCAAGTGCTGGGATTACAGGCATGAGCCACCCCACCCGGCCAAGGCTGCTGTTCAGATTCTTTTGTCCCATGGGGTGTTTCCTTGATGTAGTGCTCTCCCCCTTTTTCCTAGGGATGTGGCTTCCTGAGAGACAAGCTGTAGTGATTGTTATCTCTCTTCTGGATCTAGCCACCCCGCAGGGCCACCAGGCTCCAAGCTGGTACCGGGGGTTGTCTGCACAGAGTCCTGTGATATGAACTATCTTTATATCTCTCAGCCATGGATACCTGAACCTGCTCCGGTAGAGGTGGCAGGGGAGTGAAATGGACTCTGTCCTTAGTTTTGGTTATTTAATGCACGATTTTTTTGCGGTTGGTTTCCTGCCAGGAGGTGGCAATTTCAAGAGAGCATCAGCTGTGGTAGTATGGATCAGGCAGTGGACAAGCCCTAGAACTCCCAAGAGAATATGCCCTTTGTCTTCAGCTACCAGAGTGGGCAGGGAAGGACCATCAGGTGGGGGCAGGATTAGGAATGTCTGAGCTCAGAATCTCCTTGGGTGGGGCTTGCTGAGGCTGCTGTGGGGGATGGGGGTGTGGTTCCCAGGTCAATGGAGTTATGTTCTCAGGAGGATTACGGCTGCTGCTGCTGTGTCATGTGGGTTTTCAGGGAAGTGGGGGGAAGCCGGCAGTTATAGGCCTCACCCAGCTCCCACACAGCCCAAAAGGCTGGTCTCACTTCCACTGTGCCCACCCCTCCAACAGCACCAAGTTCGTTTCCAGGTAGTGGGTGAGCAGGGCTGAGAACTTGCCCCAGGCTACCAGCCTCTCAGCTTAGAGAGCAAGCAGGTCTTTTGTGCCTCCCCACCTGTAGAGTCTGCACACCAGATTTATGCCTTCCCCCAAGTTCTGGCCAGGAGACTTCAGGTTTGTTTGGAATTGTTATAAATTGACTCAACTCCAGGTAAGGTCAAATCCTTCTCCCATGATCTAGATCTTCAGGTTCCCCAGTGAGGGTGTGTGTTCTGGGGTGGACAGTCCCCCTTTCCCACTTTCACAGCTTGGGCGCTCACGGTGTTTGGGTTGTCTCCCAGGTCCTACAGGAGTAATCCACTTCCTTCAGAGGGTCTGTGGATTCTCTCAGCTTTCCTGATGTGTTCCTGCAGTAGTTCTGGAGCAAAAGTTCACAATGCGAGTCTCCACATGCTGTTCTGTCTGTCTTAGTGGGAGCTGCAATCTAGTCCTGCTTCCTATCTGTTATTTCCCTCTCTGTCTATTATGAAGTTTTCAAGTCAAAATAACATCAGCTACAGTTAATGGATAAGGACCACACAATATATACAAAAGTAAATTAAGGGAACATTAATAATTTTTTTTTGGAAAGAGGGAAAAATCTAGAATATTTTCATGAAACCAAAGTTTAGTTGCTATCAGCTTAAAATAACATATTATAACTACAAAACCCTTTATGTCAGCCCCATGATAACCACAAAGAAAGAAATTACAGCAGATACACAAATGAGAAAGAGAAAGGAAACACAGCTTAGCACCTTAGAAAACCATCAAACCACAAAGGTAAACAACAAGAGAGGAAGAAAGGAACAAAGGATCAACAAAACAACCAGAGAAATGTTAACAGAATGGCAGGAATAAGTTCTTGTCTATCAATAATACCTTTGAATGTAAATGGATTAAATTATCTGATTAAAATATATAGAGTAACCAAAATTAACAACAAAAAAGACCCAACTATATGTTGCCTACAAGAGACTCACCTCATTGTTAAAGACAGACTGAGAATAAAGGAATGGAAAAAAATTTTTCATGCAACCAGAACCCAAAAGCAAGTAAGGGTAGCCATACTTATATCAGATAAAATAAATTTTAAGTCAAAAACTGTACAAGGAAACAAGTAGGTCATTAGATAATGATAGGGATCCCTATTTGATACACAGGGATCAATTCATCAAGAAGATATAAAAATTGTAATTATATATGCACCCAACACCAGAGCACCCAGATACATAAAGCAAATATTATTAGACTTAAAGAGAGAGATAGACTCCAATACAATAATAGTAGGGTATGTCAGCACCTACTTTCAACAACAGATATATTATCTAGACAAAAAAGTCAACAAAGAAACACTGGACTGAAACTGAACCATAGATCAAATGTACCTCACAGATATTGAAAGAACATTCCACTTGGAAGCTACAGAATACACATTCTTCTCAACTGCACGTGGAACATTCTGCTGGATAGATCACATTAGGCTACAAAACTAGTTAAGAAACTTAAGAAGACAGAGATTATATCAAGTATCTTTTCTGACCCCAGTGGTATAAAACTGGAAATGAACAATAAGAAAAACTTTGGAAACTTTATAAATACATGGAAACTTGTCAACATGCTCCTAAGCAACCAGTGGGTCAATGAAGAAATTAAAAGAGAAATTAAAAATTTCCTTGAGACAAATGAGAATGGAAACACATCATACCAAAAACCTATGGGACACAGTAAAGCAGTTCTAAGAGGAAAGTTCATAGCAATAAATGACTATATTAAAAAAGAAGAAAGATTTCTAATAAACAATCTAAAGATACACTTCAAGAAACTAGAAAAATAAGAACAAACTAACCCAAAATTTGTAGAAGGATGGAAATAATAAAGTTCAGAGTAGAAATAAATGAAAGAGGTTTAAAAAATTGTTAAGATCAATAAAACAAAGAGTTAGATATTTGAAAGGATAAACAAAATTGACAAGCCTTTTGCTAGATTAAGAAAATAAAAGAGAAGACTCAAATAAATAAAACCAGAGATGAAAAAAGAGACATTATACCTGGCACCACAGAGATACAAAGTATGATAAAAAATGATTATGAATAACTACACCAACAATTTCTTTTTAGACAGGGTCTCACTCTGTCACCAGACTGGAGTGCAGTGGCGTGAGCTGGATCATAGCTCACTGTAACCTTGAACTCCTAGGCTCAAATGATCCTCCTCCCTCAGTCTCTCAAGTAGCTGGGACTACAGGATTGCACCACCACAACCTGCTAACTTTTTATTTTTTGTAGAGATAGGGTCTTGCTATATTGCCCAGGCTGGGTCAACAAATTTGATAACTCAGAAGAAACAGATAAATTTCTAATCACATATAAACTACCAAGATTAAATTATAAAAAAATAGAAAATCAGAGCAGACTGATAATGAGTGAGGAAATTAAATAAGTAATAACAAGCCTTCCTTTAAAGAGAAGCCCAGGACCTGATGGCTTCACTGCTGAATTCTGCCAAGCTTTTAAGAATAATAATACAAATTCTCCTCAAACGATTCCAGAAAACTGAAGAGGAGGGAATATGTACAAACCCATTTTGTGAGGACACCATTACCTTAATTCTAAAACCAGACAGGGATGCAAAAACAACAATAACAATGAAAACTACAGGCCAATATCTCTGATAAACATAGATGCAAAAATTATCAACAACGTACTAGCAAATTGAATCAAACAGCACGTTAAGAAGATCATTCACTATGGTAAAGCACATTTCATCTTAGGGATACAAAGATGGTTTAACACACAAATCAATAAATGTGATATACCACATTAACAGAAAGAAAGACAAAAATCATACGATAATTTCAATAGACACAGAAAAAGCATTTGACTAAATTTAACATTTCTTCTCTCAAAAAATTTGGTATAGAAGTTATGTCCCTCAACATGATAAAGGCCATTTATGACAAACCAACAGCTAACGTCAGAATGAATGATGAAAATAATATCAGGAACCAGACAAGGATGCTCACTTTCACCAATTCTATTCAAGATAGTAGTAGAAGGCTTAGCCAGAGCAATTAGGCAAGAAAAAGAAATAAAAGGCATCCACATTGAAAAGGAGAAAGTTAAATTGTTCCTATTTGCATAAAATACAATCTTATGTATAGAAACCCCTAAAAACCACCAAAAGCCTGTTAGACCTAATTTTAAAAATTCAGTAAATTTGCAGGGTATAAAATCAACATAAAAAAATCTGTAGTATTTCTACATGCTAATAGTGAACCATCTGAAAAAGAACTGAAGAAAATAATTCCATTTAGAATAGCTACAAAAAATAAGCTAGCTAGGAATAAACTTAACCAAGGATGTGAAGATCTCTACACTGGAAACTATAATACTTTGATGAAAGAAATTGAATGGGACACAAATAGATAGAAAAATATTCTGCATTCATAAATTGAAAGAATATTTTTAAATGGCTATATTATTTAAAGCAATCTACAGATTTAATGCAATTCCTATCAAAATACCAATGTCATTCTTCACAGTCATAGAAAAAAAACCCTAAAATTAATATAGAACAACAAAAGACACTGACTAGCCAAAGCAATCCTGAACAAAAAGAACAAAGCTGAAGGCATCACACTACCTGACTTCAAAATTTATTATGAAGCTATAGCAACTAAAACAGCACGGTACTGGCATAAAAACAGACACATAGACCAGTGGAACAGAATAGAGAGGTCAGAAATAAATTCACACATCTACAGCCAATTGATTTTTGACAAAGGTGACAAGAACTCACATTGAGGAAGAGATAATCTTTTTAATAAACTGTGCTGGGAAAATTGTATATCAACATGCAAAAGAATGAGGCTAAATCCCTACTTCTCACCATATAAAAAAATCAACTCAAAATGGATTAAAAACTTAAAAAATCTGAAGCTATGAGGCTACTAGAAAAAAAACAGGGGAAACACTTTGCAACATTGGGTTGGGCAAGGACTTTTAAAATAAGAACATAAAAGAATAGAAAAAAAACCAAAATGGACAAGTGGGATTACATCAAACTAAAAAGATTTTGCATGGAGTGAAAACTATTAAGAGTGAAGTGACAACCTGCAGAATGAGAGAAAATATTTGCAGTCTATTTGTCTGGGAAGGGGTTAATATCTAGAATGTATGAGGAATTTAACACAATTCAGCAGAAAAAAAATTTTAAATGGGCAAAAGATGTTTTCTTTTGACATTTCTCAAAAGAAGACATATTTGAGAAATGTCAAAAGAAAACATACAAATAGCCAACAGATTTATGGAAAATATTCAACATCAGTAATCATCAGGGAAATGCAAATCAAAACCACTGTGAGATACCACTCACTCCAATTAGAATGGCTCCTATTGATAAAACAAAAGAAAACAAGTGTTGGCAAGGATGTGAAGAAAAGGAAACTCTTACACATTGTTAGTGGGATTGTAAACTAGTAAAGCTGTTACGGAAAACAGTATGAAGATTCCTCAATAAATTAAAAATAGTACTACTATATAATCCCACAATTCCACTACTGGGTATATATCCAAAGGAAATGAAATCAGTATGTCAAAGAGATATCTGCACTCCCATGTTGATCGCAGCAGTAGTTACAATAGCCAAGACATGGAATCAACTTAAGTGCTCAACAGTGAATGAAAGGATAAATAAAATGTGGGACTTATACACAATGGAATACTATTCAGCCATAAAAAAAGAAGGAAATCTGATCATTTGCAACAACTTAAATGAACCTGGAGGGCATCATGTTAAGTGAAATAAGCCAGACGAAGAAAGACAGATACCATATGATCTCACTCATATGTGGAATCGAAAACAAACAAAAAGGTCGCTACCACAGAAGTAGGGAGTAGAACATGGTTACCAGAGACTAGGGTGGAGACAAGAGAGGGAAACGGGGAGAGGTTCATCAACAGGTACGAAGTTGCAGTTGGGAGGAATAAATTATGATGTTTGTGTGCACAGCCAGGTGATGGTGGTTAATAGTAAGGTATTGTATATTACAACACAGCTGGAAGGGAGGCATTTGAATGTTCTCACCACCAAGGAATGATAAATACATGAGATGCTGGATATACTAGATACCCTGATTGAATCATTATACAACACAGATGTGTATCAAAACATCAAATTCTATCCCATAAGTATGTACAATTATGTCAATTAAAATTCATTAATTTTGAAAGATTTTTTTATAGAACTTGACAAAGTGATCCTAAAATTCATATGCAAGCATACATTTCAAGCAACTTAAAATAGAAAAGCAAAGAGTTTTGTTTTTAAAAATTTACTCTACCAAATATGAAAGAACAAGGTTGGTATTTACAACAGTGAGTGAGTCATAGTGTGGACATAGACACCTGTATCAGTGAAACAACAGAAGCTCCAGAAAGAGGCTGTTTGTATGTGTGACCTGGGTCCATATAGAAGCAGCCTCCCAGACCAGTAAGGAAAGGACAGGCCATTCAATAGAAAGTGCTGAGAAAACTGGTACCCATGTGGGAAACATTCTATTTCTACCTCACACCATAGACATAAATAAATTCCGGATATATGTAATGAAAAATGAAATTTTTAAAAATGGAGCTCTAAGATTATCTTATTTAAATGTAAGATACAATATTTTTCATATTTACACGTAGAAGACGGTGTTTAAAAAAGACTTCAAAGCAAAATTCATATAATAAACATATTGATAACACTGGTTATGTAAAATTTAGATTTTTGCATGACATTAAGATATAAAAAACTAAGCTAAAAATAAGAACAAATGGCCAGGCGCAATGGCTCACGCCTGTAATCCCAGAACTTTGGGAGGCCGAGGCAGGTGGATCACGAGGTCAGGAGATCGAGACCATCCTGGCTAACACAGTGAAACCCCGTCTCTACTAAAAATACAAAAAATTAGCCGGGCGTGGTAGCAGGTGCCTGTGGTCCCAGCTACTTGGGAGGCTGAGGCAGGAGAATGGAGTGAACCTGGGAGTTGGAGCTTGCAGTGAGCCGAGATCACGCCACTGCACTCCAGCCTGGGCAACAGAGCAAGACTCCGTCTCAAAATAAATAAATAAATAAATAAATAAATAAATAAATAAATAAGAACAAACTGGAAAAAATGTCATTGCTATCCAGGCAAAGATGAGTGATCCAAAACATATAAAGGGATCCTGCACACGCCCAAGAGACAAATAGCCTAGCAGAAAATGGGCAAAGATCTGAGTAGCAAACTGCATAAGAAGAAATAGGAACGGCCAATAAACATCCAAACAGGGGCTCACTGTCATTGGCAATCAGAGAGCTGCAAAGTAAAACAACGATTACACGACACTTTTCATCTGATTGTAGAAATGACATTGTTACAATATGAGATGGGAAGATATTAGGATGGGAAGACACTAGAATACCTGATTCTTTTAGACATCGCCGATGGGGCAAACGGGCAAAGGTTGCCTGGAGCTACCTATTAAAATTTTGAACTCACATACACTGACCCAGCAATTCCATTTCTAGGAATATTGCCGGAAGCTCTCACACACCACCAGGAGGACAATGCCATTCATCACAGCATGGCTGATGGTAGGGAAAATACTCATTGTTAGAGGAGTGGACGGACAAAATGTGGGACAACCCCTTTGGGAAGTTACATGGCATTATCTTAAAAGTGGACAGTACACTTCCAAGTCAACTCCCAGCCATCCAGCCTACAGAAACTCTCAGATAAGAGTTCCAGGGATCCTATATGAAAATGTTCCCAATAGCATTGTTTATTAAAAACAACAAAACAAAGAAAACCCAAATGCCCATCCACAGGAGAGAGGAGCAATACACTGTGCATATTGTATACAACACACTATGATGTGTGCATGACGGAATGTCAGACAACAGAGGCAATCAGGGCTCAGCAGTTGTGTCATAGCATGAATGTCCCCAGGAAATTCAGCATGATGCCAGGTAAAGAAGGCAACATGCAGAAGCCCTCAGAGAGCACAGTATCATTTTATAAGTTACCATTGAGACCAGCCCAAATTAAACAATCGATTGTTTAAGGCAAGACTTATGGTATAAATCCATAAAAACAAAGCAAGGGATTAGACCCCAACATTCTGGGAGTGGTTACCTCTTGGGAAGCAGCCTGGGGTGTGAGCCTGGGGCAGGGGTCTGGGGAGATTCCGGTGTCACCTCAATGTCCTGTGTGACATCTGTGCCTCACACTGTTAAAGGATCCCTGGGGTGTCACTTTGCCAGCCAGAAACCTCTGCGGCCACTGGTGCATTTGCCTGAGTTTTGCTCTGGCCCGCTGGGTTTGTTCTGCCCACTTAGCCTGGCAGGCTGTGTTCAGCTCCCACTACCAGCCTGGATCTCACACCTGCCAAGGGCGAGCCAGGCATGGAGCAGCAAGGGATGTGTGAGCAAGTGTGAGGTCCCACCATTGCGTGGTTAGGCATGCTGGCTCCCTGCAAGGCTACAGTTGGACCAGGTGTACCATAAGCAGCTTCCATGGCTGATACCAGGGAATCTGTTATGGCACCTAGAAGCTTGGAGATGCCAGGAACTGCAGAGCCCTAAAAAAGGTGTCACAGCCCTGGCTCAGGGCACTTCTAGGTCTGAGCTATCTGAAGGGCTGCAGCTCTTCTCTCCTTCTGTCTTCCCTCCCTCTTGTCACCCACAATGTGGTGGGCAAAGGGCATGTTTTAGCCCTGTTTGTGTTACATCTTTCTTTTATATATATATATTCTTTTATCATACTTTAAGTTCTAGGGTACATGTGCACAATGTGCAGGTTTGTTACATATGTACACATGTGCCATGTTGGTGTGCTGCACCCATTAACTCCTCATTTACCTTAGGTATATCTCCTAATGCTATCCCTCCCCCCTCCCCCCTCCCCCCACCCCACAACAGGCCCTGGTGTGTGATGTTCCCCTTCTTGTGTCCAAGTGTTCTCATTGTTCAATTCCCACCTATGAGTGAGAACATGCAGTGTTTGGTTTTTTGTCCTTGCGATAGTTTGCTGAGAATGATGGTTTCCAGCTTCATCCATGTCCCTACAAAGGACATGAACTCATCCTTTTTTGTGGCTGCATAGTATTCCATGGTGTATATGTGCCACATTTTCTTAATCCAGTCTATCATTGTTGGACATTTGGGTTGGTTCCAAGTAGTGCCACAATAAACATACGTGTGCATGTGTCTTTATAGCAGCATGATTTATATTTTTTTGGGTATATACCCAGTAATGGGATGGCTGGGTCAAATGGTATTTCTAGTTCTAGATCCCTGAGGAATCACCACACTGTCTTCCCCAATGGTTGAACTAGTTTACGGTCCCACCAACAGTGTAAAAGTGTTTCTATTTCTCCACATCCTCTCCAGCACCTGTTGTTTCCTGACTTTTTAATGATCGCCATTCTAACTGGTGTGAGATGATATCTCATTGTGGTTTTGATTTGCATTTCTCTGATGGCCAGTGATGATGAGCATTTTTTCTTGTGTCTGTTGGCTGCATAAATGTCTTCTTTTGAGAAGTGTCTGTTCATATCCTTTGCCCACTTTTTGATGGGGTCGTTTGTTTTTTTCTTGTAAATTTGTTTGAGTTCTTTGTAGATTCTGGATATTAGCCCTTTGTCAGATGGGTAGATTGCAAAAATTTTCTCCCATTCTGTAGGTTGCCTGTTCACTCTGATGGTAGTTTCTTTTGCTGTGCAGAAGCTCTTTAGTTTAATTAGATCCCATTTGTCAATTTTGGCTTTTGTTGCCATTGCTTTTGGTGTTTTAGACATGAAGTCCTTGCCCATACCTATGTCCTGAATGGTATTGCCTAGGTTTTCTTCTAGGGTTTTTATGGTTTTAGGTCTAACATTTAAGTCTTTAATCCATCTTGAATTAACTTTTCTATAAGGTGTAAGGAAGTGATCCAGTTTCAGCTTTCTACGTATGGCTAGCCAGTTTTCCCAGCACCATTTGTTAAATAGGGAATCCTTTCCCCATTTCTTGTTTTTGTCAGGTTTGTCAAAGATCAGATAGTTGTAGATGTGTGGTATTATTTCTGAGGGCTCTATTCTGTTCCATTGGTCTATATCTCTGTTTTGGTACCAGTACCATGCTGTTTTGGTTACTGTAGCCTTGTACTATAATTTGAAGTCAGGTAGCATGATGCCTCCAGCTTTATTCTTTTGGCTTAGGACTAAAATCTCCTTAAGCTGATAAGCAACTTCAGCAGTCTCAGGATACAAAATCAATGTGCAAAAATCACAAGCATTCTTATACACCAATAACAGACAAACAGAGAGTCAAATCATGAGTGAACTCCCTTTCACAATTGCTTCAAAGAGAATAAAATACCTAGGAATCCAACTTACAAGGGATGTGAAGGACCTCTTCAAGGAGAACTACAAACCACTGCTCAACGAAATAAAAGAGGACACAAACAAATGGAAGAACATTCCATGCTCATGGATAGGAAGAATCAATATCGTGAAAATGGCCATACTGCCCAAGGTAATTTATAGATTCAATGCTATCCCCATCAAGCTACCAATGACTTTCTTCACAGAATTGGAAAAAACTACTTTAAAGTTCATATGGAACCAAAAAAGAGCCCACATTGCCAAGTCAATTCTAAGCCAAAAGAACAAAGCTGTGTTATGTCTCTTTTAGCCCTCCTGTCCTGCTTCCAGGAAGAATGAGGTATGCAGAAAATCGGGGGATGAGCAGGATGAAGAGGAGCTTTATTGAGCAATAGAACAGCTCAGAGGAGACCTGCAGTGGGCAGCTCCTCTCTATAGCCAGAGTGTCCTGAGGAGTGTCCAGCTCTCAGCAGACAGAGCAGCTCCTCTCTGCAGCTGGTCATCCATCACCTCTTCAGCTCTCAGCAGAGAGGGTAGCCCCCTTCTACTAGGCAGGTCATCCTGATGAATGTCCAGTTCTCAGCAGAGAGGAGATGCTGGGGTGGGCGGCTTCTCTCCGCAGCTGGTCATCCTGTCATCTGGACTCTGGCTGAGTCTGGGGCTTTTAAGAGCCTCAGAGGGGAGGAAGTGAGTGCTGATTGGTTCGTGGGTGGCCAATGGTGGGCCAGAAAAGACACCACAAGTTCTCATTCCAGTTCATTGGACTGGCAACCTGGCCCCCAGGTTTTAGGTCCCCATCAACTTGAGGGTGGGGCTTCACCAGGGACCTACCCCCTTCTGCCCAGGATCCTGTCTGCTTTCTGCCACCATTCATGGTGCCCAGGCTGTTTGTGCCAAGGGGTGCATGTAGGTCAGTGCTGAGCTGCCCTCAGCACACTGTCAGTCTCCCTCCCATGCTCATTGGTGCCCAAAGTCCAGAGGGGGCCAAGGTGGCAGGGGGCTGGTGTGTCAGTGCTGCCCCAAGCATGCACACACCTAGCTGGGTTGTGACGGTGCCTAGGCTCAGTCTCAACTTTGCTCCATGATTGGAGCAGGTGTTGACAGCGGGAAGAGGCCAGGTAGTGGAACCAGACACCTCTGAGCCTGTGGGGGCAAAAGGGGGCCTTCTCAGGGTCCCTGAGAGTGCAGAGATGCCTGGGTCCACAGCCACAACTTGGGTATCTGCAGCCATACCTGGGAGGGTGAAGCTCCTTCCTGTTCCTGGCTCCCACTGGCTCTATGGAGCATGGCACCACCCTGGGCCCAGCTCCACCTCGGGGAGCACGGTTGAGGTTGTGGCTGAGGCTCTGGGCCTGGGAGTGGGTCCTGCCCTCACCACCACCACTGCTACTCCTGCAGCCACTCCTGCCACCACCGCTCGTGTCTCTCTGCTGCAGCTGGTGTGATGACAGCGGCCACTCCAGATGGCTCACTGTTGCCATCCACACCATCATCCATATAGGTGCATTTCATCCCAAACTATTTTAAAATATGGCAAGTTATACATTGAAACACATATGAACAAACTAGATTCATGAACATGGCTGAACCCTCAAGTTAGTTTTTAATTGAGGAAAGAAGCAAATTGTAGAATAACCCATATAACCTGGCATCATTTATGCAGCACATATGCACACAAAATAATTCTATATGTTTCCTAAGATGCAAACATGCTTTAAGAGGCCTGAGATGATATAATGAATAATGAATTCATAAGGTTGAATAGTGTTGGGAGTGGGGACAGAGTTTGCATGGGAGGGGCCTTGTTAAGAGGGGCTCTTGAGAGACCAGTTAAATTTCACCTTTTTTTTTTTTTTTTTTCCTGGAGACAGTCTCATTCTCTTGCCCAGCCTGGAAAGCAATGGCATGATCTCAGCTCACTGCAACCTCTGCCTCCCAGTTTCAACTGATTCTCTTGCCTCAGCCTCCCGTGTAGCTAGGATTACAGGCACGTGCCACCACGCTCAGCTAATTTTTTATATTTTTAGTAGTTTGTGGTTTCACCAATCAGGCTGGTCTCAAATTCCTAACCTCAAGTAATCCACCTGCCTGGAAGTTTTACCTTTTTAAAGTTAGATGAAGAGGAGGAGATGATGTGCAGCAAGATCAGGATAGGAGTTACTGAACACATTTAGAAAGACCATGTGGGGGATCACAACAAAAGTCCACGTGCACCCTACCCTTTCACTTGAACCTGAGCTGTGGAAGCCGTCCCCTGGCCAGCCGTTGGGTGTGGGCCACCACTGTTTCTTGGATTGGGGCAGCGGCTGCGTTCCAGGCCATCTTTATTGAGCCACCCCCCTAGTGCATCATCTCTGCTTCTCACTGCCATTAAAAAAAAACAAAAACAACAACAACAAAAAAAAAAACATTAGAATGAAAGCTTAGAGACACTTGCAGAATAACCTGAGTGTAGTTCTTCATCCTTACAATTGTTCTGCTGGCCTGTCTTTTACACACCTTTCCAGTACACAATTCAACTGCCTTTAGTAAGGCTTTCCAAAGAATGCAACTTGAGTTTCCCAAGAAATCGCTCTTTCAGCGCTCACCTTTCACCAGTGTGCGGATGTTAAAATTAAATGGCGCAGCAGACATGCAAGATAGCGGCTACCGCATGTTTTTTTTTTTTTTTCTGAGACGGAGTCCCACTCTATCTCCCAGGCTGGAGTGCAGTGGCGCGATCTCGGCTCACTGCAAGCTCCGCCTCCCGGGTTCACGCCATTCTCCTGCCTCAGCCTCCGGACTACAGGCTCCGGCCACCACGCCCGGCTAATTTTTTGTATTTTTAGTAAAGATGGGGTTTCACTGTGTTAGCCAGGATGGTCTCGATCTCCTGACCTCGTGATCCGCCCGCGTCGGCCTCCCAAAGTGCTGGGCGTGAGCCACCACCCCCAGCCATGATTTGCTTCTCTCTGCTGCCACCGTGTTCCCTGCCTCTTTAGAGACAGGGAAGGATCTTGCTCTGGAATTGGTACTCACGGGTCAAGCTCTGGGAATCCTTTGCACGTAGCCCTAGTCTTGGCAGTTGCTATCCCATGTGGGGTTCAGCACCCAGGCGGAGGGCTCAGCCTTTCTGCAGGCTGCCTGCACGCTCCCCTCGCCCTGTGAGCAGGCTCTGGCCACCAGGATGGCTCACGGGGATGCTGAAGACCCCTGGCCAGGGAATGTGGGTAAGGTCATCATCAGGAGTTGACGTGTTGGTGAAAAGAGGATGCTTTTGGTGCCGTTGTTTTCTCCTCCCTGCTCTGGTTCCAGACCACCTTGCTTCAGAGGCTTCTATTTGGTGACTCCTCCTATTTTTTTTCCTAGAAGACCATTATCCAGATGCAACTCCTGATGAATTTTGGTCCATGAGAGGCAGTTCTCACAGATTCGACTAGCTCAGAGGAGACGCTCTGAAATACTCTGCAGATGGCCACCTGTTTTCTGATGTCCTGAGTGCCCACATAGTGGACAGCGGCCATCGGAGTCTGACTCGGGCTCTACGGGGGGCCCACTGGCCTGCCATGACCAGCACTGTCACTTCCTCTGCGGTAGGGAGGGAAGGAGGGAGAGAAGGACTGGTCCTGCCATCTCCTTGGTGGGGTTGATGGTCCTGGCACCATGTCCCTCCCAGGGTGGAGGAGAACTCGATTTCCGAGCAACCAGCCTAGGCGTATGGTGTCTCTGCCCTTCCCTTCCCCAACCCACCTCCTCCCCCTCTTCCCCTTCTTCACAGGCACCCACACGCATGACCACAGATCTTAGCTGCCCCAAGCCACCTGGGAGCATGGCCTGCTCATTGCTGCCCCTCTGCCGGCCAGGGACAGCCATGGGTGGGGCAGACACTATGATACCCACAGCATCTTCATCTCCAGCTTCCCGGAAGGGCTGGGGTCTGTCCACTGCCTCCACCTCTGCTCATTTACTCTCTTCGCCCAGGGCCATCTCTCCCTGGACTTTCGTGTTGCCAACCCTCCCGGCTCTGCTCGATGGGGATGGCCTTTCTCGTTTGCTCCTCTGCTGCCATTGTCCCTGGCCCCATTCTCCATGTCCCCCGTGAGGCCCCTCACCTTCCTCTCTTCCTGACAAAGCTCTCAGCCATGTTCCTCCGGGAGCCTCCTCTCCAGGGGCTGCCACCAGCTGGATCCTCCCCGTGTGCCTGCTCCCAATCTGTGCCCTCTTCTGGGTGTGCTTACCTGGGTGTCCCTCAGCCCTGGAGCCCATGATCTGCTGTGGATTCCCCACTCTCTCCTCCGTGGCTGTACTAACTCGCCGTGGACCTGGGTGGAGCTGGTGACCCTCCGTACTCCCGCTTTCCTCGGAACTGGAAGAACTTCGATGAGGCTGGTGCCTTTCAGAGGGGCCAACTGCCCGGGCTGCTCCATCTTATTCTCTCCTCCCCAGTTTAACACCAAGGTCAATGCTCTGATGTTCCTCCTGTTGTAGCTAAAGGCAGAGAAAGCCACCCAGTAACTCTGGGATCCTCCCATCCCAGGCCAACCACAGGACACAGGGAATCTGTCCTGTACTAGCCTGAGGCTGTCTCCCCGGAGGAGAGCACTAGCAAGGGACTGCCAGGCTCCTGGGCACTGAGTGGCTGGTTTGCAGACGACCTTGACTTACAGCAGAGGCAGGGAGAGCAGCAGCAAATGTGTGGGGTTCCCCACTCACTCCTGCAGGCTCTCCTGGGTCCTGCCGGCCTCCCTGCCCTGGGCGTCTCAGGATGCCCCTGCCCCTGCCCCAGGGTAACACGAGGCCCCTTCCTTCCCTTTCCTTTGACGATCCTGTCCCGGAATCACAGGGGTGCTTCCCATCTGAGGCTCCCTGGCTTTGCACACACATGTCAGACTTGGTGATACCATATGCTAGTTATTTACCAAGTGTGCACCAAGCGTTACGCTTCTGTGATGAAAACAATGGAAAGCGAAGACCTTCCCTTCCCAGTGCATCTCACTGAACCGTGGGGTGCTAGTCTGGCCTCCTGGTTTTCCTTTCTCTGTCTTTTTTTTTTTTTTTTAATTTTTATGCTTGCTTGTCAGAGACCTGATTTCCTTTGACTTGCTTCTGATATGTTATTGCACACACTCTGAACTCCTGACCTCAAGTGATCCACCTGCGTCAGCCTCCCAAG
This sequence comes from Homo sapiens, assembly GCF_000001405.40. Taxonomy (NCBI): domain Eukaryota; kingdom Metazoa; phylum Chordata; class Mammalia; order Primates; family Hominidae; genus Homo; species Homo sapiens. Next base: position 239,832,359 of record NC_000002.12, on the reverse strand, counting down.
ATGCCGAGATTACAGGCATGAGCCACCGGGCCTGGCTGTACAGGAAAAAGGTTTAATGGACTTACTCTTCCACATGGCTGGGGAGGCCTCACAATCACGGTGAAAGGCAAGGAGGAGCAAATCATGTCTCACATGGATGGCAGCAGGCAAACAGAAAGAGCTTGTGCTCCCCTTTTCAAAATGATCAGATCTCATGAGACTTATTCACTCCCCTTTTTAAAACTATCAGATCTCATGAGACTTATTCACTGTCATGAGGACAGCATGGGAAAGACCCATCCCCATGACTCAATTACCTTCTACTGGGTCCCTCCCACAACATGTGGGAATTCAAGATGAGATTTGAGTGGGAACACAGCCAAACCATATCAGCAGGGCTCAAGAGATATTTGTTGAGTGAATAAATGACCTGGTTTGTGAATTTCCACAGTTACTTACTTCCCTATTCATTTTCTCAAATTGCAATATGGAGAATTCTCTGCTTCCCTCATGGGATGATAGTTTATATGTGACAGAGCTTTGTGCCTGGAGTGACTGTTTTCACTAAGGATAACCGAGCAGCCCGTGACCCCCCCAAGACCAGCCACGTCACCCTCACTGGGAGTTTGCAGAACAGCAGCGCCTCCCACCGAGGCCACCAGTCAGTATCTGCATCCGCTAATACCTGCAGGGAGGCGTGCACCACCCCCAGCCCAGAGGCTCCGTCTCGGAGGGAAAGTTCCCTTGAGGGAGCAGGGAGGCCTGCAGTCAGCATGTGAGCCCTCCGGGCTGTTCTGCAAAGCTGGCCAGGAGGGCTGGGCTCATGGGGCCAGGCCATTATCTCTCATCCCCCGGTTTACACTTTCCCCACATTCCTCCCAGCCCGGAAGGGTCAGCAGCTGGTTTCTTAGGGCCCCCAGGGGGCATGTGTCACAGAGCATGTGCAGAGCCTATTGTCAGCCGCAGCAGCCATCGAGGAGCCCTCCTCGCCCATTTCCTGTGGGCCATTGATCCTCTCATGGCCCTTTCCAGCTTTAGACCAGCTGGCTGCCATTCTAGGCACTTAGCGTGTGCGGAAAAATTTTATGTTTTCATGATATCAGCAGGAAAATAGGAAATGGCTTGGAAAACAGGGAGGCATAAAACAATGGTTTGAGGAGAGTGAGCCTTGGATAAACATCCCTGGTTGCCCTTTGGAATGTGTGGATTTAAACACACACTCAGGAATATATGCTCCGTGGTGTGAGAGATAAACATCCTGAAACTCATTAGGCCAGCAGCTCTGTTCTAGCAAACGCTGCTGAGGGACGCAAGAAGGGCTGGCCAGGGCCCAGCACAGGGTACCCTGCAGCTGCTTGGCCCTGCTTGTGAAGGCAGGGGACCTGCCATTGGCCTCAACAGCACAACCTGGCCCAGTCACCTAACAGGTGCAATGCTCCCCATGAGCTCTGCATGTACTGGGCCAGTGCTGGGAGCCCAGGTCCCTGCCAGGTGGGCTTGGGGTCTGGTGCCTGGGGAGGACGGTGGCTGGCTGCCAGAAGGGAGTTCACGTTGTGGTCTGCCTCTTTCTTGACCCATCTGCAGGCAGCCGGCTCAGGAGTCTGTGATTTTCTATAGGACAAGGAGATTTTATAGTTGGTTTTAAAGATACACTTACTCAAGGAATACAATACCTTGAAATTAGCCCTGAGGTGTTTGGCAGTGAGACTGAGGCATGGCCTGCACAGCTGGAGCTGAAGGTGACCTCAAGTGATTGATGTTTAATACTCCTAATAATAGCTTGCATGACTAAGTCTTAACCACACATCAGAGGCTAAGCTCTGCACACACTCTTGCATTTGACCATAGGTCAACCCTAAGTAGTGAGGACAAGCATTGCAACCATTTCACTTCTCAGATGAAGATGCGGGTGTAGGCCCAGGGAGCGGACGGTGCTGCTGGGGCCACAGGGACCAGAGCTGCAGGCTGAGCTCCCATAAGAATGGGGGCCTTGCTTCCCAGGGCTCTTTCTGTCATTGAGCCGCCTCTGCCATGGGGTGAGTGCCAGTGGTCAATGCCAGGCCAATGGGCTTGAGGGGCATCTCATCCAGTCTGAGAGCTGCAGGCTGAGTGCCACGCCCCCACTTGGAAGCACACTCCCTGGCCCTGCTGGAGATGGGTGGACAGTCCATGTCTGGGAGGCAGTCTCTGCTGGCACGTCTGGGGCTCCTTCCTTCTTGAAGGCTGCTGCAGCAGGCACAGCCCTCAGCTGCTCTTAGCCCACGCTGTCTACCTAGTGGTCTCAGGTACACCTGCCCTCGCACTCTCCACCTCCCTCCCCCAATTCGCAGACGTGAACAGCGTGGGAAAATATTTCTCAGTAATAATAAAAAATGGTACTTTGTTAAAGTTTACAGCGGCTTGCAGTCATGGGTTTGTAATCTCTCTTGTCCATTCTAAAAGTAGGTAGGTGGCTTTCAACAGACTCCCCTTCTCCCCATTAATGTTTTGTTCTGCTGAAGAAGCTTGGAATTAAAGGAGCTCCGTGTGTGGCTATGCCGAGACAGAGTTTGAGCCTTCTGCAGGCTGGACCCAGGCCTGCAGGCTCTTTTTTCCTAGAAGTGAAGGATGATGGAGTCCCAGATCTTAGAAAAGGACAGAAGAGAATGGATTTAGAAAAGGAAAGAGGAAAGTGTGGAAATATATTTTTAAAATGAAGTTTGGATGGGGGAGAGCTTCTGCTTTGCAAAATTTTCACCCTGGAAGGTTGAAACCTTTTTGTGGCCCGTGGGTTCCGTCCCCACCGCACCCCCGGAGGCTTGACAGCCGTCTCAGGACAAAGATCCCTGCCTCGCAAAGCTGCTCCAGTCCGGGAGATCTTGGCTTGCTGTTACTTCTCGTGGAAACCCAAAATAGCTCTTGGTGATCGTTGCCCGTTTTCTCCACTTCCCTTTGGACTCACGGCAGTCAAAGCACTAACGATTTTCAAATATTTGAAGATGCTCAAAGCTCGAGTCTCTTTCCCAGCATGGGTGTCCTCAGTTCTCCCGTCTGGCCCGCCTACAGCAGAGCTTCCGCACCCCTCCATTTCCCTTCCCAGGGTCCCCTCTGGGAAAGGGATGGTGGCAGCCACCGCTGGCCCCGGAACTCTTGGCTGTGCCCAGGGCCCCCTCTGGGAAAGGGATGGTGGCAGCCACCGCTGGCCCCGGAACTCTTGGCTGTGCCCAGGGCCCCCTCTGGGAAAGGGATGGTGGCAGCCACCGCTGGCCCCAGAACTCTCGGCTGTGCTGGGCCGCACTTCCAGCACGCTCTGCTGCCAGGGACCTGGGTGGCTGAGTTCTGGCCCAGAGAGTGTGAGGGAGCGACTCAGGATTCCTCCGCACCCGGCCCCGGAAGGCCCTCCCAGGTTCCTTCTCTGGGATGTCTGCTCTTCCGGCGATTAGGATGGTGGCCCAGGGTGCTTTTGGAAGCTCTGAGTTCCAGATGGCCACCCTTGATGGCAGGTCCTGAGTGACCACATGCAGCTGACCCCTTCCCTGCCCAGGTCTGGCCCGCCCTCGTGGTGAGGGGTGGGGAATGACCCTCCGTCCTGTGGCCCTTCCATGCTTGAGGGGTGGGGATGACCCTCCGTCCTGTGGCCCTTCCATGCTTGGCTCTATCTGTTGTCACAGCACCTCACGCCCCCTGCAGACACGTGTGCTCCGAATAACACAGTGAAGTGGCCTGGAGCAGCAGAGGCGAGTGCTTCTGTGCCACCCGCCAAGACCTCCATCCCTGCTGGAAGCCCAGGGGTTGTCTGGCCTCTCATTATCCCCAGGAAACACACCCTGCGGTGCCATTCACAGTTCGGTGTCCTCATAGCAGTGTTGGCTCTTGCAGAATCAACTCGAAGACCTCAAGTTTCTCTCTCCCAGATTCATCTGATGAGCAGGACCACCAGGACCTGGAGACTCCCCAGCTGTGGCCTCTTCCTGTGCTCCGGGCCCTGCAGCCACAGCTTGTGTTAGATTAGAACACATTGCCATGTGCCCATGGAGAGATTCAAATTATTTTTCAAAACGAGCTGGAGATCGGTGCGGGAACCCATGTGGCTGGTGGCTCTGGGGGAGCTCAGGGCCAGTCAGCAGTGCAGGGCACGGGCTCTCGGGAGAAGCAGTGAGCTCTGGCTCTGGGATACACCTCTTTCCCTAGAGGATTACACTTCTGATGGCTGGGTTTTATCCGGCATGAAAAGGAAGAGTTTTTCCCTGAAGGAGAAGGTAGCCAGGAGACTGCCAATTGCAAGAAAGCAAAATAATAAACCTCCGTCCCTCTCCCTTCACCTCATATGACATTTGTCCAATTTTATGGCCAGTGGTTCGGGCCGTCTTTTATTTTCCATTAAATGAAAATGAGAATTGTTCCAAGTGATGAATTATCTGGGCAGTCCTGCCAGAAATGAAGCATGCTCAGGTTGTTAAGTAAAATAAACTACGCGGACGTCCTTGCACAGGGATTCTCACGAGCGCGTCCTCTTTCTACCTGGTCCGGTTTTCCCACGGGAGCAGGAAAACACCTCCTGGAGACAGGGAGGGCATGGAGGGTGGCCCGGGGCCCCAGGGTGGTGGGAGCCTCACTGGGATTTTTGATTCCTTGTGGAAAGCTGGGAGCCGAACCCATTTCAACTTTCCCAGGCCTGGCCCAGCCCTTGCCCAAATCCTGTCGCTTAGTCACCCTCAGGAGCAAACCTCCGCCGCGCCACAAGCCCAGGGACGCACAGGGAGACACAGGCCCAAAGTGGGGTGGGGGAGACCAGCACAGGCATGAAGAATAGGAACCGTGCAATGGGAAAAGGAAAAGACGGTTTCCCCAGGAGTCCTGGGTTCCAGGAGGCACTTAGAAAGCCCCTCTCAGGGGTCCCCATATCTCCCTTCACGAAGATAAAGCTGTCTCAGACATGCAATCCGGGGACGGTTGTCCAAGGCCGTGCAGCCTGTGGCAGGGAGCTGCTGGGGGTGGTGCCTCCGCTCTGCCCGATGACAGAGGAGACAGAGCCCATGGCCTAATCCCGGTCTCCTCTACCCCACATGGGGAAGAACCTCCTTGAGGTTCCTCAGGAAACTCAGCAGGTCTCAAGTGGGTGGGTCCTTACAGGCCAAGGACTGGGGCAGGGGGAGGCAGAGACGCCAAGTGGGCCCGGGAGCTCTTGGTGCATCTCAGTTCCCTTTGTCTTCAGGATTCGACCTTCACATCATCCCGGAGCCTTTCCTGAAGGACCTAGCTAATGTGGCACCCCTCTGATTGCCTCTTGCCACCCCCAGTTTTACATTCCTTCCTAACCTGCATCACTGTTGGAGGATGAGTTCCAGGTTTTCCTCGCTGCTGTCTCCTCCCTCCCTGCATGGAATGCAGGATGGGGTTTTGTTCACTCGCGCACTTTTGTGCCTGGCACATTGCCCGGCTGTAGTCGGTGCTCAGTAGGTAACCACTGAGTGCACGGAGAGAGGAAGGACGGGCTCTGAAGCTTGCCTCTCCCCAGGAACAACTCCTGCTTATTCTTGATCTCTGACTATCAGGCTTTCCCGGGGAGCCCCACCCTTGTTATGGGACAGAAAACAGGGTCGATCACACCCCGGACCCCAGGTCACTGCCTCCAGCAACCTCTTCTGCTTTTATTTCTATTTTAAAAACCTAAAGCAGTGTTCTTGAGGTCTGAGTACATCCAGTAGGTTCGACATGGCTTTGGTGGAAGATTCCACGAGTACGTCACCATTCCATGGAAGACTAGAATGTTCTCAGCCTCCAGACTTGCCGTTCTGCCGCTTCATCCGCAGCCCACTGCTGGTCAGTTCACCCCTTGCGGTGAGTTTTGGAGGCTCTAGGACTTCGCAGTCTTGAGATTCTACGGCTTGTCATCTGGTGTCCGGCCTCTTGCTCAACATGTTTTCTGAGATTCATCTACATTGTGTGTATCGGTAATCCGTAATCTGTTCTTTGTTCTGTTTTGTTTTTTTGGAGATGGAGTCTCACTTTTGTCGCCCAAGCTGGAGAGCAGTGGTGCGATCTTGGCTCACTGCAACCTCCACCTCCCGGGTTCAAGCGATTCTCCTGCCTCATCCTCCTGAGTAGCTGGGATTACAGGTGCCCGCCACCACACCCAGCTAATTTTTGTATTTTTAGTAGAGATGGGGTTTCACCACATTGGCCAGGCTGGTCTTGAACTCCTGACCTCAGGTGATCCGCCCGCCTTGGCCTCCCAAAGTGCTGGGATTACAGGCGTGAGCCACCGCACCTGGCCTAATCTGTTCTTTTTTGTTGCCGAGTAGAATTCCTTGTGTAAATACATTGCAGTTTAATTGTTCATTTGGATAAACAGTGTTATAAGGACATTTGGATTGCTTCCAATTTGGGGTTCCTATGAACAAGGCTGTTGTGAGCATTCATGGACGTGTCCTTGCATGGATGTATGTGCTCATTTCTCACGGGAAAAATGCCTTGGAGTGGAGAAGTTGGTTCACAGCTGTGTGAGTGCCCTGGGGCTGCCATAACCAAGTCCCACCCACTGGGTGCTTTAAGCTACAGCAGTGTGCTGGGTCATGGTGCTGGAGGCCTGAAGCCACAGTCACAGTATCGGTAGGGCTGTGCCTTCTGAGGCTGGGAGGCAGCCGCAGCTCCAGGCCTCTCTCCAGCCTCTGGGGTTTGCCGGCAGCCTTGGTGTTCATGGGCTAGCAGAAGCACCACCTTGATCTGCGCCTTCACCTTCACGTGCCCTTCTCCCCATTTGCTTGTGTCCAAATGTCCCCCTTTTAGGAGGACTCCAGCCCGCCATGCTCCAGCATGACCTTATCTTAACTAGTAACACTGGCAATGACCCCATTTCCAAATCAGATCATGTTCTGAGGGGCAGAAGGTTAGGACTCCAACACATGAGTTTTGGTGGGACACAACTCGACTCTCAGCACTGGGTAGGTGGATTTGACCTTGATGGAACGCTGACAGCCGGGGCTATGAGTGGCCTTTCTTGGTTTTGAGGCTCCCCATGTCTGAGCGTGCCAGCCTTTCCTCCACCTGTTGCCATCTGTGGAGTTCCTGACCACCTCCCCCAGGTCCCCTCCCCACAGGCCCCAGGAACTTTGGAGCCTGGCTCACTAAATTTTCCACCCAAGTCCAGACACCACTGCAGATGACTTTGAAGCCCAAGAGGGTGGCACATGCATCATCCTAGCCCCAGGCCCCTTAGCTTTCTTCAAATGTGGACTCATCGTTACCCAAGCAAACATCCTCATGGCCGTGGCCAGATCTTGGCATTCCCCAGGACTTTTCATCTCTCGAATCTTCATCCCCACTGTCTGCTCCGCACCTTCCCAACCCTCCCCTCTGACAGCGGCTCCATCATTTGATTAAGAGGTCAACTTCCGCATGCCCCAGACTCTGACTGGCTCCCCCAACTGGCAGATCCAGGAACCGCTGCAGCCAAGGGCTCGAGAGACGCTGTCAGTCGTTTCCCTCTTTCTTTTTCTCTCTGTCTTCCTCCCTTCTCTCCATCTCAATTTGGATTGGCTTTCGTGTCAGTCCATTTTTGCATCGTATAAAGAAATCCCTGAGACTGGATAATTTATGAAGAAAAGAGGTTTAATTGGCTCACAATTCTGCAGACTGTACAGGAAGCATGGTATGGGTATCTGCCTCTGGTGAGGGCCCAGGAAGCTTCCAATCATGGCAGAAGGTGGAAGGGAGCAGGTACATCATGTGGCAAGAGCCAGAGCCAGAAGGAAGGGGGAGGCACCACACTCTTAAACAACCAGATCTTGCAGGAAAAAACTGAGGGAGAGCTCACTCATCACCAAGAGGACGGCGCTAAACCATTCATGAGAGATCCACGCCCATGATCCAGTCACCTCCCTCCAGGCTCCACCTCCCACACTGGGGATCACATTTCAATGTGAGATTTGCAGAGAAAAAACATCCAAACCACATCAGCTTTGTTCTTAAACAGGTGTCTCCACCTGGCTGTCATGGTGAGTACTGGACTGTTTCATGTCCAGATTCTTGTGGCTTGTGGTCTAGAAGGAAGAAAGTCCTCCTTGCAGAGTCCAAATATTAAATCTTGTTGAAGGACTGTGGTGGGCTGTGCTCGACAGACACACATTGGATTCCCCATAGGGGATGGTGTGGCATGAGCAGCCCACCTGAGCCGGCGGGGGGCTGAACCCCACGACTGCAGGGCCCTCCGCAGTGAGGCTGTTCGGACTCTGCCATTTTGACTCAGTGGGCATTTTCACCCTGAGAGCTCTTGACTCCAAGTTCATGACCCATCACGTTAATCAGAATTAAAACAACTGTTGACATTTGTCAAGGAAGCGTTTTCTGAAGCAAATTCCATGAACCCAGTTTAGTTTTTGGGTCAATTTTCTAACAGCAGTTAACCAAATTGTTTCCATTTTTATTTTTCGGTGATAACTTGACTCATCCTTTCTTTTTGTGGGCTTTTTGTTTTTTTTTCCTTACTCGAGTCTAATTTCAAAAAGTGAATCTTCTGCTCTAATGAGTCTTCTTTTTGTGGCCATTACTTCTACAAAGCCAAATTTCTCGAATAATTTGCACAGCTCTAAATTTAAAAAAAATTCTTCTTCTTCTGTCAATACAAATTTTAAATTTAACATCTGTATTTTTACATACTGTCAGTTGCATTTTCCACTGATAATTTCTAATTTCCCCAGTTCAATTTTTATAGTTTTCAATGTTAACAATGACTGATTGTTCAATTTTTAATCTAAAACAACTTTTGCTGTATGCTTCAGTTTTATAGCTTTTTAAATCTATAATAACTTTTGCTTCAGTTATTGTTGGCTTTATTTTGTGTTATGTCTGCTGTAATATTAATTTTGAATTGAAAAAAATGTGTTTGTATTTCTTAGGTAATCCTGAGCCATTACTCTTGATAATTGCTCTTGTCCACAGCTGGTCCACTTTATGGCTCATCAGGCTCTTTCATAAGTTTCTAACAGCTCTACGAACTCTCAGTAACCATCTGCTCTGTGGCAAATGGGCAAAGTATCTGCCATGGAGTCAAAACACCTCCGGGTAAATGTGGCAAGGTCAAAGGAACTTCTTTGATTCATCCAGAGCCACGTCCAGCAGATAGGGTAGTGGCCATTCCCTAGGAGAAGCTGGGTACTGCTCCTACAACAAGGGCGAAGGAAAATCATGCTTGGACCTAAGAAGGCTTTGCAAGGTCTTGCCTATCCACTTCTTAAGATCTCTCCTTCCCCCAGTCTTTATCCTGCCTGTTGCCCATAGCACACCTCCGTATCCCATGTCTCACTTTGGGATATGAACCTCAGTTAGCCCCCTCCCCAGGGTACTTATGCAGGGGCTTGGGAAATTACCAATGGAGGACCAGCCCAACACTCCCTTCTCTACTAGTACCCAACACCCACCTCCCCTCCCAAATCCAATGCTCTTCTTCCCTCCCATACCTAGCACTCCCTCTCACCTGTATTAGTCCATTCTCCCACTGCTATTAAGGAATACTTGAGACTGGGTAATTTATAAGGAAAGAGGTTTAATTGGCTCAGGGTTCTGCAGGCTGCACAGGAAGCATGGCGGCATGTTCTCAGCTTCAATCATGGTGGAAGGTGAAGGGGAAGCCTGCACTTCACATGGCCGGAGAGGGAGGAAGGGAGAGACGGGGAGGTACCACACACTTTTAAACAGCCAGATCTTGTGAGGACTCACTCACTGTCATGAGAACAGCACCCAGGGGGAACTCCACCCCCATGATCCAATCACCTCCCACCAGGCCCCACCTCCAACACTGGGGATTACAATTCTACATGAGGTTTGGGCAGACACACAGATCGAAACCATATCACCAACCATACCCAACGCTCCTTCTCTGCTAGTACCCCATGCTTCCCTTTTTGACTCATGCTTCAGACTGCCGCCCACTGCCAGAGAAAATGCAAACGCAACTGGCTGGGCCCCCAGGGAACAGGGAACGCAATCCTGGCTGCAGCCCTTGGCTGCACAGGACACCCTGTCTGCGCCTCTGGATGCTCTACAGTGACTCAGTTTCCCTCTCTGTGCACCCCACCTGCCCCTCACTCTCAGCTGATGCCCTGGCTCCCTGCTTCTCTGAGCAGACAGGGACCGTCCCTCAAATCCCTTCTTGCCTTCCTGCAACCCCCGACAGCCGAACTTGCATCCACGCTTTATCTTCTCCCCTGGTGCCCCAACGCCCTACGTATGGTTTATTAAGAACCGTTCCCCAGTGATGATCTCTCCCTCTTTGTTGTCTTCAGTCTTCTCTGTGCAAGGGGCACGGCACCCCTAAGGCACCCTTGAGTCCTGTTATCCGGGGACATCTCAGGCTCTCTCTCCAAAGCCCTGAGATCTGTTGTCCTGCCTCCTCCCTGTGCCGTGTGACTGCTGTCCTCTTGCACTCTCCTGGGCCTGCCACCTGCAGGGATCCTTGTCTTCCTGAGCCACCCCTTCCCTACCAGCATGGTGGCTTTTCTGCCTCTGCTCTCAGCCCTCTGCCTTCCAGCCAGAGCCCCCCTTTCCCATTGCCAGCTTAGACCCCAGCTGTTCTCCTGAGGTAGGGCCCTTCCTTGCCCAGGAAGGAGCCCAATTCCAGTATCTTCTCTTTGTCCTGGAGTCCCGTGGTCTTAGCCTCGGTCTTACCTGCTCCTGCCTGGGGCTGATGCTCCCATTAGGCTGCAGGTTCATGAGGGGTGAAATGGAGCAGTGTGGGATGTTTCTTGACCTTGGGAAAGTTGGGGAGGCAGAAAGCGGTGGGTCCATCTGCTCCAGCTGGCTGGGAAGCCTGCTGTTTGAATATGACCTGGTATATTCTAGACGTGGAGGCGTCAGATGGCCAGAGCTCCAGGACTACTCCACAGACACTCCTGTGCTGGTGGATGGCAGAAAGCCGGGGCTGGGCAGATCCGTGCTGCCTCCTTGGGCCCAGTGTCCACTCCTCTGGAGAAGCACTTGGGCTTCAGTGTCAAAGGCACAGATCCACACAGCAGCCCTGCAGCTCACCAGCTCTGAGAGCAGGCGCCATGTCCTTCCCTTCTGCACGGGGTGATAACAGCCTGGCCCTGTGACAGCTGGGTGATGTGGTGCTGAGGACTGTTTCACATAGAAGCTGGCAGGCTCCCTCCCAGTGCGTTACAGTGGAATCACTTATTTTTCCTGGGTCCCTGCGTGTTTTCTTCCTCCTGAGCACAGCATGCTATTGTGCCTGTCTGTGCTGTCAGAGTCACCGCCTGAAGTTAATGATGGTGGTCACAAAGTGTCACAACTGTCCTTGGCTTCCCTTGCCCTCATCCGAAGCAGCTCTGGCCCCAGCGGTGTCCTGGCCTTGGCTGGGATGACCCCTGTCTTGCCTTCCCTCCAATCTCTGCCTGGGAACTCTCCGCCCCGCCCTTGCCCCCACGTGGCCTTTCTAAGGTGACGCCATCAGACCTCTGCTTCCTCCCCCTCTCCTCTTTCTTGGGATCACAGCAGAATCCACCCATCTGTCCTTGGAAGCCCTGCCTGACACTGAGGCTGTTTGTCTGGATGACCTCCCAGCATCCATCTCTCTGATTTTGGCCACCTGCTCCTGATTCCCTGGGAGGTGGGTCTGATTTTCCCTCTTCTGTCATGGCCAGGATCAAATGCCCACTGTGTGCTCAGTGCTGGTGGCAGAGAGCTGAAGCCCCTGAGTTCCTACTCTCAAGGCATAAATGATCTAGAAAACAAGGATGTGGGTCATTTCAACACAGGGGACAGAGATTTCCAAAGGTGCAGTCATGAAACTGGACTGGAAATGCCATGGGGGGCTTCCCAGGAGAGGTGATACCCCCGCTAAATTGAGAGGAAGGGCAAAGTGCCCAAATCGAAGCACGGGGAGAAGGGGCTGAGGCCACAGGAACGGAGGTGCCAGCAAAGGCCCAAGCACTTGCAGCACGGATACGCACAGATCAGTGCGAGCTGGACGGGCACCTGCGTGGGGATGAGAGGAAGGGAGAGGGCACTGTCCCGATCCTTGGGCCAGGAGCGCCAGGCATCCCAGCTTTGACATGGCTCCTCTCCAGAAAAATCATCAGATACCAGATAAGGCAGAGGACGTGTGTGGGCGGCTGCATGGATGACTTCACACAGGCGGTTTGATGCTGCTGCTGATTGGATCGTGTTCCTGCTGCTACTTTCTGGAGTGGAACTCGAGGGAGAAGTTCTTTAAACAACCTGTTTCTGAGGTTCAAAAAGAGGCTCTGACACTCGGCCACTGTCCCCAGACAGAGCCTCTCCTCCTTTCCCTCCAGGTTCCTGGAAGACGGCCCCCTCTCCTCCAAGCACATCTGTCTCTTGGACTCTGAATTCCACCCCTTTGCCCCTGCAGACCCTGGGCACCCCTGCCTGGCACTGCTGAAGGACCACTCCCTCCCTGGGGACTCCCACCAGACCTGGGCGGTGGCTTCACCAGCCAACATGGAAGGGGCTCAGGGCAAATTGTCCTTGTTTGCAGATGAAGAAACAGAGCCTTGGTGTGCAAGACCAGAGTCCAGCCACAGAAGCAGCTGTGCCCCCTCCACTCCTCATCTTGAGAGACACCTTCCTTACACAATGCTGGGTGACCCAGGAACCCACATATTCAAGACAGAGGCCCCATTTATGGCAGCCGATGGCCCTGGGCAGGGGTGGGCTGATGTCTGCTGGATACAGACTGTAGGGTGCACTGGTTGTCAATTCTGGAATGTCCTGGAGAGCTGTGACTGGGAGGTGACAGCATCACCCACCCCGCTGGACACTTGTTCCCTTATGGGAAAGTCACAGCCCCTCTCGGGTGACCTTCTGAGCTTTAAGGCCTTCCTGCAGGCAGCTGTGTCCTCTGCCGGGCCTCCCCCGAGGTCCCCTCAGTGCTCTCCCATCTCAAGGCCGCACACACGTTTCTGGAGGCCTGGGCTGTCCTTCCTGGAGGTGCTGGAAGGAAGCACTGACTGCTCACCGTGTTCTGTGCTGTTTGATGCCTCCTTGGCCAGGGTTCATGACTTATACCATGTGCCGGATACTGTGGTCAGTGCAGGGTGTGTCATCAGCTTGCAGAGCATGCCCTCGCTGGGATTTGAGGACCCATGGGGCCCCCTGAGCCGATCCCAGCACCTTACTGGAGCTGAAGTACTTTTTCTGATTGAATCGTCATCTCCAGAGGAGCCAGGGCCACGTCTCAAGGTGGCGGAGGCAAAGGACTGGCCCTTCCCACAGATGCATCCGCTGAGTGACGTGCCAGAAAAGCCTCCACCTCTGAGAAGGGGCAGCTCCCCTAGACTGAGCCTGGGGTTCCTGCCACAGGGGAGGAGCCCAGCCGGGCAGAACCCCCAGGGTTAGTCCTGAAGGGAATCAAGGATGGGGAGGAGGAACTGGTGGGGTTGGAGGGACAGCGAGAGTGTGGCTTGGTGGGGAACGGAGAAAGGATCTATGGAGATCTCTGCAGCATGGGTGCCCTCTGTTACACGTCCAACTTGGCCTGAACTCTGATTGCTACTGTTTGGGGGAACAATGGAGCTTTGTGTGGGCCATGATCGTAGCAACACTTCCCAGGATCCAGGGCAAAGCCAGGAGCTCCCTGCTCTTCCCATGGGGGGCCCAGCTTGCCTGCCCTGGATGGGCAGTGTGGGCATCCTGCGAGGAGCCCAGCTGCCCTGGATGGTTGTGAAGGTGCCTGAGGGCTGGGGGAAGCTGTAGGAGGGAGGCCAAGACCCAACAGTGGGCAGCAGATGCCGGGTGGGTAGAGAAAGGCCCTGGATACAGGAGGCAGAGGCCGGTGCTTGGTCTGAGGCGGGACAGGACGGGAAGGGAAGAGAAGGAGCTTTCACCCCTTAGGCAGGTTCCATGTTTTCATGTTCGCTGCAGCAGGCCAGAGCACCCCTGAGCGGACAGGGCTGGGGCCTCGGGCTAGGAGGGGCCAGCAAGGCTGGACATCATGCTTTTGCTTTGGTGCCATTTATGTGACTTTTTCATTAGCTTCATTTAGCCAACCAGGAGTAAAAGAGAAATCAGATGGCCAGATGCTCTCTGGGCTGGGTCCTGGCAGGAGGGATGTGATGAGAGGTCAAGGGCCCGAGGGATTTAGGGTTCAGGTCAGTGTGCTGGTGAATGATAGATGAGGTCCAGGTCAGCGTGCCAGTCAATGATCAGATGGGGCCCAGGTTAGCGTGCTGGCCAATGATCAGATGGGGCTCAGGTCAGCATGCCAGACAGTCATCAGATGGGGCCCAGATCAGCATGCCAGACAGTGATCAGATGGGGCTCAGGTCAGCATGCCGGACAGTGATCAGATGGGGCTCAGGTCAGCATGCCGGACAGTGATCAGATGGGGCTCAGGTCAGCATGCCGGACAGTGATCAGATGGGGCCCAGGTCAGCATGCCGGACAGTGATCAGATGGGGCTCAGGTCAGCATGCCAGACAGTGATCAGATGGGGCTCAGGTCAGCATGCCGGACAGTGATCAGATGGGGCCCAGGTCAGCATGCCGGACAGTGATCAGATGGGGCCCAGGTCAGCATGCCGGACAGTGATCAGATGGGGCTCAGGTCAGCATGCCGGACAGTGATCAGATGGGGCCCAGGTCAGCATGCCAGACAGTGATCAGATGGGGCTCAGGTCAGCATGCCGGTGAATGATCAGATGAGGTCCAGGCTAATAGCCAGGGCTGGGATCCCAGGAGGGCAGGGACAGAACCGTGGGCAGAAGCTTGGAGTTTCCCTTAAGAGGGACCTGGGCTGGTTGGCATCTAGTACAGTGGTCAGGATGAGGAAACACCCCACTCAAGGGTTTAGAACAGGAAATGCAGCATAGTACCTACCTAGTGATGAGAAAAATACCACAAAGGGGAAGAAAAAGACCAGGACAAGCCTATGAAGCTCTCTGATCCTGAGTCCATCAGCTCAGCCACCTCGGGCACCAGCTGGTGGTGACCAGCCACGGGGGCTTAGATGTCCCTGGGATGACGAGTCCCACATGGCCTGGACCCCATGCTGGCGATGTGGATGGCAGACACCCCTGAGTGCACTGACTCCACTTCTCACCAGCCAGATCTGGGGCTTGCTGTGAGACAGCTCTGGAGATCCAAGGCCCCCTTGGGCCTCTCCACTCCCCAGGACAGGGCTGACCCTTCTCAATGTCTGGCCTCACCCACCTCTTTACCTAGCATAAAAGCTTAAGCCAGTCACCAATCGCATCATATCCACATTAGTGGGACGGCAGGGCTCCTGAACACACGGCTTTAGTAGATTAGATATCCTCGTTGGTCAGTGGTGCTGGTCACCAAGGGACCTTCAGAAACCGGGGAGAAGCCATGGGAGTGCAGAGAGCCCGTGTGTGGTCCTGGCATCAGTGGGCACAGAGGCAGGCCCTGGGAAAGTTGCCTGGACTCCTGCGGAAGGTTCTGATCGTGCCCGTTCTCATGTCCCTGAAGCCGGCCCTCTTGGTGTCTTCAGTTCAATGTGACAAGTTGTTTAATGTGGCAAATGGAGGCCTTATCACCTCTAAGGGATGTTGGGTGCAGCATCTCTGTCTGCTTATCATCTGTCACATTGCTGCTAGGATATGCAATCTCTCTCTGTGGGGGTAGCCCGAGTTTTGCTGCTAATATTAATGGTGCATGACATGTGTGCATCTCCATTTCATCATGAAGCACTTCCTCAGAGGTGGTCTCGGTAGTCCTCCCAGGCCTCAGGCAAGACAAGTCTCATGCACTAGGTGCCTCGAGAATGCAAACATGCACATGTCTCAGTCCCCCCACAAGAATGTAAACATGCACACGTCCCAGTTCTCTCTCAAGAATGCAAACATAAATGCATCCCAGTCCTCCCTCGAGAATGCAAACATGCACGCGTCCCAGTTCCTCCCTCGAGAATGCAAACATGCACGCGTCCCAGTTCCTCCCTCGAGAATGCAAACATGCACGCGTCCCAGTTCCTCCCTCGAGAATGCAAACATGCACGCGTCCCAGTTCCTCCCTCGAGAATGCAAACATGCACGCGTCCCAGTTCCTCCCTCGAGAATGCAAACATGCACGCGTCCCAGTTCCTCCCTCGAGAATGCAAACATGCATGCGTCCCAGTTCCTCCCTCAAAAATGCAAACATGCACATGTCCCAGTTCCTCCCTCGAGAATGTAAACATGCATGCGTCCCAGTTCTCTCTCAAGAATGCAAACATAAATGCATCCCAGTCCCCCCTCGAGAATGTAAACATGCACGTGTCCCAGTTCCCCCTCGAGAATGCAAACATGCACGCATCCCAGTTCCTCCCTCGAGAATGTAAACATGCACACGTCCCAGTTCCCTCTCGAGAATGTAAACATGCATGTCCCAGTCCCCCCTCGAGAATGTAAACATGCACACGTCCCAGTTCCCTCTCGAGAATGTAAACATGCACGCATCCCAGTTCCCCCTCGAGAATGTAAACATGCATGTCCCAGTCCCCCCTCGAGAATGCAAACATGCACATGTCCCAGTCCCCCCTCGAGAATGTAAACATGCACGCGTCCAGTCCTCCCTCTGTGTGCTCCCTGCGCCCTCTCTGGTTGTTATTGTGTGATCCAGATCAGGGGTTGGCAGAGGATCACCTGGGGCTGAATCTGGCTGACTTTTTAAAATAAAGTTTTATTGGCACACAGTCCTCCCACCATTTGTATGTTGTCTGTGACTGCTTTCCCACTGCCCTGGAATCAGTGAGGTGAGTTGTCCCACCGACGCTGTGTTGCCCAGAAAGCCTAAAGTGTTTCCTGTCTGCCTCTTCACAGAAAATAAATGTCTCCCCTGATCCAGATAATGGAAAGGAAGAAGTTGTTTTGATTTGGGAGCGCAGCCCCCAATTGGCACCCCTCTGGGGAGTAGTAAATACTCAGCTCTTTGGATGTTGCCATGGTGGGGGTTGTCTGTCTGTGTTGTAAGGAAAGGCAGTGTTCAGACAGCACAAAACCAACCATTAGCACACGACTGTATTACAGTGCAAGGTTTGCCTCACACCATTCCAGAGCTGTTATTTTCTGGAGGGCCATGAGGCACTCCAGATGTATGTGGATTCTATTGTCTTCCTGATTTTATAGATGACAAAGCTGAGATTCAGAAAGGTGGTGGTGTTTGCTCATGGTAGCTTCCAGTCTAAGACTTGATTTAAAGCCAAGACTGTTGGCCACAACCAGCACCTCCCATGCCAGGAGGGAGGCCAGCTGCAGTGGACACGACTGTGCAGCGGACACGCTTGTGTAGCGGACACACCTGAGCCCACCACGCACCTGAGCTGACCCCTGACAGGGCTCCTTGAAAGCCTTCTGCCTGCCAGGCTGAGCCGCAGCCCGTGCCTGTGATTCTGCCTCCCGCGAGCCTGTGTGTGCATGGATGACGGCATTGGGTCCACGTCACGGAGCCGCAGGCAGACATGCGGGCTTCATGCACTTGTGGCCTCAGCTTGTGTGTGTGGAGATGTGCGCCTGATCGTGCTCTCGTGCTGAATTTTAAATTAGTTTAAAAAGATTGTTTTATTATAACTGAAAGTGGAAAATATACCTCTGGAATGATATCAGCTAAACCTTGCACAGTAATAAATCTGTGTGCTCATGGTTTGTTTTTGTGCTGTTTAGTCGTTATGGTGACAGGCTGCATTAACTAATACGTAAGTTTGTTTTGAGAATTTTAACACTGGCTTGCCAAATGTTCTCTTTCTGCTGCGATCTTAGGCCTTTACAGTTCTCATTGGTGAGGATCAGCTTGGATTTCAGGGCCCTTCATGGTCTGAAAATGGCCAGAGCCCCCTCAACAACCCTGACTGGCACGTCTGAGAGAGGTGCCTTGTGTAAACAAGTGTAAGAGTAATGACACTTCAGAGGCACTACAGGGGAAAATAAGCAGCAAGACTCTCTCAGCCTTTGTGGAACACGTTTCCACACAGGAGCTGGGTTGTGATGGCCAGCAGGGAAGGCAGCCATCTCTCCCCGGTGGCCAGACAAGGGCTCTCGTGGACGGGGCACTGGTCCCAGTGGGGAGCAAACCTGACTGGGCCTTCCCCTGTCACCATCAACTGCTCAGGCAGGGCCAGAAAGACAGAAGAACTGCTGAGACACGGGGGCAGGGTGGCGGGGGTCCAGGCCGGGCGGGCAGCCTCTTGCCTGAGAGAGGGAGATAACAGTGAGGTCAGACGAGAAGGCCTGTGCTCCAGGTTTAGCCTAGGAGTCTCCAAACAGAGCACTGCCTCACAGCGAGGCAGCGTGGGGAAAAGGATGGGAAATGGGGGTGAATCAGAGGCCTCTGCATTCGTGCCGGGCTGTTTAAAATGCTCTGGGCCTCAGCATGCCCGCTTTAAAAATGGAGGAAGTATGTGGGAATGTGGAAACAAGTGAACGATTAATACTGAATTCCAGGAACGGCTGTGCCAGGAAGGAAGCCAACCTGGGAAGGGGCAGCAGGGGAGAGATGACTGTTTAAAAAATTGGCCAAGGGCCAGTCCTGGTGGCTCACGCCTGTAATCCCAGCCCTTTGGGACGCTGAGGCGGACGGATCACAAGGTCAGGAGTTCGAGACCAGCCTGGCCGATATGGTGAAACCCCATCTCTACTAAAAACACAAAAATTAGCCAGGCGTGGTGGCAGGCACCTGTAATCCCAGCTACTTGGGAGCCTGAGACAGGAGAATCTCTTGAACCCAGGAGGCGGAGCTTACAGTGAGCTGAGATTGCATCACTGCACTCCAGCCTGGCCACAGAGTGAGACTCAGTCTCAAAAAAAAAAAAAAAAAAAAGTTGGCCAGGGAAAGCCTATGAGAAAGGGACTTCAGGCCAAGTCTGAGTGGCGCGTGCAGGACCGTGGACAGGGGTGGGGAGTGTGGGAGAGGCTGTGTTTAAAGGGCTCCCTCAGGGGCACAGGTTCAGAGAGGCACTCGGAAAGCAGGTGCCATCAGTGCCTGGGAAGGGTGCTCTGCGTGTGCCGGCGGCAGATCTGACGCCCTCCTCCTGGGAATGGCAGGGCTCCTCCAGCAGCTGAAGGCACCCGTCACCCGGGCCTGTGGGGATGATGTGTTGGCCTCAGCAGGGGCTCTGGGCAGCCCGGCCTTCCCTTGAGATATGCCTGAGCATGCAGCAGTGACGGTGGCCCCGGGCCCTGGACGGCCTGGAGACAATGTAGCAAGGCCAGGCCCAGGCAGTTTTAACAATTCAGAGTCCTTCACATTCATTCAGAAAGTTGTTGACAATTGTTTGCAATTTTCTCTTAACATTTCTCTGCCTCCATCTCCTTAGCTGGAAAATGGGGAGCTCGTGTTTGGACAGTCAAGGATGGACATGGCAGGAGAATGGGTAGCCAGGGCGTGGGGCGCAAACGTGACCAAGATGTCCAAAGCTAAGGTTGACGTTCCTCCAGTAGACGTTTCCCCAGTGAGCTGGGCAGGGTGGCTCCCGCCTGTAATCCCAGCACTTTGGGAGGCCGACGGGGTCAGATCACAAGGTCAGGAGATCGAGACCATCCTGGCTAACATGGTGAAACCCCGTCTCTACTAAAACTACAAAAAATTAGCCAGGCGTGGTGGCAGGCGCCCGTAGTCCCAGCTGCTCAGGAGGCTGAGGCAGGAGAATGGTGTGAACCCGGAAGAAGGAGTTTGCAGTGAGCCGAGATCACGCCACTGCACTCCAGCCTGGATGACAGAGCGAGACTCCGTCTCAAATAAAAAAAAAGAATTGTCCCTGGTGGCCTGTGGGCCTTATTTTCGGGGTTTCTTGGGAGTGCAAAAGGGGCTAGAACATGGCGATGCACTCAAAAGAACCATTGTAACATATATTTTGGTGTGTCATTGATTTTGGAATTTTGAGTGGTGTGTGTGTGACTGCGTCTGTGTGTTTGGGACGGAGTTTGGCCTGGTTTTCAGGGTCATTTCCAGAAGTGACATTCGTGGATGTCTGTCATTACTCTAGACAAGGGCGCTGATAACAACAGGACAGAAACAGGTGGCCACGCTGGAGTACCTTTTCCTATGAGCACCGCCGAGAACCAAGATGCAAAAGCAAAGGGTTCCCCACGCACTACACTTCCGCATGTGACTGGGAAGGCCAGCCCTGAAGACCCTCCCTGGAAGCCCACTCCTTCTGCTCCACACACAAAGTACACACATCTGCTCACCTGCTCTCCTGAAGCACAGTAGATTAGACACAGCTCAAAGGCAGGAGCAGGGCTTTTCATGGCAGCACATTTGGAAGTTGCTGCTAGGATTAAAAAAAAAAAAAGAGTGCAAGGAAACAAAACATGGAAAATAACAAGGGCCCCTGACTGTCCTCGAACACGGGACACTTTAGGATTGGGGCAGCTACAGATTCCCGCGTGTGTGCCGTGACGGGACAGACCTGCAGCCATCATCCGAGAAGGTGTGTCATACAGGAACTTGCTGTTGGTGTCCTCGTGAAAGGAGGTACAAAGGCATAACACAAAAGGCGAAGCGTTCGCACTCACTCTGCTCTCCTGACCTCATCCACTCTGGCCCCTTAATTTTATAGAAAGGCCAGGCTCAGTGCAGACCAAAGTACATTGCTCATTGGTCAGCAGAGCCATACACAGCTCTGTCTAGCTCAGTATTTCTCTCTGTGGAAAAACGAGGCTGAGGAGCACGTGGACTGTCCCAGGTGGGGCAGGAGGACGATTGTTCCTCCTTGCAGGCAGTGCCTATGAACCCCCTCCCTAAGCCGGGTGTGTTCTAGTTGCAGGGTGGTGTAGGGATGAAAGCCAAGATTAGACCATTGGAACAGAAGGGATTGAACGCTTGGAACCCAAGGCAGCACGGGGCAGGGAGAAGGTGCCTCTACTGTGACATGGAAATTCCTCTCTGCTTAACGAGAATGTCCGTTAATAGTTCACTTCTGACCAGATTATTGTATCACTGCCAGCAGATCTGAGAAAAGCCTCTGCGTTTCCAAATTCTAAAGCCATTTCACTTTTTCCTAACGTCAGAAATTCCTTGATTCCTGTTCAAAGTGGCGATGGATGCCAACTCCGCTTAGCTGAAGGCTCTGAGCAGACTCCTCTGGCCCTATTTACAACCTCACGGCCATTTCCACTCGAGGTTCCTACATGGACCTCCACAGAGATGAGCCCTGCTGTCTGCTCAGAGGCCCTCAGAAGAGCTCCAAGGGGGCCTCTCGGGCTTAGAGGGGAGCTGAGAGATGTAGCCCCTGTCCTGGCCAAGCTGGAACTGTGCTTTCATTCCTTCTGAGCCCAGCTCAGCTCCTGGGACTTGGGGAGCTGAGGAAGTGCAGACCCACCCTCTGCTGAGAAGCTCCTGTCTTTGTTGACAAGAGGTGGGTCATGAGGGGACTGGCTAGAGTTCTTCTCCTAAATGGCATTGAGCTGAGGGTGTCTTCCTGGGACACAGACTGAGCCTACAGTTACCCTTTTAGCACCTGAAGGGAGCTTCTGTCGTGAACCCACTAATTGCCGGACTTTGAAATTCGTTATGCATTTGCACGAGGCTTTATGGGGTCTTTCTAGGCGTGTGGTTCCCTGGATGGTTGCAGCTCCCTGAGAGATCAGTAAGAGGGTCCCACCTGGGAGCCCTACAAGCACAGGCTGGGAGACCGTGGAGCAGGCGGCCCAGCAGGAATCTGCTCCCACTTGGAGCTAGAGCTGGGACCAGGACCGACGTTCTGATGACTCCCTGCCCCATGGGATGGAGGGGTCAGCCTGGCCCCAGGGCCACCCTCAAGTCAACAGCAGGAGTCCTTTAGTGAGAGCACCTCTCAATGGAGCCAAGGGTTCTAATGGGATGGAGAGAAGAGAGAAGAAAGGGAGCCGACTCGAAGGGGTGAGAAGCATGGGAGACAGGAGGCAGGAGAGTGGCAGTCTCATCAAGACTAGGACGGTGCTGCCAGAACGTGACTCCACAGGCCCCTCTCCGGGAAGTGCGCACGGCTCACACCCCTGCTGCCCGTGAGGGCAAAGGCACATCTAGATCCCAGCTTGCTCATGTGTGGTCCAGGAACCAGCAGCATCAGCATCACTTGGGAGGCTGTTAGAAATGTAGGCCCTCAGGCCCCACCCCATGGCTCCTGGGTCAGAATTCTCATTTCAGCACAGTCCCTGGGGCATGTGAGCATGTTGCAGCCCCACAAGCTCTGTTCTAGATGACATGGAAGAGTTAAGGGGCCAGGTGTGGTGGCTCACACCTGTAATCCCAGCACTTTGGGAGGCCGAGGGCAGGAGGATCCCTTGAGCCCAGGAGTTCAAGACCAGCCTGGGCAATGTAGCGAGACCCTCTCTCTACAAAAAAATTTAAAAATAATTAGCCAAGCATAGTGGAGTCTGCCTGTAGTCTGAGCTACTCTGGAGGCTGAGGCAGGAGGATCACTTGTGCCTGGGAGGTCAAGGCTGCAGTGAGTTGTGATTGCACCATTAAACTCTAGCCTGGAAAACAGAGTGAGATTTTGTCTCGAAAAAAAAAAATGTGTGAAGGGCAGATTGTGAAGGAGGCTTTCTCACACTGTGGCTTGGTGCCTTCTCAAACAGCCCTGATTAACACCTAATGAGCTGGGATCTCATTAAAACCCTTAAGTGAAAACATGTTTGCTCTATCCCCCTGTTTCATATAGTCACAGGGGATGCTGACTCCAGGTGATCTGATGTGCATTGAGGGAAAAGTCTCCCGGACGGAAATGGCTTTTGTTGGTTTCCTGCAGGATCACTGGGCCAGGGCCAAACACAAGACACTGACAAGTCGAGTGCCCCTGCCCCAAAGGAAACCATCCACAGGACAGTAGGGCACGCCAGGCAGCAGCGAGAGATGGCAGGGGCGACTGTCTCAGGGGAAGAAAGGGCCGGAGCCTAGTCACTGCCCAGCCACTCCCACCACTCGCCATCGACCGAGTCAGTCTCCAAGGCTGGCCCAGTCTCTGGGGAGGGAGCAGCGCCCACACAGGGAGGAGGGAGGAGGGAGGTGGTGGACACCTTCTGAGACTCTACACAGACCCAAGACAGAAACACAGACCCAAGACAGAAACACAGACCCGAGACAGAAACACAGACACGAGGCTGGAACGCAAGACCCTGGGCTCCAGGACACAGGGAGGGTCTTGGGTGGGGGAGCAGAGTTGGCTTTAAAGGAAGGAAGATGCTACCATGAATGGGTGCAGAACAGGAAGGGCCCTTAGAGAATGTCCAGGGTCCATGGGCTGCAGGATTCCTAGGAGTCTGTGATGGTGCCTCGGCTGGTTCCCTGGGGTAGCAAGAGGGTTATAGGGTACTTCGTATCCTGAATTATTTACTTCTGTACTTATCTATTATTCTAATGACAAGATAAGATGATGCTTATTATAAAAATTCAAAGATTCCTTTTCCCTTAAAATGGAAAAATGAAAATCATAAACTTCAAACAGAAAAATTGTAAAAAGGAGCCACGTCAAGTCAAGGAAGTAACATGGTCAGGAGTTAAATGTCCTTAAAGCTCCTGCCATTGCACGCAGCACTCATGGGGCAGGCTGGACGGACAGACAGACTGGCATCAGGGGAAGGGGTTCTTCAGACACATGACAAGGATTGAGTCTATCTTTCAGAAAAACATTTTGAGCCAAATGGCTTGGCACACGGAGAAAGAACACAGTTTGAATCTCATGTCTTTAAAACTCAGTAAATTCAGATCCATCAAAGAATTAAATATTAAAAACTAAAATGTAAATGTTCTAGAATCCAATGATGCTGAAAAGGCTTGGAGTTACTGAAGGAGGCCTTTTTTTAAGCATGTTCCCAACTCCAGAAATCATACTGAAAAATATTGATAAGTATGACTACATAAAAATGTAAAATAGCTGAAAAAAAAAACGCCTACAGCCAGGATGAAAATCAAATTTAAAAACTGGGAAGGTGTTTTTCACACGCATGATTGACAAGGTCTATTATGCAAAGGATATTTACAAATAAATTAGGAAAAAATCCCAATAGAAAGAAATGGCAAGAGGCTATGCACAGGCATACAAAAAGAAAAGAAAAACAACCAATAATTACAGAAAAGAAATGCAAAATAACAATAAGAGTGTTAAACATTAGCTATTGGATTGAGAAATATTAAAGATCAAAGAAATCTGTGCTGGCGAGTCTTCTTGTGTGCTTAGTAGCGGCTCACGTTAGAACCATCAAAAACACAGTTCCGAAACCAGCACCATAATGTGTGATGGCTCCAGCTTCTGCCTGAGTCGTTATTTGTTGTAAAGGTGATAACTGCACAAGGTTAAACGAGGGATGCACGAAGATGTTCATAGGAAATGATTTATTAAACAAAGGGAAAAAGAAAAACATGACATCTCTAAATGCTCATTAATGGAGATTGGCTATATAAGCTCTGATAAATCTACTGAAAGATCACATGCTAATTAAAAGCAATGACGTACATGTCTGCTTGTTGTGAACTATTTCTATATCATATTGTTGACAGAAGAAAGCTGATTTCAGAGTAAAGTGTACATGCGTACAGGATAAACTTGCATTTAGGTGGACAAGCAACCCTTTCCTCTCTCCCGGAAGTGCCATCGCCCAGGAACGTGCTTGGGAAAGAAAGAGGGGTGCTCGAGTATTCTTGCCCAGTTTGTTGACGTGAGCGCTGCACCCAGACCTGCCTGCCCCCTGCCCTACCTTGCTGTGGGTCCAGCATTGGTGGGAATTGGTGGGAAGCACTTTGCTCTCCCAGCTCCAATCTGATAGATGGAGGAACCCCGAGCCAGGGCAGCCGCAGCCATTTCTAGGTGGTTGAGCTTTAGTGGATTTCTACTTTCTGTTTTACGGATTGTGTAATTTTTCCCCCATGTGTAACTTCAAAAACAAAGAATAACTTTTCAAAGATAGGCACAGAGTGGTGTGTGGAGGGCTGAACATTCCTGCACCTGGCAGTGTGTTTGAAGAAGTCCAGGGCATTTATCAAAGCACGGCAGGATTTGAGAAGAGTGCCTAGCTGCTGTGAGCTACCAGCCCTGGGGTCCTGGTGATCCTTCCATTTGCGTCTTGTGCTCTGGCTTTCAAAGCCGCTCTCGTCCATGATCGTCTGGGGGAGTTTCAGAGGCGCCTGAAGGGAAGTGAATGGATACAGGGGCCTCTCTGGGCATTCCTCGGAAAGTCCAGCAGTGCCTCCGGGAGGCGTGGGTACCGGGCCTGGGTGCTGGCCTGGGGGCCCTGGTCTCAGGGACAACCCAGCCTGGAGGCAGCGTGAGGGGAGGACGCCTTTCTGAGTCTCTTCCAAGAGCACCTTCCATCCTGCAGCAGTGGGAGCGGTTCACCCTGGCTTTATTCTGTTGGCCCTCTCATCCTGTCCCTGCCGCTTAGACAAGGATCAAGGATGGGCCAATGGGATGCAAAGGTAGCTGAACCCACACCTGCCCCTTGCAGCACCCGTGGGGGGGCATGTCCCTACTCAGGACTGGTGGGAGGATGGGCATCAGCCAGGGCTGAACACTGAGTCTACCTCCCTCTGGGACACAGCCTGTGGCTTGGGCCGGGCAGTGGCCTCACTGCCACACATGCCCCACTCTGCCCCATGTGCCCCCGCTCTGTCCACGTGCCCCATGCTGTCTGACTTTGCTTTGATGTTGTGCAAGTGGTACATGGAGGAGTTGTAGCAAAAGTTGGCCGTGAAGTGCGGTCTCTTAGAAGCCCTTTGTGTCTGGCTCTCTGCATCCTCAAAGGCCTTTGTCTCCACATTTGCCCATTTTCACCCTCCCCTCTGAGGGAGTGAGGTCTGATGATCCCTGGTAACTCTCTGTAGGTAGTTTGGACTCAGCATCTCTCTGGATCCAGCAAAGAAACCAAAGATGAGAACCACCACGGCGACTTCTCAGAAGTTCCCCAGAGAGCAGATGAGAGAGAAGACTTCCTAACTGCCCGCTCTGCAGGATTGGTTCAAACCCCAACTCACTGGGCCCCTCTTCCTTGCCTGCTGCTCACTGAGTAGGTGGGACCAGTGAGGGCTCAGAGACCAGAAGCAGGTCCCCTGGGCCGGGGCTTGAGGGAGCTGGGTAGGACCGTCAGCTTCTTATCAGCCAGGCTCCCCTTCCCTCATTAGGCAGAAGAGCAGGGTGGTAATAAAATAAAGGACTGCCGAGTGCTCTCGGGGAGCTCTGAGCAGGGGGCAGTTGGCTTAAAAGGCAAAAAGGCAACCACGAAGCTCACGGCAAGGTGAACACCATGCGCCGTGAGGGTGGTGCTGCAGCTGGTGGAGCCGCACAATAGATAACACCCGCTCTGGCTGATCCAGAAGGCTCAGGTGTGTCATGATGCGTTTAGCTTTTTAATGTATGTCACGGCATATCTCAGGACCCAAGTTCACCGTGCCAAAAGGAAAAATAAAGCTGGATGGAAGCTCTGTCATGTTGTCATGTGAGAAACTGCCTTCCCTTTTTTTTCTTTTTTTTTTTTTGAGACGGAGTCTTGCTCTGTCACCAGGCTGAAGTGCAGCGGCTCACTGCAACCTCTGCCTCCCGGGTTCAAGCAATTCTCTGCCTCAGCCTCCTGAGTAGCTGGGATTACAGGTGCCCGCCACCGCACCTGGCTAATTTTTTTGTATTTTTAGTAGAGACGGGGTTTCACCATCTTGGCCAGGCTGGTCTTGAACTCCTGATGTTGTGATCCACCCACCTTGACCTCCCAAAGTGCTAGGATTACAGGCGTAAGCCACCGTACTCGGCCTCCTCTTGTTCTTAAGCAGAGAGCTCGGAGAGGAGGCCCGGGATCTGCACAGTGGCTCTGCTGTGCTTCCTGTGTCTCACGGAAACTGCTGATTTACCGAACGCCAGAGAAATGCACCACCCATTCCTCTACCTGCTCCTCTTCACGTATGACACGAGGGTTCAGTCACGTGACCATGCCCTCCAATTTCCCTCGCTGCCCCCTTTTCCTCTTAAAATATGGAAACCCTCGAAAGCCTCTTTGGAAAAAGCACAGATCACAGACTCTTCCTGTAGTTTTGTGTTCCTTTTTTCACAGTCTCATCCTTAACCCGGGCAAAATAAACCTCTGAGTAGACTGAGACCTGCCTCAGACACTTTATGGTTTACACAGTCAATGACAGCATACGAGCAGTTGAAGCTACCCATTTATTCTGAAAGGGGATTATCCGTGTGAATGTAAGAGTGAGGTCCAGGAGGAGATCCTCGGAGACCTCTTCTTCCTCGCTGAGCATCACCCTGTAGGAGCTGGTGGCCTGGGCGTCCCACTGCGCATCAGCCTCAGGTGCACTGGGCTGGGGGATCTCCGGAGGCCTGGGCCTCACAGACCGGACAGGTGGTGCCTGCTTGCCCCGCTACTCCTCGCTGGTTCAAGGCCCAGGCTCTGGGGAGCTTTGGGCAAATGACGGGGGACCGCCGCTTCCATAAAATCCTGCCGTGACCTGCCTACAAGGCTGGGTGAGACCTGATTCTTTCATTTTAAAACCGGGATGGAGCTGAAAGGAGCATCATGTCTTGGAGACTCTGAAAACTCAGCCCTTTTGTTTTACAGGGAGGGAGACAGAATCAGACTGTGGAGGAGGCGTGCCTGGAACTGGGGACTCCGGCAGCCACAGGTCTGGCTCCTGGCCCAGGATCTTTTGCTCCATGCTGCTGCCCTCGGAGGGCCCTCAGCTCCCTCTGAGACAGTGAGGATGCCTAGGGCCGTAGCCCCTCACTCAGAGAGCCTCAGAAAGCTACCAGGGGGCCTGAAAAGTGTCTCCAAATACTGGGCTCAAAGATGCCTGGCCACACATATGGCCCGTTGTCAGAACTGACCATTCACAGGTGGGTGGTGTCCACCATGGTCTGACCATCTCCAGAGACCCTGCCCTCCCCATCCTCTGCCCGTCAGCACAGCTGTGTCCAACGAGCCTGAGGCTGAGGCTACTGTGACTTGCTGGCCACATGTGCTTGGACAATGATTCTCACCACTGCACCTCGGTGTCGCACGCAGAGGTCTCTGGCCTCCCTGGAGTGAGTGGATGAGCTACAGGGACATTGGAGTTGCTGGCACAGAGCTGGGCCTCTGTGGGTCAGCTGGAGCTGCACCAGGCATGTCCCTGGGAGCCTCCCTAGGGCTGGCTCTCAGAGGGCAGCACCCATGTGGTACATGCTGGGGGCAGCGGGGCCCAGCTGGGGCCATCACATGCAGTGGCAGTGAGGAAGGGGCGTGTTCGCTTAGACACACCGGTCCGTGCCTCAGCCACCCCCAGCACCCGAGGGACTTCACACACCTGGGATATTTTCAAAGCCCACACCAGAGCTATGTGATTGTTCTTTGCAGCTTCCACACAGGTGCGTGGCCTCCTCGGCCAGCCAGCGCTAACCAGCAGTGAATTTGTCCCTCTCTTGGGAAGCATGACTCCAGCTTAATTTTTTTTTTCTATCTTTAGCATCTTCAACTTCTTTTCCCTTTATACGACAAGGCCGTCCTTGTCCCCACTCCCTGCTGCATGCAGCGAGCCCTGTGTTCCCTTTGTCCTTTCAGAAGCACTGGCTGCCATCTCCCGCACAGCAGTGGCTCCCTGCGGATTGCGGCGAAGGCGTTATTCCAGGGGAATAATAAGGAAATGGAGACTCGGAAAACAAGGCACTGGCTCGTCAAGCCTGCGAGACAACCACATTGGTTCCTCCTGAATCTTGTTAAGAATTTGCGGTAACATGTTTTGGCTGCTGCTGGAGCACTGAAGGGTCCTCCCTGGTGGCCGCTGGCAACAGAGGTGGTGAACCGGGGAAAGGTGTGCTGTGATGCTACGGCGCCAGGATAAGGACGCTACGGCGCCAGGATAACGATGCTACATCGCCAGGATAATGACGCTACATCGGAACTTAAAACCCTGTCAAATTCAGTGAAGACACTGAGTACTCAAGCGAGAACAGCAAGTGCGAGGCCCTAGGGAGGCTAGTGAGAGCTACGCTTCTGTATGTGGGGCCTCCTGGGAGTCAGACTCAGAAGTGAGCATAAGTCAGAGATCAAGCAGGGCTTCATGGAGGAGGTGTCCTTGCAGGGGCCTGTGAGGATAAGGAGGAGCTCACCAGGCAGCAGCAATGGAGGCAGAGGGACATCGCGGGTAAAGAAGGGAAGATGAGAGAAGATCCAGCCTGTTCCTCACACATGGTGTCCCCAAGGCCTCGGCAAGTGTGACAATGACACAGGCGTGTAGGGTACAGCAGGGACGGGGCAGCAAGGGTGTGGGGTTTATATCCAGGGATCTTCTATTTGATCAGCAGGACCTGGAGCACAACTTTAAATCTATGGAATCTATTATTTGTTTCCAACACTAAGAGCATTTCAGGCGGGGAAGGATGGAAGGGGCAGGGGCTCGGGATGACGGTTAAAGAGACGTTATCTTTATTTTTTATTTAATTTTTTTTTTTGAGACAAGAGTTTTGCTCTGTTGCCCAGGCTGGAGTGCAGTGGCACGATCTCAGCTCACTGCAAACTCCACTTCCCAAGTTCAAACAATTCTCATGCCTCAGCCTCCCAAGTAGCTGGGATTATTATAGGCGCCTGCCACCATGCCCAGCTAATTTTTTTTTTTTTTTTGTATTTTTATTAGTGACGGGGTTTCACCATGTTGGCCAGGCTGGTTTCAAACTCCTGACCTCAGGTGATCCGCCCACCTCGGCCTCCCAAAGCGCTGGGATTACAGGCATGAGCCACCGCACCCGGCCAGAGAAGTTAACTTTAACACTCATGCGTTTAAAACGAAGACTGGAACCTGAGCCAGCAGTAGGCTCATAGTGGCTTTTCCTCATAGCTGCTCGCTATTATGATACTCAGTATTTTTAAGCTTCTTGAGAGTGTGCAACGTGTGTACACAACATTTCACGGTTTCCCCGGGCCTTGGCCTGACCTTTGCTGATAACAGACTCGGGGCTTGCTTCAGCTCCGAGGCTTCTCCCTCCTGCCTGGCTGTGGCTGGGATGTGTTCCCTTCCCTCTGACGCTGTCTTCGCGGGGACCACTCCTGCGCGCCACGCCCAATCGTTCTTGCCCGTCGTCTTTGCCATCGTGGGGGGTTTTCATTTTGTTCTTTGTCCTTCCCCTCTACATCCCACGACGGTGTCTGGGGTTTGTCCTCTCCATCCCCAGCAGGTTTCTGCAGCAGCGTGGGGTCTTGAAGCTGAGTTCACAGCTTTGCTCAGGTGGAACTTCCCTTCCCTGCTGTCCCCAGCGCCTCGCCCAGCCTGCGTGTTCCTTCCTGCTACTCCTCAGCCAATTCCATTTTCATCCCAGTCTGTCACTTAGTTATCTCGCTCTCCATCTCTTTTCACAGAGTTTCCTGAGTCTTGTTGAGAACACAGAACAGATGCTTTCTAAAAATTGCCTTTTATCCCACGGTGAGCAGTGACTCTATACCATTCACATTCATGAATATATAAAGACACAGACGAATGGATACAACGAGCTCCCTCTCTGCAGCTCCGGAGCTCTGTGCAGGTTGTAGAATGACTTGTCCTGGAAGACAAACCATTTTCCCAGGCATAGCAGGTGGGCTCCCTGGCTCCTCGCACCATCCATCTGGCTGACTGAGGACCTTCGCTGCAGCTCACCTGCGGAGCCCAAAGGCCAGTGTCTGGCCTCCACCAAAAGGACCACCCCAGCTCCATGCAGAATTTCAGCCCCCACCCCTCAGTCATCTCACAAGGAAGAACGGAACTCACCTCCAGATAACTTCAAAGTTCATCACTATTCTCTTACCAGAAAGGGTCAGTCACCAGGTACTAGAACCCTGGGTTGCTGGGCCCACGGGCTCTTCCAGGGCGGCCGTTCCCTGCAGCCAGCTGTGCCTTCCCAGATGCGGTCTCTCCCTGGCCGCTCTCACGTGCCACCCAGTCCCGAGGTGGGACAGAAAATGGTTCCAGCGTGGTGTAGACATGAACATGTATTCATGGCCCGGAAAGTGGCAGACGCACAGCAGAGGGGGGCTGCGGCTAGGGGGTCTCAGTTCCAAGAATCCAACCCAAAGAGAGAGAGGTGCCAGTGGGGACCTGGTCGCACTCCAGCTCACTGACCACACCGTGGGAGACAGAAATCCCTGCGGCGGAGCACTGACCCATAGTCCTGGCTCCCAAGGCTCCTCCACGGGTATTTCAGTGGGGAGGTGGTGACGGGTGGTTGGCAGAGCGAGGGTCCAGCAAAATAGAAGCACCTCCCCCTTCACGCTTCTTCTCACCAGCTCATTTTCACAGGGCAAGAGGGAGTGGAATAAATGATTTGGGGTATTTTACGGCCCGTTTTACAGCACGATTAATGGCCCATTGACATATGAACTGGTTGCAGAACCAGTTGCCCACGCACGAAGAGACTGGCAACAGGGAGGGGGTGTGGCTTTGCTCACTCTCCTCTTAAATGAGTCTGGCTTGAGTTGGGTTCAGGTGGCAGTCGACGGGACTTAAAACTGAGTCTGGCTAGAGTTGGGATCAGGTGACAGTTGACTGGGCCTGAGATTTTGTCCGGAACTGGTTCCTTCCCGTGGGTTTCTGGTCCTGCTGACTTCAAGAACGCAACCACAGACCCTCGCGGGGAGTGTCACAGCTCTTAACGGTGGTGCGGACCGAAAGAGCAAGCAGCAGCAAGATTTATAATCAAGACAAAAGAACAGACCTGAGCATGTTCCCGCAGCAAGCTGGCAGTGGCCAGCTTTTATTCCCTTATTTGTCCCCGCCCATGTCCTGTTGATTGGTCCATTTTACAGAGCACTGATTGGTCCATTTTACAGAGTGCTGATTGGTCCATTTTACAGAATGCTGATTGGTCCATTTTTACAGAATGCTGATTGGTGCATTTACAATCCTTTAGCTACACACAGAGTGCTGATTGGTGCATTTACAATCCTTTAGCTAGAAAGAAAAGTTCTCCAAGTCCCCACCTGACCCAGAAGCACAGCTGGCTTCACCTCTCAAGATGTCATCACCAGGATAGAGAAAATTACAGAAGCAATTGAACAATTTAGTCATCAGATGTAGTCAGCTGAAGAGTTTGTCCCTGGATATTTGTACTAAAACATAGTAAAACCAAAAGCCAACACATGATATTAGTTAACAAATGGTTCAATTAAAGAATTCATTGAAGAATCTGACCTGCAATGGAAGAGCTGTTCAATGGATCCATTTTCTAAATACTTTCCTGGGCTTGGCTCTTCTGAGCTTAGCTCACTTTGGGGACAGAGGCAGGAGAAGGATGTGACTTTCATGTTCTAGATGAAGAGGTTGGTGCTTAGGGAGGTAGGTGCTTTCTGGTCTTCTGGCTAGTGAGCATCTGAGCTGAGGCTGAACCCACACCATTCTGCCTCCAGTGAGTGGGGTTGGGGGCTGGGGTTCGGGTTGATGTATAGGAACAGCATGCCAGTATGGATTCTAATTCTGGACATAGAGTATATGTGTTGCTTCCTACTCCTCTCAAAGATGAGGGCTTCTCTGCCAATTTCGGTGGCTGGCTTAGTATCCCTAATGGCTGGGATGTTATCGTGATCATTTGGAGATTTCATGAAATCATCCCTCTTTGGCAAAATGTATGAATCATCACTGTGTCTTCCTGGACTTCTGAGGTGTTGGGGAACCCGTGGAGAAGGGGGGCTCATTTTCCTAATGAGAAAAGAGACGAATTAAATGAGGACTTTGATGATCTGAGGCAGCACCAGCAAATGCACGGCTCACCATGGAGAGTTAGTACAGAAGTTAACCGTTTACTTAGGAAATTTCAGGAATGAAAAAAGAGAAAATGAGGCCAAGCAGGAGTCAATTCAAAGAAGTCTTCAACATGCTTATTTATTCTCGGCATATTTTCAACTTCTTCTTATGGAGAATTTTAAACATATAAAGAACATGTAGAATGCTACAGTGTATTTTCATGTACCTAACACCCAGCTTCAAGTACTGTCCTAAATCAATATACATATTTTTACATCTAAATTCTCTCAGCCTGGCCAATATGGTGAAACCCTGTCTCTATTAAAAATACAAAAACTAGCTGGGTGAGGTGGCGGGTGCCTGTAATCCCAGCTACTCAGGAGGCTGAGGCAAAAGAATCATTTGAACCCGAGAGGTGGAGGGTGCAGTGAGCCAAGATTGTGCCATTACACTCCAGCCTGGGCAACAGAGAGAGAACCTCTCTCAAAAAATAAATAAATAAATACATAAATTCCCTCACACTTCCCCTTTCCTCATATTTTTTAAGAAATAAACCCAAGGCATTATAAAATATCTTTTGTACATGTTTCTGCATGTATTTCTAAAAGGTAAAGGCTCGTGTTTTTAGGCAAGATAATGGTTATGTCCTTACTATTTCAAAAACATTTAATATCAAATATCATCAGTGTTCAAGTTTTCAATGGCCTCATAAATGTCAATTTGTCTTTCTTACATTTTGTTTGTTTGAGTCAGAATCCAAATAAGGTTGACACAGTGTGATTGATGGATGTTTTTAAAGTCTCTTTCAATCTGTAGATTTCCCTTTTCTATAATTATTCTTTGAAATATATCTGCGAAAGGAACATTCCTGCATATTTCATTTTGTGTAGTCATTGCTAGATTTCAAGATGAGAGGGAGAGCAAAGAAAGAAGGCCTGGGTCCAGTGGAACTCTCAGGGTTCTGGATAAATCGGTTTCTTATGGCTCTTTTCCAAGTGGGGAGTGCAAAGGAGGATTTGGGACATGTGCACTCTGCGCTGTCTTTGTTCTGGGTTAAAGCTCACATTTCAGCTCTCTGTGGCTGTCTGTAGAATGGGTTGAAATAAATGCAAGTCCCAACCTTTCGGAGAACCTTTCAGAGAACTTCCAAAGATAAAAATACAAAGACAAAAATATGAACCTCTTCAGAGGACCAGGAAGGTGCTTCAAGAAGCCAAAAACAATAATAAGTAACTGAGTGCCCGCTGTGTGGCAGGAACCAGGCTCAGCGCTTAGATTACCATTTGGATTTTTTTGCTGTTGACTATAATTTGATTTATTGTTTCCTTTTTAACAGGACAAAATGATGCCATCTAAAACTGTCTTTAAATTGTTGGAAAGCATTTACCCCTCTTCCTGATCATCCCAACGCCCCACAGGGAACAGGCCAGGAATGAATCATGTACTTCACCTCTAGTACCTTGCATAGAGTGGGCTTTTTATGAGTGGCCAACAGATGCCATTCATGGTCTAGGACTCCACTAATTTGAGAGGAAAGGAAGAAAAAATGAAGTTCATTTCTCTCACTCACCTGTATTAAAATGTCTAAGGGAAGGCATCCATTTTTTATAATGGTGAACTATGTTAACCATTGTCACTAACAAATCCTAAAAATCTAGATTAAATGTATCTTAAAAATTGGTTTAAAGGCACCAGAGGACTACCAAGGCAAAGAATAGTCCAGGGGTCAGGATCCTGGAGAGAAGAAAAACAAAGAGAAATGAGTCCAACATTTATCTCTTCTTCCTACGTGGAGACATTCATAATCTTTGGCCCAAACAACTGGTAAGTTGAGCAAATTGCCCCAGCTGAGAGCCTGAGAAGTGTCAGCCACATCATGGGGCTTGGAGGACAGCAAATGGAATGAAACTCCCATCAGAGAGTATGGCCTAGCAGAAATTCCAGTCTTCACCTGAAGTCAATAGTCAGCCTTCTCAATGACCAAACACCTCACTTCCAGGTGGGGCTAAGTGAGCTTCCCCTTCCCCTTAACTAGTTACCAGAAGCAAAAATAAATCCTCTTTGGAGGAAGATAAGTAAAAACCTCAAACTTTGATTTGCCTCAAATATTTATACACATTATCAACTGTTCAATCAAGATTACCAGACATGCTAGAGACAACAGCAAATGACCAAACACCAGTGGGGAAAAACAGAGGATAGAAAGAGATCCAAAGAAGATACAGATACAGAAGTTACTATGGACTTTAGAATAGCTCATGAATATGCTTAAAAATAGCTGGCAACACAAAAAATTTCAATAAAGAGCTGAAAATTTTGAAAAATTCAAATGGAAAATAGAATTAAATTAAGAAGTCATCAAATGGATTTAAAAGCAAATCAGACATGACAAAAGAGCATATTAATGAGCTAGAAGGTGAGTCAATAGAAAACAGCCAAAATGAGGGACCAAGAGGCAAAAGGATGATATGTACAGTATAAGAACATAAAAAGCACGTGGGAGATGGGAAAAATAAAAGCCTAATGTATACGCGGTTGGAGTCAGAGAGAGAGAGAGAGAGAGGAAAAGAGAGAATAGGACAGAGCATATAGAAATGTTGAGGATATGCTGGCTGGGCATTTTCTAAAACACTACGTGCATCAAGCCACAGAACCAGCAAAGTTACAAACTCCAAGTAGAATGAATAAAAAGAAAGCCACAGCTAGGCATATTGTAGGAAAACTACTGAAAACCAAGGACAAAAAGAAAATATTAAAGGAAAGTTGGGTCATCTCATACCCATTACGATAGCAACTACAAAAAAAAAAAAAGAAAATAAGTTTGCTGAAAGAGGTGGAGAAATTGGAACCCTTGTGTACTGTCGGTGGGAATGTCAAATGGTGCAGCCACTACCCAAAACAATACCGTGATTCCTCAAAGCATTAAAAATACTTTTACCATATGATCCAGAAATTCTATTTATGGGTATACTCCCAAAAGAACTGAAAGCAGAGTCTCAAAAAGATATTTGAAGATTGATTTTCATAGCAATATTATTCACAATTGCTAAAATGTGGAATGAACTCAGGTATTCATCAATAGATGAGTGGATAGGCAAAATGTAGTATACATATAAATGCAATGTTATTTAGCCTTAAAGAGGAAGGAAATTCTTTTTTTTTTTTTTTTTTTTTTTTTTTTATTGATCATTCTTGGGTGTTTCTCGCAGAGGGGGATTTGGCAGGGTCATAGGACAATAGTAGAGGGAAGGTCAGCAGATAAACAAGTGAACAAAGGTCTCTGGTTTTCCTAGGCAGACGACCTTGCGGCCTTCCGCAGTGTTTGTGTCCCTGGGTACTTGAGATTAGGGAGTGGTGATGACTATTAACGAGCATGCTGCCTTCAAGCATCTGTTTAACAAAGCACATCTTGCACCGCCCTTAATCCATTTAACCCTGAGTGGACACAGCACATGTTTCAGAGAGCACGGGGTTGGGGGTAAGGTCATAGATCAACAGGATCCCAAGGCAGAAGAATTTTTCTTAGTACAGAATGAAACGAAAAGTCTCCCATATCTACTTCTCTCTACACAGACACAGCAACCATCCGATTTCTCAATCTTTTCCCCACCTTTCCCCCTTTTCTATTCCACAAAACCGCCATTGTCATCATGGCCCATTCTCAATGAGCTGTTGGGTACACCTCCCAGATGGGGTGGTGGCTGGGCAGAGGGGCTTCTCACTTCCCAGTAGGGGTGGCCGGGAAGAGGCGCCCCCCACCTCCCGGAAGGGGCAGCTGGCCGGGCGGGGGCTGACCCCCCCACCTCCCTCCCGGACGGGGTGGCTGGCCGGGTGGGGGCTGACCCCCAACCTCCCTCCCGGATGAGGGGGGCTGGCCAGGTGGGGGGCTGACCCCCCACCTCCCTCCTGGATGGGGCGGCTGGCTGGGCGGGGGGCTGACCCCCGACCTCCCTCCCGGACGGGGCGGCTGGCCGGGCAGGGGGCTGACCCCCCACCTCCAAGAGGAAGGAAATTCTAACACATGCTACAACATGGATGAATCTTGAGGACACTGTGCTAAGTGAAACGAACCCATCACAAAAAGACAAAGGCTGCATGAAAGTATTTGAAAAAGGTATTCAAAGTACTTGAAAAAAGTATTAAAGAAAGTGGAATGGGGTTTGCCAGGGGCTAGGGGAAGAGGGATGGGGAGGGAGTGTTTAATGGGGACAGAGTTTCAGTTTGGGAAAATGGAAAGTTTCTGGAGACGATGGTGATGATGGTTGTACACATTCGGAATATATTTAATACCATGGAATTGTACACTTAAAAATGATTATTGTGGAAAATTTTATGTTATGTGTATCTTACCACAATAAAAATTGAGAGAAAAAAAGAAACTGGGGTTGGATCTGGGAAAGATAGATACATTATTTACAAAGAAATAAACCCGACAGCTACTTCCTCAACAGAAAAAAGTAGAAGTCAGGAGACAATTGAATGATGTATTTCAAGTGCTAAAAGAAAATAATTGCCAACTCAGAATTCTATGCCCAGTGAAAATATCTTCTAAACCTAAAGGTAAAATAGATGTTTTCATATAAAGTCTGAGAAAATTTGCAACTAAAACACAGACCTAAAGGGGATTATTTATTTATTCATTTATTTATTTATAATTAATTAATTATTATTTTTTTGAGACTGAGTCTCACTCTGTTACCCAGGCTGGAGTGCAGTGGCATGATCTCGGCTCACTGCAACCTCTGCCTCCTGGGTACAAGAGATTCTCCTGTCTCAGCCTCTCGAGTAGCTGGGATTACAGGTGTGCCCCACCACACCTGGCTAATTTTTGTATTTTTACTAGAGACGGGGTTTCCCAGTGTTGGCCAGGCTGATCTCAAACTCCTGACTTCAAGTGATCCACCCACCTCGGCCTCCCAAAGTGCAGGGATTACAGGCGTGAGCCACTGTGCCCGGCCAGTACAAGGGGATTCTTCTTGTAGAGGGAAAACGATCCTAGGTGGAATCTTTGAAATGAAGGAATAACGAGAAAAAAGGTAAACCTACATGGGCCAATCTAAGTGAATATTTAGTGTTTAGGACAACAAAAATCATGTTCTGTGAGATTTAAAATAAATGTAGAACTAAAATACGGTAGCATAGTAGCAACAGTAGCATAGAAGTAAATGGAATCTAAATATTCTTAGGCCCTTGCAGTGTATTAAAATTATTTTGGAGTTTTATTTTTATTATATAAACTCATAAAATTTTACTGTATGTTATGTAAAATGTACATAATAAAACTAGATCTTATAAATTTGTATGTAAATATATACTATATGAATATACATATTTTATAAGTGAAGGATACATTTTGAAAATCTCTAAGCCTAAGATAACCTCTAAAAGAAGAGTGAAGAAATGTACGATTAAGGAGTTTATAGGAAGGAAAAAATTCACAAAAGAAAATTAATACTGTATAAGCTGAAGGAGAGAAAAAGATACAAACGACATTGAGGAAAAATGGAAAAACAATAAAACAGTAATTTTAAAGGACAGAGTGTCCTTGCCATCCACATAACCCATGACTCATCCCAGAGTATGGAAGGACTCCTGGACATCAATGAGGAAACGTCAGAAAGCCGAATGGGAGATAAGCAAGAGACCTAACAGGCTGTGGATGAAAGAGGCCACACAGCTGGCCAGTGGACATCGAGGTGCTCAGCCTGGCCAGATGTCAGAGAAACACACATGAAGGCCACAGCATGGTGGAAAGGCTCAAAGACAGCAGCCTGCGCTGGCCAGGGCTGGCCAGTTGTGGGGCAGCGGACCCTTGCCTGCTGGGGGAGCCTATGGTGGCACAGCTATGTTGGAGGCCAGTCAGGGCATTGCTATACCCTAGCGTGCACGCTCCCCATCCCACCAATGGATCCCCATCCCAGCCAGAAGCCAGAAGCCATGCACACATACCCAAACCTGGGCACAAGGATGAGACATCCCTGAATAGCAGGATGAATGCATTGTGGCATCCAATTCAGTCCCAATCAGCAATAGCAATGAGTGCACTCACAGCATGCATGCACTCCCAGGCATGACTCTTACAGGTGCAATGGTGAGTAAAAGATGTCAGGCCAGGAGAATATATGCCACATCTTTCCATTCATGCAAACTTCAAATCTTCACATTCATACAAACTTCATGCAAACTTTAAATCTTCAAGTTCATACAAACTTCAAATCTTCACATTCATACAAACTTCATGCAAACTTTAAATCTTCAGATTCATACCAACTTCATACAAACTTCAAATCTCCATACAAACTTCAAATCTTCAAGTTCATACAAACCTCCAATCTTCAAATTCATACAAACTTCATATCTTCAAATTCATGCAAACTTTATACAAACTTCGAATGTTCACATTCATACAAACTTCGAATGTTCAAATTCATACAAACTTCAAATCAGTGGGATGCGTACCGTGGGGAGAAGGGGCCAGGTGGAGGCTGGGGAGGGCTCCAGCCCCAGGAGGCCCAGGAGTACCAGTAACACCCTGCCTGTTTGTCTGGAGGCGGTGAGACAGGTGCTGTGAAAATCCAGCATGCTGTACCCTGGTGATTTGGCACTTTTCTGTAGGGAAGTTAAACTTCAATAAAAGAGTTTATTTAGAAAAATAAAAGAGGCCAGGCCCATTTTTGGGGTTATGGTTATGTAAGTGCAGATATTCTAGGAAACTCCTTATTAAAAGCATGGTCTAGAGAAGAGATGATGTCATTCTGTCCCAGCACTGTGCGGGTATAAGGCAGCAATGTCAGGATAAAGTGGAGCCCAGCCTGGAGCGGGCAGCAGAGGGATGGGAGGATGCGTATGTTGGCGGTGACCCTGCAGGGCCTGGGTGGGCCGAGGAGCAGCTGCAGACTCCCACTGCTCTCACGAAGACCTGGCCAGGCATGCGCAGCGTGCTGTGGTGGGGGCAGATGTGAACAGCACTGGCCCCTCCCTGTCCCTGAGGGCCCTGCCACTCACCATGGGATGCCAGCAGTGCAGGGGCTTGACCTGCTGGGATAGACTCCGGCCGCATTAGGACCCCTGGCAAGGGGCCTTGTTTCCTTATTTGTTTGCTTGGACTTGTGAGTTAGGCTAACTTGATTTTTTTTTTTTTTAAAGTCACTAACCCTGTAGTCCATACGAGCCCACGAGGGTCAGCTCGGGCACTGGGAGACAGCCCAGGCCAGACACGGACAATGTGGATGATGTGGACGACGTGGATGAGGGCACCTGCAGGCAGCAAGGCCCCGTCCTGTGGGAAAGCAGGAGGCACTGAGTGGAGCCAAGCACAAGGTCCCTGCTCTCAGACTCTCCTTTCAGACAAGGCACGTGCACCAGGCAGGAGCATGGGGGACAGAGAGGAGTCCAGATGCCGCCCCTGGGCTTGCTTCCTGGGAAGGCAGAAGGGGCTGGGAGGGAAGCTCATCCCCAACATCCAAGGACCAACTCCCGAGCTGTGTGCTGTGTGGGGTTTTCCTGGGTGAGAGACTGTTGCAGGGACAATTCGTTTCCTTCCACGCAGCAGCCCTGAGCCCTCTTGCGAGGGAGACGAGGCAGGACTGGACCTGCTGCTGCAGGGGATGGGAAGGCAAGCTGCCGAGGCCCTGGCTGCAGGAGCATGTGGGCATGCTGAAAGGTCTGGGCGTGCAGTCAGAGGCCATGTCCTAGGGGCTCCAGTGACCCCCTTAGCACCTGATGGCCTCACTCCTCCTCCTCTGTTTCGGGTGGTTGGGCTTCTGTCCTCCTGGCTTCCTGGGGCCCCTAGAGCCGCATGCTTTAATTCCATGGCAGCCCCATTGCTCACCCGTGCTCCCCACCTCGTCTGCCTGGGCTCTCTCTGCGTCCACACCCATCCCTGTCAACAGCATGGCAGCCACCCCTGCTGGGGGAACGGGCACATCCTACGTCACCGGATTTTCCACAGTGCTTCAAAAACTGCCTGGAATTGGGAGTGCGGGTCCTCGCTGGGTTTATGAACTTGGAATTGCATTTCTGAGAAGCATCTTAGGCCGATAATAGCACTCCACCATGGAAACACTCCCAAGCTCACTGGCCATGGCAGTTTTAATGCTGCAGTTTATAAAAGAGTTTTTAATTATGCAATGCTCCCTTCCTGTGCGGTATTATGCTTGAGTCCTAATCCTTCGAATTAAGTGGCTAATCGTGAAAAATGCCTCTTGTTGTTCTCTGTAATACTTTAGTTCTGCTCTTTACAGGACTTTTTTTATTTTTTTTTAAGAGAGAAAGAGGTATTATATAATACTGATGTAATAGAATGCAGCTGGAGTTCCAGTATGCAATAGAGTAACTATGGTATTCTTGAAAAGGCTGCTTCTCAGTTAAAATCTTCCCATTTTAGAAAAACAAGGAGGCTCAAATTATGCTACGTTGATATCTGTAGATTGCTCAGTATTGTCCAGGACCGTGGGAGTGCATGAGCAAGAATGGGGGGGGCTCTGGTTCCACTTCCTTGTTTTACAAGTAAGGAAACTGAGGCACAGAGACATTCCCTGCTCAAGGTTCATAGCTGCTCAGTCCAGGTCCTCATAGCTGCTCAGTCCAGGTGCTCATAGCTGCTCATTCCAGGTCCTCATAGCTGCTCAGTCCAGGTCCTCATAGCTGCTCAGTCCAGGTCCTCATAGCTGCTCAGTCAGGTGCTCATAGCTGTTCAGTCCAGGTCCTCATAGCCGTTTAGTCCAGGTCCTCATAGCCGTTTAGTCCAGGTCCTCACAGCTGTCAGTCCAGGTGCTCATAGCTGCTCAGTCCAGGTCCTCATAGCTGTCAGTCCAGGTCCTCATAGCTGTCAGTCCAGGTCCTCTGCCTCCAGTATGCAGAACGCTGCACACGGGAGGAGGAAGCTTCCATCTGCGGCTCTCAGCTTCCTCTTCATCCATGAAGGGAGCAGTCGGCGAGTGTGAGTGGGTGTCCAGGCTGCCTCCTGGGGCCTCGTGCTTTTTAAAAAAACATCCACACTGTATCCTCCCCTACTATGCATGAGGAAACAGAATGATACTAGGTGGGATTATATGGTAGAGAATTCTTACCGAAGAGAAACCACAGAATTAACAGTGAACACTTGCTGGCCCACAGTCTGTTCGAATTCTGCCTCATAGCTCACACGCTCTGCAGGCCAGCCTGGGGATGACCTGAAACGCTGCCCTTCTCCCCTGGGGAGTGGGCATTCAACAGAACCTACGAGCTGCCTGAGCCGTGTGTCAGTCATCTCAGTGACAATGTGTGCCAAGTGCTGGTCGTGGGTAATAGCTTCGGAGTCCCCGTCTGCGGGTGGTTGGTGGAGCTTCAGCAGGAGTCAGCGGGGCCTGGAGGGCTCCATGCCCGGGAGGAAGAGTGCTCGGTGCTTCCCTGTCCCCTTCATGTCCAGCAGTCCCTGAGCCTGTGACTGCCCTGGTCCAACTTCCGTGAACTTCAGGTTTTAATAGTCTCCCTTAAGAATGTAAGGGGATGTTTATAAAATAAGATGCTGGCAGGGTGCTGGGTGCCAAGAAGCAGCAAAGATGGTGGGGCACAATCCCACCCTCAGGTCTTGCCATCAGCCTGGAGGGCACTGGTCTGCTCTTTGG
This sequence comes from Homo sapiens, assembly GCF_000001405.40. Lineage (NCBI taxonomy): Eukaryota > Metazoa > Chordata > Mammalia > Primates > Hominidae > Homo > Homo sapiens. The sequence continues at coordinate 239,790,187 of NC_000002.12, read as the reverse complement.
AGCCTGTGTTTGAGAGACACGTTGTTAGATGCTTGCTCTGCGTTCTCTTTCTCCCCTTCTCCAGGATGTTCTTTTCTTTTATCATTGTTCTCTCCTGCATCCGGCGCACTTGAGGCCTGGCCAGACCCCCTGATTCCTTGGTTCTGCCTCCCAAAGTGAGAAAGTGGGGGTGGGCACTGCTGAGTGAACCTGTCCCCCACCTCCTGGACTTCCCACGACGCTGCCTCCTGGGAAGGACTTCAGAGGTCACCCTGTTCCACTCCTTCACTTTCCAGGCCAGGAAACGGAGGCTCACAGCTTCCTGCTGCTCACAGATAAAGTGAATTTCAGTCTGGGCCTTGTGGCGCTGCCCCCAGGATCTGGGGCGGGGTGAGAAAGCGCTGCTCTGAGAATTGAGCCTGGTGAGGGGCCCAGTCTCTGAATCTCAGACCTGCCTTTCACACTGTGCTCCAGGGCCAGGGGCCTGCAGGTGCAATTTTACATACTCCACTGTCCTTAATGTCTACAACTGTTGAAATTCCAAAAATACAACAATGACTTTCTCTTTTAGAAAAAAATCGACCTGTCCAAGACTTGGAAGCCCTAGAGAAATGTGGCCTGGTGCCATGGGACAAAGACCACACAGAGGCTGGCTGTGGCACACCCCCAGGAGGTAATCCTGCTCTCCTGAGGCCATCCTCGTGCTGGACATCAAGTATTCCCTCCAACGTCCGTGTCCCTAGGCACTGAGGACACAGAGATCTAGCCTCAAGTGGTTTCAGCAGGAACCCTGTGGGGTTAAATTCCCAACACGACTAATGAGGCAGGAGTAAGGGTAGGAGGCCATACTGACGGGTCTCCCTGTGGGAAGCCTGGAAGACTCTTCCCTGCACCTTCATGCATCAGCACCTGACTCTTTTGCAAGGTAAGCGCTCTTGCAGGATACCAGCCGCCTGCCAGATGGTTACCTGTTCCTGATCCCTGGCCCAGGAAAGAGAACAAAACCCCTTTTTCCTGATGTAGCTTCCTCAATCTCCAGCCAATCACCACCAAAAGCCCAAGAAGCTATTAGCTATAAATTCTTGCCTTGTGGGGGGTGGCCAGGGACTTCTCCAGGGTCCCTCATGTGCTAGGCTCAAGGTTTAGCTTATAGTGACCTTTTCTTCATTTTAGTAGTCCAAACACATCCACAGGTGGAGATTTCATATGCTAATTATGCATGGAATACGTGTTAGATCATGTAGATTCTGAGCACATGCGCTAGCCGCAGGTCCGCCTTTGCACACCTGACCTCACCAGTGTTTTATGAATATTCATACACAGCTCCCATAAGGGGAATTCCTCTTAAGGCACTGGCTGCTGTCTCTCCCTTTGAGAGGTCCACCCTGCCTCTCAGAGTGTACCTTTGCTTTGCAATAAACTTCTTTGCCTACTCTTACTTTGAACTTGCTCTCAAATTCTTTTTGTGACAAACTCAAGAACCTGAACCAACCTACCAATAACACTTTTACAACATGAAAATTCAAGCACAGCAACTAAATTAAAGTAGCTCGATGGCCTGATCCTTGGCTTTTCAGTCACGTGAATGCTTAGATCTTAACTGATTTCCTCAGGCTATTTTTAACAACAGTGGCTCTGTTGATATAGAATAAATACAAGCTAGCATAGCCAATGACTACTCATGGGAGCAGTAGGTAATATCAAGGTGTTTTTCCTCTTCCCCAACGCTGGAGATATTTATTAGAAAGGGAAAGTGAAGGGAGAAAGGATAACCACATGTTCATGCTAAGAGGACCCATCCATCACTTTAATTCAAGTCAGAATTTAAAAATATCGCACTACGTTCTTGTTTGTTGGATCCAGAGATCCAAGTTATTGGGCATTTCAATCTTGACATTTGCATCCAGACAGTTTGCAAAGGGTAAAGGTAGAAAATGCTGTAAACCCAATCAACTGCTGCTTGATATTCCAAGTAGGGTGAGTAACCTTTTCAAATAATAGAGGAACTTGTGAGTGATAAGATGAACTTTGACCTCTGGAATCACAGATTCTTGGTAATGCATCTCTTTACCTTTGACTTGCCTTCTTTATAAATACCTTGAGGTGCTGGGTTTTGATAATAAAGAAACAAGATCTAGTAAATCTTGTAGAGCTTACAGGCAAGATCCCATATGTCACTGTGGTGCTTTCTGGCTGCAACCGCAGCAACCTTCATGACACCCTGTCATCCTGCCTGGCCACACTGGCCTTTCCAATTGCAGAAACACTCTTGGGGGCTGGAGTGGGTGCAATCCTGCATCATGACCAGAGCTTTCCAAGAAGGGATCTTATTCCAGCCTGCCGATGTGCATGGGGCAGACCTGCCTCAGTCACCCTGACTTCATTTCTAATTGCTTTTTCTAATGACGTGGTGCTGTGGCTGAGATGGGCAGCCTCGCCATGGTGACACTGCCCGTGTAGATGTAGATGAGGTCAGCTCATCTACATCTGCCTCTGCCATTCCAGTGGCCCATGGAGCTTTGGTTGCTGGGTCTCCAGGGACATAAGGCACAGTAACCACTGTTCAAACAGGACAGTCCTCAGCGTAAAGAGGACAGTAGAAATGATAAAAATATGTAATGTTTGAAATATGTATTTATTAACCAGCAAATTGATTACATTACATTACTGAATCCATAAAATAGCTCCGTGAATAAATAAATTTCAAAAATAACATTCCTATTAAAAATAATGTATTTTCATGTTCATCAAAGCAAAATAATCTTTATATTGGATATCTGAACACTGAAAAAATAGCCAAACAGATTATTCTTGATATATATTCATATACTATATTTGAATCTGCTACTTAGCCATTTCTCTTTTCATGAAATTCATAGTTTATCTCTCATCTTTTTAATCTCTTCATAAAATTACAATCTTCTTTAAATTTTTGCTTTATCATTAATAAATTTAAAATGATAGACACCTTCAATGGACTCTTCTCTGCTGCCCATCGTATGTTAGAGAAAACATTCTCTCTAACCGTGCTGAGGTATCAAGTAAGTGCAGCAGAATTTCTGCTAAGTGGAGGATAATCTTAATTCTATTTCTCATATATAAGTGTGTAAATATTTCAGGCCAAATGTTTCCATAGATACTATCTTTATGCCTCCATTCAGAGTACATTTTTTTTGGCAAAGATAGGATAAAACTTGTCAAATAAATTGTGTCTATTTATGGTTCTTTTGAATCTCTCACCATATTTAGATCATGCAAAACTGTAAGACTTCTCAATTTAATTCCATTCTGGTACAGAGTATAAATTTATCCAATTAAAAATAGGTGCTCCCTCGAAAGATTTTTCCCACAAATTGAGATATACTAAAGCAAAGCCATACAATTTGAAAATTAAAGCTCATACATGGCTAGAGCTTTCACCAAGTTAATGTGTTCGATTTCTTCTTTAATTTTATTCCATTTACATTTAACACAATTACCAATAAAGTCTAACTATTTGCTTTCCATTTGTCCCATCTGTTTTGTTCTCTTCCTTTTTTTAATTAATAAAGTGCTATTGTAGTTATTGAATTTTGTTGGACATTTAAATGTGCATTTTTGTATTTTTCTTTTAGATGTTGCCTAGAGATTGCAGTAAGCATCCTTGATTTACTAGATCTACCTGGAAGTACTGCTTTTATTACACTCAGAGTAACACAAGTGTGATGGCCGTGGTGCTCTGAGGGTTCTCAGGGTGCTCAGAGAACCCACTGTCAGGAAAGTAGCTGGTGGATAGGTTCTAGCTGTGCACCTGCAGACACACCATAGTGTCATGCCAAGGCTTTGTTCCCCTCCCCGGGCTGTTCTCAGTCAATCATGGAGCATGGTAGGAGTGCAATGCTAGCTTGTTCCTGCCAACAGGGTTCCTTTGACAGACAATCTTTGCTGGGGCTCCCTTGCAAACTGGCTGAGACCACAGTCTGAGGCTCTTCCTGTCCAGTCCTTCCTCCTCTCCTCTCTTCTTTCACAGGTGTCAGACCAGCATGATGGTCTGAAGATTCTACGCACCCAACCCCCTTGTCCTCCCCTGTGTCTTTCACAGGTGTATCCCCAATACATCTCTGCAAGTCTCAGTTTTTAAAAAAACATCTGCTTCTTGGTACCAGATCTGACAAAAGAAGAATCTTACAGGAATGTAATTCCATTCATTCCCTTCTGTCCTTTTGCTACTATGTATTGTATTAGCCCATTTTCATACTGCTATGAAGAAATACCCGAGACTGGGTAATTTATAAAGAAAAAGAGGTTTAATGAACTTACAGTTCCACATGGCTGGGGAGGCCTTACAATCATGGTGGAAGGTGAAGGAGGAGCAAGGGCATGTCTTACATGGTGGCAGGCTAGAGAGCATGTGCAGGGGAATTGCCTTTTATAAAACCATCAGATCTCATGAGACTTACTCACTGTCAGGAGAACAGCATGGGAAAACCCGCCCCCATGATTCAATTACCTCCCACCGGGTCCCTCCCATGGCATGTGGGGATTATGGGAGCCACAATTCAAGATGAGATTTGGGTAGGGACACAGCCAAACCATATCATGTGTTTTACAAGCTTGGCAAACATAGTTGCTATTGTTGCTTTGCACAATTAACATCTCTCATATTTGTACACATATTTTATCTTTCTCCAGCTCTGTGTTCCTTTTGCAATTCCAATTTCCAGTTAGAATTGTGTTCCTGCAATCTGAAGAATTTCCTTTACTGTTTCTTGACGTATGGTCTGATGGCAATTCATTCTCTTTGCCTTTGTTTGTCTGAAAGTGTTGTTATTTTTACCTTCATTTTTGAATTTTTTTTCTGAATATAGATTTCTAGGTTGGCAGGATCCCCCCTCCACCCCTTTATTTAAAAATATCATTGCATTATTATCTGGCTTCCACTAGACCATCTACTATTATTCCACATCTTTCATGTTCTGTTTGGCTCTTTACCTTTTTTCTTTTATTTCTCTGTTTTATCTCGGATATTTTCTATTAACTTATCTTCAAGTCTACCAACTCTGTTTTCAGCAGTGTCCAGGCTATTTTTAAATCCATTGAATGGCTTTCTGATTTTGGATATTGTGTTTTTTTCTGCTCTAGAATGTCTGTTTGACTTCTTTTATAGATTTTAATCCCTGTTGAAATTCTCTGTCTTCCATTTTGTATATCTCTCCCTGGCACTTAACATATTAATCATAGTTATTTTTAAAACCTTATCTGCTAACTCTGATATCTGAATCACCAGTGAGTCTGATTTTCTTGTCTGTGGGTAAAAAATTATAGAGGAAGGCATGCTTTTCCTCCGAAGAGTTTGACATTTCCACTTTACTCTCCCATATTTCAATAATTATATCCCTTCCAGTTTCTTCTCAGTATCTTAAATTAGTTAATTAGAAAAACAATTTTTTTAGCTTTTATGATTGTTACTGGCAGGAGAATCAGAGAAATAGAAGCTACTTCATCATGATTGAAACTAAAGTCTTTTTCTTTCTTTTAGTTAGTTAAGTTTCAATGCCTTCCAATTATGGCTTTGTTTTCAATAATTGTACTTGCTTAAGTCCTTTGACACTCCAATTAGTTAACATTTTAAGCAAAGATTTCAAAATGTTTTTTATAATATATCATTGATAGCATTGCAGGATATTTAGGTTGATTTACAGAACTCACATATTCCTAAAATTAAATTTATGATAGGTAATAAGGGGAGAGATTTATTTCCATGATATGTATATTTATACAACATCAGTGTAACCATAAAACATTTATAGTTCAATCATTCCGTGTGTGTGTGTGTGTGTGTGTGTGTGTGTGTGTGTCTATAGTGTCAGTTTGAATGGGCCACAGGGTGTCCGGATTAACCATTGTTTCTGGGTGTGTCTGAGGGTGTGTCCAGATTGGATTAGCATTTGAGTTGGTGAATTCAGTAAAGTAGATTTCCCTCCCCAGTGTGGGTGGGCATTATCCAATCTGTCGAGAGCCTGAATAGAACAAAAGGTGGAGGAAGGAGAAATTTGCCCCTATCTTCCTGCCTCAATGCTTGATCTGGGAAAACTCATTTAATCTTCTTCTGCCCCTGGAGATGTTAACATCAGTACCCTAGTTCTCAGGACTTCTTTCTCAAAATAAATTAAATCCACAACTTTCCTGTGTCTGCAGCTTGCAGACACAGATTGTAATGCTTCTCAGCCTCCATAATCACTTGAGCCAATTCCATAATAAATCTCTCTCTCTACACACACACACACACACATACACACACACACACACATACACACACACACACACACCCCTATCTATCTATCTGTCTGTCTATCTATCTATCTATCTATCTATCTACTGTTGCTTCTGTTTCTTTGGAGAGCCTTAAATAAATGCATACATGCATACATACATACATATATGGACATTCCTCAGTGTCCACAGGGGATTGGTTCTAGCCCCTCTGTCTCTGGTAGATACCAAAATTCAAGGGTACTCAAGTCCTTTATAGTCAGACCTCTATATCTGCAGGTTCCACATTCGAAGATATGAAGATATGGAGGACTGACTCGCTCTCTGTCTCTCTCTCTCTCCACACACACACACACACACACAAATTTACACATGCATAAAATGATATATATAAATATACATAATTCAAAAACTTGATGGCTGTGACATCTATTTCAGTTGGTAGACTATCATACCTTGTTTGACAAAATTGTGGATTCTATTTGCACCACAACCAACTCCTGGTTTCCATCCTGCTGTGGTTTGAATGTGTTCCCCAAAGTTCATGTGCTAGGTTACATCACAAGGGCATTGCCCTCATGAATGAATTAATGCTCTTATTAAGAGAGTGGGCACCTGATGAAAGGATGAGTTTGACCCTCTCCCCTTCTCTCTCTCTCTCATACGCTCTTTTGCTCTTCAGTTTCCACTAAGGGATGATGTAGCAAGAAGGCCCTCAACAGATGCCGGTCCCTTGGATCTCCCAGCCTCTAGAACTATAAGAAATAAATCCCTGTTCTCTAAAAATTACCCAGTCCACATGTTCTGTAATAGCAGCACAAAATGGACTAAGACATGTCCTGAGGCTTCTTAGTTTAGCAAGAAACTTACCATAGTGCTGTACTCCACCAAACTTTGTATTTGTATTATCACTGCAAAACAACTAACTTTATCTCAATGTTGAATTGTTTGACTGAACTGCATCTACAATAATATCCGATGTTTCACTTCCAAGAGGATAAATTTCTCAAGGCCCTGCTTTGATTCCATAAATTAAATTTTGAAAATTGGAATCCTTTATTGGAATTAACGTAGTGGGTTTGCTGTTCACAGCATCTCATGGTGCTGGTTGAGTAATTGAAGAGCTGGCCTCTCAGAAGGTCTGTGAAGCCCTTCTTCTGTTACTGGAACCCACACGTGAGCAGCTAGGGCCTCATTCTTCATGTGTGCACACGGATGCTTAGAATTTGAAGTGAGCAAAATTAATTTAGAACAAGAATGAATTGATCTAAATAAAAAGTCATGCTTCATAGAATATATGTAAATGTGCCTTCTGTATCTGCATGTGTTACATTATGATTTTTGGTCACAGTTTTTTATGAATAACAACTAACTTTTTAAAGTAGATGCTGGTACATTTTCAGCAAATTTGTGTCTTCTACTTTTTATAAGTTCAGGATTATCACCATGGCTCCACAGTGAATGGTCCATGTCAATAAACATTTCATGCAGCTTACACATATTCATCATCACTGAGAAATAAATGGCATAGAATTTTGTGTTAAAAACAGCAACATTTTTAATTTTGTACTTTTTAAAGCTTATTGTACTGAAAGGATTCACTGCAAAGTTAAAAAGTTTTATCAAATGATAAATTGATTACCTGTATTCAACAATGGCAAAGCCGGCAAAGCCACCAAAGCAGAAGTCTCTGACCCATGATGCTCTGCAGTGGGGCCCACTCGGCTTGCACTTCCCTGCAAATGTGTATTTGTTTCTAGAGCTGCCCTAACAGCTTATCACAAATTGGAGCACGTAAAACAACAGAAATTGTATCTCTCACAGTTCATGAGGCCAGAAGTCTGAGACTGAGGTGTCAGCAGGGCTGGATTCTTCTGGAGGCTGTGAGGGTGCATTCCTTTCTCCCCTCTATGGCTCCTACCATGGCAGCAGCCCTTGGTGTTCCTTGGCTTGTAGATGGACCCCTCTAACTTCTGCCTTTATCTTTACATGGATTTCTTTCCTGTGTGTGTTTTCTCCTTGTCTCTATATGCAAATATCCATGCTATTGGATTTATGGCCCACCCTACTCCAGGATGACCTTATCTCAACTTGATAACATCTTTAGAGAACCTGTTTCCAAATAAGGTCACATTCACAGGTACTAGGGATAAGGATTTGAAATTATTTTGTTGGGGGGACACAATTCAACGCACATATACTTTCCTTATTATTTCCTATGTTTCCCCTGCATGGCAGCATCCTGCCACTGGGCATCTCACAGACCACGAGGCTTTGGGTCATGGCCCAACTGTTTGGCTCGGCCAGTGCCCAGCAGGGGCAGCAGCATCCGCACTGGAGGACTGAGGTCCTTCCTGCTCGCACCTGAGCACTGTACCTCCTTTAGATGTAAGAGCTGGTGCTATCCCTGAAGGGGGCATGTTAGTGATCATTGTCTGAAAGGTGTGGAATAGAGAGGCAAGTGTTTGAGGTATTCTTCCAGATCAGACCACCTGTTCTGTGCATGTGTGCCTCCTGCTGTTCTGACCCCAGGACACCCCCCTCCCCATGACCAGCCCCTTTGCTTTTCTCCTTGGGATGCCCAGCGACAGCCTCTGCCAGCCTGACCCAGGACAGGCATCCAGAAAGTGCGAGGAGGGATGTTTTGGAGGCTTAGGAAAAGCAACTGCAATGGCCTGAATGTTTGTGTCCCCCAAATTCGTGTGTTCAAGCCTAATCCCCAATGTGATTCTGTTAGGATGTGGGGCCTTGGGAAGGTGATAAAGTCATGGGGGCAGATCCATCCCGAATGGGATCAGTGCCCTTATAAAAGAAGCCACAGAGATCTCCCTTGCCCCTTGACCATTTGAGGACACAGGGAGAAGGCATCATCTAAGAACCAAGAAGCAGCTCTCAGCAGACATACAGCCTGTTGGCAGCTTGATCTTGGACTTCCCAGCCTCCAGAACCATGAGAAGTAAATATTTGTTGTTAATAACACACCCAGTTTTTGGTATTTTGTCATTTCAGCCCAAAGAACTAAGATGGCCACAGGCATCTCCAGCAGAACCAAGAGATGAAGAGGGGATTTGGACACAGGCAGATCTGGGCAGGGGTCCGAGTCCTGCCACGTCACAGTCACAGGGACCCTGCCAGGCCTTGGTGTGTCCACTCTAAGACAGCACCCAGCGCTGCCTCACTTCATCTGGGCACTGGGAGAATTCGTGCATGTGAAACTCTCAGCACAGTTCCAGCCGCTTCACAAAGGTCTTTTCCCTGCTCTATCCCCAGCACGTAGAACAGTCGGTTTCCCGCACATAGCAGACACTCAAAGCTGTGTGTTGAATTAACACATCGTCCTAATAGCCGTGATTATTTCTGACAACACTCTCGGGTGAGTGGCTATCACCCCCATGCCTGCCTTGTGATCCTACCATGGTCATTGCCTCCGACCCGACCCTGTCATACACACACGTCTGGAAAGGTGTCCACCTGGCTTTTGACAAGGGACCCCCCTGATCTTGGGCCCCCACTTGGCCTCATGGCACCCACCCCATGTGCTTGTCCAGTGGCGGTCAGGTGTCCTGGGCTTCTGCTGGTCTAGAAGGGGACCTGGAAGCATCCCATGGGCACGTGGTGGGTGTCCGGCCACAGCTGAGCCCCAGCCCCTGCTCCTGTGGGGAGAGAAAAGGCAAACGTGAGCATGCTCACTATTCCGGGTGATCCCCCTTCCCCATCACCAGTGTGGCCTCAGAACCCACCACCTTTCAGGGGTCTTTGCAGGCACTGGCGTCTCCTCCTTACCACTTGGTTGGAATTAGCTGAGAGTGGACTCCCTTCCCTATGGGAGAAGCTGTAAGCCTTGGTGTTAATTCCAGAGAGCCCCTCTGCTGGGCTACTTGGCATTTGGACTCTCTGTCAAGGGGGAAAGCCTGAGCCCTCCAGAAAGCTGAACCTGAGCGTCAGGCTTTGGTGCTAACTCTGAGAGAGGAGGGCAGGCCTGGGATGCAGGGAGGGAGGGAGCCACAGTCAGGCAGGTGATGGAGCTGGGCCCCGGTGAGTACAAGGGTTGCTCAGCCTCCTGGGAGAGACTGTCCCCTGAGAAGTGCCACAGAGCGGAGGGGAGGATTCTGTCCATGGGCGCCCACGTTCTGCTGGCCAGACCCCCCGCCTGTGGTACACAGGGCCACACGTGGTCCAGGGCATCTGTTGTTCCAGCATCGACAGGGGTGGGGTGTGGGCGACCCTGTGGTGGAGCTGATCTGGGGGCCACAGAAGCAGTGTCTGAGGGGTTGTGTGAGGGGCACAAGGAGTTAGCTGCTGCCTCCAGACCACCAGGAAGAGGTCAGAGAGAAGGACCCAGGAGGCAAGGCCGCGAGCAGAACTGGCCAGTGCGAGGCCGATGAGCTTTTTCTCTTGTCTGCACTTGGCCTAAAGACGGCATGAACTCAGAGAAGGGCTCCAAGAAAGGGTGGGTGCAGCACACAGGCTGCTTGGTGTGAGGTCTGGGGGTGTTGCTGAGATCATCCACAGGAGTCAGCTTCAGCCGTTCCAGGAAAGCAAGCCTGGGGCAGGGGTGCTGCCTCCTGGGGGTCTTCACCCCAAGATCCCAGCTGACATGGATGCTGTGTGTGGCCAGGGCAGGGCCTGGTGGCTGGGCCCCAGAAGGGATGGGCGGGTTGGGTAGACCTGGTTGGAACCCGCCTTTGCTACCTCCCACTGCACAGCCCCAGGCAGATGGCACAGACTCAGCCCAACACCATGTGCTGTGGATGAGTCCCTTGGGCACAGGGATGCAGGCCCTCGGGCACACAGAGACACCCCCTCCTGCATCTGTCCGCTGTGAGGGTTCCACCTGTCCTGTCACCTCAGTGCCTGCCATAAAGGCCGGGTTTGATAACTTGCCCCTGGGACATCAAGACCCCACCACCCTGACCTTCTAGCACCATGCCACAGGGGTTGGAGGGCTGGGGTTGGAGCACAGGGACGTGGGGACACGAGGTGGTCCCTCCTTTTTCCCTCCCAAGATGGGTGCTGACGGCGGCCAGTGTGGGAACCCAGCCAGCGCCTCCTGGCTCACTCCACTGTGCGCTTTCCAGCCTATCACAAATGCCATCAAAGAAGCAATTTTCTTCCTCCTTTACCGTGAGAAGGGTGGTCAGGCCCAGCCTCGACATGGGAAATGTGTTCCACGCCGACTGACTTCAAGTCACAGCACGGGCCTGCATCCAACCGTGGAACTAATTACTCGGCAGCCTGAGGGCGATTTCCAGCACAGGTGCGGCCGGCTCGCAGTGCTGTTCCCAGGCCCCGAGGGGATGCTGGCGGGAGGCTGGGGAGCTGCCTGGGTTTCACCTCCACTCCTGGGCCCAGGCAGGGTCCAGGCCTTCTCAGGTCACCCCCTAGGCAGCAGGCGTGACCCATCACAGCCTGCTTTGTGCCGAGTGCTGCACCAAACCCCAGGATCACTGAATCCCGCTGTCAGTCCCATGAGGATGGAGCAGCCCCACACCTGCCTGTTCCTGCACCAGGAATCTGAGGCCCGGGAGGGGCATGGCTTGCCCCAGATCACCGGGTTTGGAGCGGAAGTGGGGCTGCTTGTCCAGTCTAGTCAGTAGGAGCTTGGGCCCTGGGGCCAGGGGGCTTGAGTCCAAATCCAGGTCTTCCCTCCATGGCACCAGGACCTTAGGAGCAATTCCTGCTCTCCTCTGGGCCCGGGCTCCGCTCCTGGGAGTGGCGAGGTCATAGCTTCCCTCCCAGGGCAGCTTGAGCCCTGCCGATGGTGGCTCTCTGGGGCCAGCCCCAGTTCCAGCGTGGCACCCCTCAAGGCTCACGAAGCCTGTCAAGCTCATGTTTGTCGCCCAGGCAGCCTCCTCTTTCCCAGGCTCCCAGCAGATCTAGGGCATCTGTTAGCTGCCTTGAAGGTTTTGAACTTAATCCGTGTAAACCCATCCACAGAAGTGCATGGAAACCACCTACAGAAGCACCTGGACTGCTCCAAGCTCACCCTGGGCCAGCTCAGCAGCACGACAGGAGCTACTCCCTCATTCATTTGTTCAGTAAGTATTCGCTCAGAGCTGGACACCCCAGAAAGGCCTCCAAGCACATCATCCTCTCACTGCTGTCCTCAACCTCAACTTAAACTCAGGAAACTGAGGCCCAGAGATGCCTTGGCATTCCCCGGGTTCCATGCTCTCAGGACCCTAGCTTGGATTTGAACCTCAGTCCTAGCAATGCTTGAAGAGCACCCACCCACTGGGGTGGCACAGACCCTGGATGGGGCGGGGGGGTCTCAGCTCCCAAGAGGAGACTCAGGCCAGGGTGGGCCGGGGTGGGCGGGCGTACCCACCTTCTTCCACCCAGTGCATGCTTCCCGTTTGCTCCCACCTCTCCCGAGTGCAGGCGGAAGTTCCTCTGGCCTGAATGAGAACCAAAAACGCTCCCTAGGACTTCTGGATGCACAGCTGAGACCAGGAGGAAGCTGACGAAGGCAGCCGGGCTAGGGGCACCAGGCTTCTCTCCTCACCTCGCATGGCATCAAGACAGCAAAAGGGAATCAATGTGGAGCCCCCAGCAAGCAGGCGTGGCCTCAGGCAGGGCAGCGTGGGCTGGGGAGGGGGCTGAGCCCGGCTCCTCATAGACTTGTCTCCATCCCCAACCTGCCCTTGCCCAGGGACACAGAACTCCCACCAGTCAGACTTTGATCTCCCCCAGCCAGACAAGAAGGGGGCAGCTATTCCATAAAGAAATTAAATGCGTCGTTGAGGATGCTGTGCCTGCAGATTGATATTTATGGAATGAACAGGGAGACCCCCAAGCAGCCCGTATGTATGGCTGTTGATGTCCCCGAGCAAAGGTGTCCCCGAGGTCCTCTTTCTGGCATTCACCAGTCCCCTCTGTGCCCCAACTGGCATTTCCTTTGCTTCATTCTTCAAAATACCCGGTGATCCCGGGTTGTCCATGCCTGTATTTGAGAAAATCCACTACAGAAAGGAAAGAGAGGCAGAAAAATACATAGCTGACCCTGCAGGAAATGAACACAACACACGGAGCAGGAAGAAAACCCTTAAAAAGCCAGAATTCCCATCCTCTGTGGAACAGGAGGGTGGAGCCTTCCCGGACCCAGAACAGGGTGCCGTGCGAGGACGCAGGTGAGAGCAAGAACAGCCCCTGGAAAGATGCGCTTGCCAAGACTGAGACAGAACAACAGCCAGCTGCGGTAGAAGTCTTGGTGGAGAAAGTTGACGAAATCTTCCAGAAAGTCAGATGGAAAGACAATGAAATGGAAAACGTGGTAACAGAGGAGAGGAACTGAATTCTCTTGAGAAGAAATGAGACCCCACGTCACTCAGCAAGGAAGGCTTGAGCCGGACTCTGGGCTGCAGCCCACTGCTCGCTGGCGGTCCTGACCCCGCGGGATCCCTCCCTGGGTGGGCGCCTGGTCCCACTGGCCTCGGGTGGTGGCTCTGTGATTCACCGTCTTTCCTTTGTGCCCTGGGTGTCTCGTTCTCCCTGCTAGAACCAAGGACTGACAGGGTATTGTCTCTTATGTAAGTGAATCTCACAGCAATTTTATTCTTTCCAAACTCTGAAGGCATAAGAATAACAGGAAGGTCATGATGGGATGGGGCAGCGGCAGGCGTGGGGCCTCTGGGCTGTCTGCCGGCTCCTGGGGAAGTCAGCAGGCACCCCTGCCACCTCTGCTACTGTGGCCAATTCATGTCGCTGAGCATTCCAGCTCAGGGAAGGCTGGACTGAAGGGAAATGGATCCAGGGCCCCCTTAAAACCATGGAACTATAACCCAGCTGATACCAGGGGCCTCACCTCGGCTGCCTGCCCTGATTTTTTGTCTCATCTTTTAGGATTTTACTAGGACATTTAAATCAAGCTGCACGCAAACGTGTCAACCACAGTGCAATAAAGAAAAATGCCCTCCTATGATGAAAGAGCCGTGGTCTGCGATAAACATGAAGGCTGAGGCTCTGGTGGCATTTAAAACTGGGGAAGAGCTGAGCTGCAGTAAAGCATATCTGCGGTCGCTTCCCCATTGTCACAGCCCCCCGTGCATTTCTGAAAAATTAACAAGGCTAATGTTCGAGATCTAGAAAGCTGCCATTTCCCACATACCAGCGCTTTCTCATAATCTTTTTGTGTAGGAATCAAAGGGTAATGGGAGCCACGTGCTGTTTATGGAGCAGCAACGGGTTTTCCGTGCTGCCCCGTGACGGCGGCTCAAGGAAATGCACACTCTCCTGGGAATTCGACTTTCTGGCTTTATTCACACAGTGTCTATTTCAAGATGGGCTTTGTGGTTTTGGGTCAAGAAATGAGACAGATGAGTCTGTTCTGCACAGTTTTAGCGTGCTGTCAGAGAAGCTGGTGTGGCTCTGCACCTACACACGTTCCAGGGAGCCTCCGTGTCACGTCCTTCCCGCTGCCTCCAAAGGGCAACACGGCTTCAGAGTCATGTGGCTGACGGGTCCAACAGCTCTTCCAAAAGCAGGTTTTCCCTTCTGCTCATGCAGGAAACCCAGTCTCTTTTCTTGGGCTGGGAGCTTCCGAAGAGGGGTCCTCTCTTTTCAGGGCAGCTGGATGACAGCATTCAGGTGCTTCTTGGGAGATGGAGGTAGAAGGAACGGGGACGACTCCCTTCATGAACAGCTGAGAAAACTGAAATAGTAGGAATATCAGCTCTGGACCCAGAACGCAGGTCTCACCCTCTGTTCCTTGTTCTGTCACCTTTCCCTTCTTTTCTCACCCACATCAGAGCTCACGCTGGCTTCCAACTTTCCCCGTTTTCCCATCCGGTTCTGTGCGTGGCACACCCAAAACCCAAGACTCACTGGTCTTGGCTCTGGTGTTCCAAGGGTCCCAGGCACAGCCTCCTGCCCTCTGGGAGGTTTCCTCCTCCCCCTTCCCTCTGCTTCTATGTTGGGTCAGTCTCTGGCACCTCACACCCAGCCTCCTCTTCTCTCCCTGCTTCCAGTTCCACGGGTGACCCATCCATCCCAACCTTGGCTCCCCACTACGACAGAACTAATCTTCCAAAGCCAGCACCTTCATTGTGCCAAACTTCTGCAGCAGCCTAGAATCTCTCCTGAGGACCCCAAGTCACTAGCGAGGTGAACAGTACTCTGTTCACCTCCTAGATCCCAAAATCATGTCCTCCTAGCACCTCAGAATGTGACCTTATTTGGAAACAGGGTCTTTGCAGATGTAATTAGTTAAGGATCTTGAGATCGAGTCCTCCTAGATTTCAGGTGGGTCCTGAATCTAATAACCAGTGTCCTCATAAGGACAAGAGGGACACAGACACAGATGTGACATGGGGGCAGAGACCGGGGCAATGTGTCCACAAACCAGGGAATATCAGCAGCCACCAGGAGCCAGAGAGAGAGGCATGGCACAGGTCCCCCAGAGCTTCTGGAAGAACTAACGTTGGAGATACCTTCATTTCTGCCTTGTGTCCCCCAGAACTGTAAATAAATCCATTTCTACTGTTTTAAAGACTCCCTGGTTTGTGGTACTTATCTATACTGGCCCCAGGAAACTAACACTGATTACTTAGGCTGGACAAGAAAGCCAAGGTCTGCATCGGCTAGCCAACCTTCAACACCATCGGGCCATTCATGTGCAAGCCTTAGGGACAGAGTCTTAGCCCTGTCCCCCCTCGACACCATCCCACCTGTGACAGCATCCTGGCTCAGCCCTGGGGTCACAGCCCAGCTCTGCTGCAGGAGCCTTCGGATGCCCACAGCAAACAAGCCTACACTTGGAGCTTCAGGCATCATTGTTCCTTTGAGGACTCCAAGTCTTGCTTTCAGCCTGGCCCCTTCTCCAGGCAAGGCCCTCATTTTAAATTCCTGCAAGGACTTCCCCGTTGGAGACTCTGTGACAGTCATGCCCTCCTTCCATGCCAGCGCCTCTTCCTGTCCCGGGGGTCCTGGAAGAGGCATTAATGCAAACACAGTCTGCCAGACTCCCGGGTCAGGGCTGTATGGAGCATCCATCGGGAGATGTGTCCTTGACTTTAACCTGAAAGCGTGGATGGCTCCTGTCAGCCATTCACGCTTAGGGCGAGGAAACACCTGTTACAAAGGGAAGCTCTGATGCCTGCTAGAAACCACTGTCCCTATAGCCCTGGGAGGCAAGTTGAGACTCCAGCCTCCTTTGCTCCATGTTTAATAGTTTTTCATCTTCTCTGATCGCCTGTGATAACTCTGGCTTGATGTCTTGATAGAAAAGGTGTCTAAGGGCCCTAAAGGACCTCACCAGTAGGGTAGGGATCCTCTTGTCTGATGAGCCTGTGGCTCGGGCTGGAGCTGGCAGCTGCCTCAATGCAGAGGCTACATCTTTGATCAATATCTGAACTTAAAGGTAGGAGTCTTGGCAGGGGTGGAGCCCACGCTGTAGCCTGGCAGGGCTGGGCCAGCAATGACCTCCCAGCTCAGTGGACACTTCCTGTTAAGTTGAGCAAATGGGCTTTGAGTGAGGGAAATTACTAATGGGAAACATAAAGAACCGAGACTGTGTCATGGTGACAGCTATGGCTGGTGCGGAGGCTTCTCGTCTCTACAAATGAAATATGCTGTCAGGAAGGCCCTGCCTAGCACTTACTACTGGCCCCACACAGCCGTAAACACATTGCAGGGTTTAACTCATTTCATCCTTCCAATGACTGTTATGCAAGGAGGAAATACTCTGATCCTCATTTTACAGACAGGAAAACTAAGGCACAGAGTAGCAGTGGCAGAGTGGGGTTGGATGCAGCCAGTCCAACCCTGAAGTCCACACCCTTCACCACTGGGCTCAGCACTGGGATATTAAGCCAACTCCACACAAGGTTGGGGCAGTTGGGGATGTACCTGCAGGACAGAGGCAGCCCTGCTCTACCAGACAGTGGGATGCAAGCTGCTGTGATAGATAAACCTAGAAACCTCAACCGCTCAACGCAATGAGATGTGATTCTTGCTCCCATGAAGTCCAGTCAGTGGTGGCCGAGCTCCAGGCACAGATGTAGATGCTGCCGTCTTGAACCCCTGGCTTCCGAGGTCTCCCTGAGCATGGACATCCAGCCAGCAGTGGAAGGAGGAGAGGAGGAGGGAGGAAAGGAGGAGGGAGGATGGAGAAGAGATGCTTTGGTGGAGAGAGAGGTGACTATGGGCCAGGCTTGGTATGGTGGTCATGACCTCTGCTCATACTCCAATGGCTAGAATGAGTCACATGACCACTCCAATGCTCAGGGCTGGAAAATGTGGCTTGAGGGGCTTGGTGACTGACTGGGTGGTTCTGGTGGGCAGGTTTTCAGCTCCGTGCACCTGAGGCTGGTGGTGCTCCCTCCTTAGCTGCCAACTGTCTCCTGTCCCCTCCCTGCATTGTCAGTCTGGACCAGGACAGTAGCATGGAACTGTGCAGAGGACATTTTGGGGGAAAAAGACCCATTCCTGGGTCTGTGCAGTGGGACCATGGGGTCACTGTTTTCTGCAGTGGGAGGGGGATACTCAGGGCTACCTCTCCAGGCTTTCTTTTGGTGGGCTCTGGGACACTCGTCTCCCTTTGATTACCTGCCCCTCACTTTCCCTGTGAGATGGGGTAAGATGTCATGACCCAGTTTGAGATGTGGTATGAGCCAGGATGCTAGGTTGGCACAAGTCCTTTCACCAGTATGCCCTGCAGCTGGGCAGATGAAACCAGAACCCAGCAAATGAAATGTTCCTTTGCTGTTGTCCCTGGGTACTCCTGGGGACTTGCAAAGGAGGAGTGGTGTCTAGAAATAACAATAATGATTATGGTAAACAAACTTGATTGAGGGTTTCATTGACAGTGTTCTAAAAACTTGACATGTGCCAATTTGTCCTCCTAACAATGATATGATAAATATTAATATTGTCTCCATTTTACTGGTAAATAAACTTGAGACACAGATTTGTTCATATAACTAGTAAGCTTCATGGAGGAGCTTTAAACTCAGACAGTCCAACTGCAGGGCTCACACTCTGACTGTGATTTCCTTGAGCCCTGCAAATGACATTATTCAATAGGAAAAATGTTGCTCTCTCACTCCTACCAATTACACTAACAAAGCAGTATTTTTGGTTTACCCTGCATTTGTGAAATGACATTCTCTTGACTACTTCTAGAAGACCCAGGTATCGTTGTTTCTGGAGGCAGCCTGTGAATTCCCCAGCAGTCAGGGATGGTTTGATCCTTCTGTCCCTCCTGACCATCTGGAGAAGACAATCTGGAGATTGTCTGATCCGTGCAGGTTCATGGGGTTCTGGAAAGTGTACAGGGGAATAAGCCACAGAGTAAGAGAGGAGGGGACAGTCAGCATGAAGCTCCCTCAGGGGACCAGGGTGCAGGATGCAGCAGGAAGCCTAGGGGTCTTGGTTGTATGATTTCTATAGAGTCACAGACAGGCAGATTGCCTGCTGGAACTAAATTTTAGACACATTTTGACTGACTGAGCATTATTTTTTAGAGTTCAGATTGATTTAATACATTCAATAATCTAGAAATCCTGGTTTCTCTTGATAAACCAGAAGAGCTGGCCACATTAGGTTCAATGTTCCCCAGGACAATAAGCTGGGTTCACACGGCTCTTTGGGTGGGGACTGTGTACTGCCAGTCCCTGCTGACTGGGCCACATCCAATTGTTGACACCAGTTGGCCAAGCCCCTCACTGCAGACATTATGATCTGGGCCCTTTGGTATGGGGGCAGCCAGGTTCTGAAAACTGCTTGGGGAGGGCGTAGTTCTCAAATTTCTAATATAGATTAATGCAGTTGAATGTTTGTGATCAATCTCTCATAGATTTAATCAATAACATGAAGTCATATGTAGTTGTGTGGGTCCTACTTTACAGCCACAAAAGATCAGCTGTTTTTAGAAACTGTGAAAACTTATATCTTAATAATATATTTTTATGAAAAAGGTAGTTCCAGGAGTTCATGTCCCATTTTACACCTGCAGTTAACTAAGTCCTGCAGGCTCACAACCACTTCTCAGGGGATGTTGACGAAAATGGTATGGCCAATTGGTGTCAACAACTGGATGTGGCCCAGTCGGCAGGGACTAGCAGTACACAGTCCCCACCCAAAGAGCACCTAAGAGTCGTGTGAACCCAGCTTATTGTCCTGGGGAACACTGAGCCCTTTGTGGCCAGACCTTCTTGTTTATCAAGAGAAACCAGGATTTCTAGATTATTAAATATGTACTATCTACACTCTAAAAAATAATGCTCAGCCAGTCAAAATGTGTCTAAAATTTAGATCCAGCAGGCAATCTGGATCTATTTTTCTGGACCCACTCTTCAAATGTGCGCTCTAGGAGAGGGTCATGGCGGCGTCCACACTTATAAAGTGGACAGAGTTCAGAACAGCATTTGCCCTACCAAAGCATTTTTCAGGTGACATAAGGTCCACGGCCGTTTTCGCTAAACTGGATCCCTTCATTGTGTTTCAGGTCTATTTATAGCACCGGGAAATGCTGATGAGGTCAGTGCTCACAGGTGGGGCTGGAGACTGAAAAAGCACTTTTCCACCTGCAGGGGAATCTGAGCCTCCCAACACCTGTCAAGTGAGAGAGAACAGCTTCCACCTGAGACTCCTGGATGGGTGTGGGGGCAGGGGTGGTGAGCTCTGAGCTCTGGCCTCTGTCTGAAGGCAGCTGCAGAGGGGTTTTTGTCATCCTACCTCTGCTGCTGTGACCCTGAGGGACCCAGCGATATGACCCAGGAAGCCCAGGTGGCAGGGAGCCCTGGCCCCCTGCTCTCAGTCCCTCAGAGGCCGATGGCTCAGCTCCCTTCCTGGAGGGGGCAGTTCTGCTCCAGGCTATCTTTGGGCGGGACCTGAATTGAGTGAGACCACCAAGGCCATCTCTAACTGGATTGTAACATCTGCTGCCTCACTGCGAATGCCAGGGCCAGGGTGTCATGGGAAGATGCTGACTCTGGGTTTTGTGTCTGAGATGGCCGGAGCAAGTGATTGCAAAAGGCCATTTACCATGCTCACCCTCCACCGTTGACTGGGTCTCTTGGAGTGACATGGACAGTGTTGCGGTGACCAGTAATCAAATGCATCTTCTGGCCGGCCTGGCGATGACCCGGCATGCTGTCTGTCCAAACCCTGATGATGGCAGGTGTCAACCGAGACCCTGCACTCTGCCCCTGCCTCTGTGCCTCACTCTGGCGGGGCAGCTCCGAGGGGCTATGCAAGGGCCCCTACCTGGGCAAGACCTCTGCAGAGCCCAGCCCCAGCTGGCAGGGGTGTTCATGGCATGGAGTCCCCTGCCCGCGGCAGACAGCGATGTCTCCTGGCACCAAGGCCACTGCACCTGCGGTTTCAGATTCCTTCCCTGTCCCGTCGCTGGTGTTGTGGGTGATTTATTTGCTGCTTGGCAGAACTCAGCAGCCCTTAGGAAATGGATGTCAGCTTATTGTGTTTGGGGGAGGGATGGATATGTACTTTCCGCTACATAAACTGGAGGCTTCCTAGCTTTACGTCCGTCTGCCCACAGGCTGTGTTGGGAGCCTCGGCCTGGCCCTCACCCACTCACCTTCTTCATGGTCTTTGCCTGCCAACAGTGTCTGCAGCCTTTCCAAGCCCCAAGTTCATGAAAACGGCCCATAGTAAGAGATATTTGTTTTAAACATGAACCTGGATTCATTGTCATCTGATATTAGAAATCTGAATTCAAAGATTTCCTGGTGCGATAAGGAGAAGATGAGGCTCTCCTCAGGCCTGCTCTTCTTTGTTCCTGGCTGGGCACGTGAAGGTCTCAGCTCTGAAGACAAGGCTCTCCTCATGCCTGCTCTTCTCTTTTCCTAGCTGGGCACGTGAAGGTCTCAGCACTCACAAGACATATCTTCTCATGAATGACCTTGTGTTTGGGACAAGCAACAACAACACTTGGCTGGGTGGATGGAGCCCAGAGTCAAGAGATGTCAGGGAGACCTTGAGGCCAGGAAGGCCATGGGAGCGGCCTCATAGTCCCGAAAGTGCTCTGGTGCAGTGAGCTGTCCTCTGAGATGTGCAGGATAAAGGGAGGTAAAGGGAGGGTGAAGATGGGGGTGGCCAGTAGCCACAGGGTTATTTGATGTTGAATGTCTTGCTCCTTTGGTGGTGCGCGATGCTTGGGGAGTGCAGACACTCGCAGGCACCCTGGGCCCCACTCCACAGCCCGGCATATGTGCTGTCGACAAAGGCCCCATACACCTTTCCCCCCATCAGCCAACAGGCTAAACCTCAGAGCCGGGGCACGTGCGGGACCTGGATCGAGGATGTGTGAGGGACTGACTTTGCCGAGCCACCGTCCAGCCCAGGATGGGAGACAGTTGTCTCCTGGTTCCACTCAAGATGCTGCGTGATGCCAGACCTGACCGTGACCCTCACCACAGGGGGCCCAGGCTGCCACCAGGATGGAGAGTGACTCAGGAAGGCAGGCCACCCCCTGCTAACAAGACTCGGTCACTGCTTTGGGAGAGGTGGGCAGTGGCCCTGGGAGGAGAGGGTGGGGTCCGGAGCATGGACCAAGGACATCAGTGGGAAGAGGTGGGAGGTAGGACTGTGTGTGGACCCAGGCTCCACGCCTGGAACATGTGGTTCGGCCTCATTGGATTGTGCTTACAAAACATAGACTAAAGAAAAAGTGACCATAGGTTGCAGGGGCAGGACTGCAGAGCTCTGAACCCCGAGCATGGAGCCCTTCTGAGCATGGGTGCCAGCGCTCGCGGGTCAAATGCCCATAATGCTTGCCTGGTACCTGATGAGGTTTGGATATTCACCTCTCGTCCACGAAAAGTGCCACTGGGAGAGACAGAGCGCACGCCAGCGTGCCTGGGGCTGAGGGTAGAATTGGGGGCTGAGAGCAAGCAGACTCGAGAGGATTTTGAGGTGATGAAAAGGTTCTAAAACTGGAGTGTGGCAATGGCTTCACAAATCTGTAAGTTTACCAAAAAACATGCAATTGTATGCTTGCTCACGGTGGGGGAATTTTATGGCATGTAAATTATACCTCAATAAAGCTTTAAAAATCACACTGCTGGGCATTCAGAATTTGCAGAGCAAATGGTCAGCCACGGGGCTCTGCCTCTGTTCCCTCTTCCCTGCCTCGGTTTCCCAGTCCATGACATGGGAGAGGGATTTCTAGAGAACCTTGTGCTCTGCAACTCTGGGCCTTGTTAGCACCAAAGCCGCTCCCAGCCAGTCACTCCCAGGAGGAGCGAAGGCCATGTGGTGCCTGAGGTTGGCCCAGGAGAGGGGTCTCCTGCCCCTGGGAGGAGCACCAGGCAGCGACCACTCCTGTGGTTGTTCTGGAACTGTCGCCCAGCCTCCCGAGCTGTAGGTGACGGCAGGCTGAGGGTGCCCTATGCCAGGTAGTGCCCGGAGCCATTAAAGCACAGCATTGGTCTCAGTGCACCTTCTCCACCACCCAAAAGCTGCGCTTGTGGCCG
Source organism: Homo sapiens (assembly GCF_000001405.40). NCBI lineage: Eukaryota > Metazoa > Chordata > Mammalia > Primates > Hominidae > Homo > Homo sapiens. Next base: position 239,767,523 of record NC_000002.12, on the reverse strand, counting down.
TGGTGCAACCTCATAGCCCGGGCCCGTCAGGCCTGGAGCAGTGTTGAAGCTTCACATCCCATTCCAGGTGTGGTTTCCGGAATGCATCTGCTACAATAAACCCCTGGGGTTCAAATAACCGCCAGAAACATGGCTCTGTGTCAGGGCTTGCCATTCCAGCGTCAGTACCGAGTGCTCACTGCTGTGGGAGCGGCAAGGCAGGCGGGGAGCCCTAGGCCTGTACAGCTGCTAACCGAGCTCCCTCGCAGACACAGAGGCCCCGAGAGTGAAACCGTGAAACTGAACACAGCAGCCAGTGGGTAGGAGATGCTCAGCGCAGCTCTCCGTGCCTCAGCTCCCTGCAGAGATGCAGGAAAGCGGTCAGGTGTGGACCCTGCCCAGGGTCTCCCCAGAGGCCTGTGGATCTTCAGGCTTCATCCAGAACAGGTGGGGTCCCTAAGCCAACCTCCCCCAGCCCTGCAGGCACAGGCACCTTCACACAGAGGAGCAGAGGGAGGGAGTCAAGTTGGAGAGGCTGAACTTCTCCCTCATGGGCTGGTTGGCATTGATGCCACGGGCGGGATCTGCAGTCAGTCCGGGGGCTCCTTAGGGAGACCGGCTGTGCTGGGAGACGAAGACACCACTCCTGCCACATCACCTTGGCACGCGAGTGTGGTGGGGACAGATTTTCATCCCCACTATCAAGCACGTGTCACATGAATATTCAGCCACCAAAGGTATGGGGGAAAATTAATGGATTCTGATTCATCTGGAAAGCTCCCTTCCCCACTGACAATATCTTCGATTTTTTTTTTTTGGTTTATCTTTGCCAATGGCCAGCATGAAGTTAGTTAAACTAATATGAAAATATGGACATGCCCTCCTTGAGCCCCTGGGGAAAGACTGGTCCCAACGCAGCCCCCACCATGCCCCTGAGTGCACGCTGTCTCGTGGGAGGCCCTCAAGCTTCCCTGAGTCCTGACCCAGGTGAGTGGGCACCAGCGTCTTCCATTGCACACAGCGTTTCTCCTGAGTCCAGATTCCCGTTTTCTCTGGAGACTGCCAAAAAAATGTCACCTACAGCATCTGCCTTTCTTTTCTTTCGATTGAACTGGCTGTCCCCAGCAGATGAGTCTGCGGGAGCAGATGGGAAACTGACGGAAAGCCAGGGAGGAGGGGGAGGCAGGGTGGCCGGACACCTGGAGGCCAGGAGTTGGCCACTGCAGGGCACCCCTGCCTTTGTGGGAAGGAGCCTCCTCCCTCGAACCCTGCAGCCCTCAGCATGACTCAGAACACGCAAGTTTTCCCACTTAGAATTGCAGGGTGTGCTTCTGTGCTAAGGTGGCCACAGCGCACATGGACGTGAGGACTCAAGCACGGCCCAGAGTCAGACTACACTCTCCACCTCCCATCACCATGACCGCCAGCTTCTCCAACAAAAGGTTCTGGGTGCTGGCGAGGTCCCCAGGGCACAGCGCTGGGTGTGAGAGTGCACAGGCAACTCTGATACGGCCCTGCCCTCAAACAGCTCCAGGATGTGTGGGGAGAGAGACATCTGGACACCAGTAACATGTTTCGGTGGCACGGTACTCACAGGCCCGCCAGCCTCCAGCCTCTCTGCTCCATATGGGGTGCGGCTGTCCCTGGGACGGTCACCTACAGAGGCCAGCAGTTGGCAGGCCATCTTCATCTGAGAGGCAGGGAGCAGGACGGAGGGAAAGGCTGCTTTGAAATCCTGTCCCTTCACCCAAACCAAGGACACTTGACGATAAAGCAAAGCTCCCTAGGAGCGGACGCTTCAACCTGTCTCCCCAGGTACCTCCCTGTGCACCCCCCATTCAAACCTGCTTCCCATGGGGATGCCTGCAAGGACACACTCTGAAAACACATCCCAGGAGATGAGCGGCAGTGTGAAACGACCCTGCCCACGAGGGTAGGCTGCGTGTCCAAAGGAGACCGACTGCCCTGGGCTGCTGGGCAAGAGAGTGTGAAGGCTCTGAATCGGCATGCAGAAGGCACTCGGTAAGTGCTAGAGGAACTTGAATCTGCCACGTGGGGATGACAAGGTGCTCTGAGCATCTACTGCTGTGTAACACATGACGCCTGAACTTGGTTGAAATAACAACAATCGGTCACTGAGCTCACCAGTCTGCACTTTTGGGGTGAATGGGGCTGAGAGACAGAGACAGAAAGGGAGAGAGAGGGGAAGCTGGCCACGTTGCTCTGGGAAGACATGTCTGGGCAGTCCTCCCGTCATGGCAGTGATGGTGGGGTATGCTGGTCAGCTGTTTCTCACTAGAGAGAAGAACCCTTTCGAGAGGCCTCCCTCCCTTTGGCCAGGTCAAGAGCTAAGGCTGAATGTTACCTGGCATGCTGTGAAGTCCCATGGGCCTGTGGCCCTGCCTGACTCTTGGGGAGCCTGCAGAAGTGAGGAGGGGTGAGCAAGAGGACACCAGGAGGAGAAAGATCAGTTCGGGGGAATCAGCACCAGGCTGGAGGGCAGGAAGAACAGCCGTCCCCACTCTCCACTTAGGATGGCCAGGCCTAGAGCCTGCAAAGAGGTCAACCCTTGAAATTCAGAAGTCCCAGGCCAGGCTGCTGGCTCTGAACCTCACATATGAATTCTCCTGAGCCACTCCACATCCCTGAGACTCAGTTTCCTCATCTAGGAAAGGGTTAATCACTGCACTTTCTTCCCAGCTTGGGTGAGTGGCATGTGATGCTCGGGGCCCCGCTGCATGGCATGGAGACCCCTTTTCTGATCGTGAGATCATCTTAGTTTCCACGCAGCCATGTATTTTGTCCCTCACGTTCGCACAGCCTAAGATTTTGTCTGTTACCACCTACCCTTGAAAGGCCGGTGAACCTCAAGCCTCTTCCGTGTGCACCTGCAGCTGCAGCCTGAGTTGATGGCAGGGCCTGCTCTGCCCCCAGGCAGCAGTGGAAAGGGCCAAGGGTCCTTCATTTCCACACCTGGGTACTCCCTAACCCTACAGGATGGATCTTTTTTTTTAGCAACTGGGGCATCTAAGAAGGAAGTACAGTGCATAGGAGGAAGAAGTGACCGGTGAAGCATCTCAACTTCATATGCTATTTGCTAAAGGCCTTTCTGCAGCTGTCTCTGGATAGGAGGGCCCCATGTTCTCCAGTGGACGTGTGTGTATGAGGAGGTCCCCATTGGACTCAATCAGATCACAAAGAGCAGGTGGCTATACCTGCAGACTTTACCTGTGGGGTCACTTCTGTGGGCTCTGACTTTGGCACACCTAGGATGACCTTGCTGGGGACCTGGGAAGAATGCCAGGGAGCTGCAGAGTTCCTTTCTTGCCTCTTGACTTGTGAGCTGGACAACAGGCCCTCTGTGCCCAGGATCCATGGGGCTCCTTCACTGGGCCCCGATGGGCAGGTCACAGAGGGTCTCCAGAAGAAGCTCTCACCCTTCACAGGAGCTGCCATGAAGGGCAAGTGACACAGTGTGCAAAAACATTGTACAAAGCAAAGCAGGCCGCACAAATCCAGAAAATGTGGAGAACAGGGGGCTGCCCAGGAATTTGGTATCATTTGTAAGTAAGACAAGAACTGCAAGTTCCAGGAGGTGGCGGTGTGCTTGGCAGGCGCCAGGCTGTGATTCTCTGACGGGTCTGATGGTGCCTGAGGCCGTCCTCAGAGGAAGGGCCACCTGCTCCATGTTAGGGAGAGAAAGCACTGCCTGCACCCTGGGAGCTGATGTTATGCCTAAAAGAAACGCACACAAGCAGAAGTGTCCTCGGGCAGATTCTCCCTCACTACAAACATCTTTCAGCCAAAGAGAAATTCTAGTTGCTCTAAGGGCAAAATCTGCAGAGCCCGTCTGATCGCTGGCATTGCTGCCACCTTCTCATCCTGCCATGCAGCCCTTCCCGTTGCACCACCCTCTCTCCACCTCTGTCACCTGACAGGCCCCACTTTCCAGGAGCCCCTCAGCCAGCGGGATTGCACTCTCAATTTCACCGCTGGGCATTCCTAATGGAATTCTGCTTCTTTTCCATTTCTTTCCAGGCCTCCTTTTATCCATGAATCTTAAAATTTCCAAATGATTTAGCTAGTCCTTGGAACGGAATCCCTTGTATAGAAGAACATAACAGCTCAGAGAATAAAGACAAGTGGCCAAAGCCACAAACAAAGCTAAGGGCTGAATCGTGGCTGGAATTCAGGTTTCCAGGCCAGACCCTTCTTTGCAGCTTGGAGGAGAAGGATAAAACCTCAGCAGAAAGAAGGTGCATGAAGCAAGCTGCAGATGCTGCAGTTAGCAGGGGGAGTGAGCTGAGGAGGCACTCCTTCCACTCACGGGAACAGCCAGGAGCTGCCAAGTGACACGCTCTGACCAAGGAGAAATAGTGGAAGTTTGCCAGGGACATCTGAGAAAGCTTTTCCTTTCCTCATGGAAATGGCCAAACAGCTGGCACTGCCCTTTGAGACTGGACACAAAGCCTGGAGGAGCAGCAGACATCCCGCAAAGGCGAGAGAAAGGCCGGGAGAGCCACAGAGCCTCTGCTGGGATGTGCAGCTGCTGAGCTGACACCAACCAGCACTGACCCCCAAACCACCTGCCCGGTGAGAAAAACACACTTACTGGTTTACGCCATTGTTTTCCGGGTATTTGATCACATGCAGCCTCATTTATTCCCACATGATGCAGGCTTTTCTGCCTTGATGCAGCCCACAGCCACTCCATCTCAGGGGAGCGATAGACGCAGGAACAGCAACAACAAATTTCAGTCTGTCGACACAGTCGACTTTGTTGCCTCCTGACTGTCCCACACAGCAGGTGCTCCTGGTCCGTGGAAGCCTTCCTTCTGCACTTTTGCCCTCTCCCAGGAGGATGCTGCATTCAGCCGGCAGATGGGAAACATGGGACAGTTATCTATTGACACAGAACAAATCATCCCCACAACTCTGAAGCACAAACCGGTTTGAATGGCTTCAAACCACAAACCGTTATGATCTCACAGTTTCTGTGGGTTGGAAATCCGTGCACAGCTCAACTGAGTGCCTCCATCTTGTATTCTTGGATGAGGATGGAGTGAAGCCCTCAGCAAGGGCTTGGGTTTTATCCGAAGGTTCAACTGGAGAAGGTTCCATGTCTAAGCTCATTCACGGTTGTTGGTAGAATTCAGATCCTCATGGACTCTTGGACTTAGAGCCTTTGTCTCTGGATGACCATTGGCTCCAGTCTGTGCTCAGGCCCTTGCCAGGGGGGCCTCTGCCTGGTGTAGTGCACAGCATGGCAGCTGGCCTCATTAAAGCAAGGGAGGAAGGGAGAGAGGGAGGGTGCTGGGACAAGACAGTGAGAGCAGAACAGAAGCCACTGTCTTTTTATGTCCCATCCCATTACTTCTGCAATGTTCTGTGTAGTCCCCTCCATACTCAAGGAGAGGGGTCCCACAGGGTGTGAATGCCAGGAAGTGGGGATTGCTGGGTATCTCAGAGGCTGCCTCTCACAGGCATAAAGGCAGGCCTGTGCCTTGTTCACCTGTCCTGGGGTGGCACACTTCACTTTTGCTATCTGTCTCATCAGGTGACCACGACTGACCACGGGGACGCTGGGAAGGCAGTCTAGTGGAGGTTCAGGAGCCACAGGATATGGTGAGAAGAGTGACCACAGTCAGGCTCTGCCTCACCAGGTGGAAGCTCCCTTCCTCCAGGACCTGCAAGGCTCCCTGCCCTCATCAGCCCCCCAGCCTATGAGATGCTCTGTCTCACCTGCTGGAAGGTATTTTCCCCTTCATGCTTCTGGCTAAGATAGTTTGTACTTCGGATTCTCGCTCTTCCACTCAAACCTAGGGCTTGGGTTTTTGGAAACAAAATCCATAAATTCTTGCGGGGGATGAGATTTCTGCTTTGACTAAGTCATGACCCTCTGTGAGGCTATAAGCCTGGTGCTGCTGACCACCTGCTTGAATTGGAGGATGGACAGAGAAGGAGAGATTATTGGGGCAAAAGCAGAAGGATGGATGCCCTCCAGGGAACACAGCATAAATTCTAATCCCTCAACCAAGGACTCTGATGGTATCAGGCAAGCCTGTGCTCCCCCACAAATACCTGACCTCTGCTACTCAGGTGGGAGGTGAGTCTTGGAACCACATGCCTTTCCACATCGGGCTGTTGGGAGTGAGTGGGACCCATGTGTTCTGTGGAAACTGAGGCTCTCAACAGAGTCCAGCATCTGGGCGGGGCTGCCTCACTCAGAGGTAAGAACGGGGGTCAGGGTTGATATTCCCTGAGAAAGTAATTTTAAAGTAATGTTGACTTGCTCCAACCAACACCCCCCCAGATATCTTCACCATGCAAAAAGAAAGTTGTGTCTAATGCATGTGTCCCGACAATGAATCACCTCACTGGGGCATCTTAGAATGCCTGGCACACACACCACGTGGCAGCCTGGGTCTCCCCACAGCACTGTTCCAGTCCAGCACACTCATCCAGAACGTGCCACCACTCCCCCCAAGAAGCGAATCTCTTTCTTCTGCTCTTGGAACTCATGAGACTTGATGGCCACCTCATTGAATAAAATGCTGCAGAAGTGACACCATATGACTTCCAAGGCCAGGACATGCAAGATGAGACAGCTTCTTCTTGGACTTCCTTTCTGTCAGGACCTCGATCTTGTAACCAAGCCACCATGTTGTGAGGAAGCCCAAGTGCTCTAGCTGACAGTCCCACCAAGGTCCCTGCCCACAGTCAGCATCAGCCACCCGACATGAGTGAGCATTCAGGCAACTTCAGACCCAGCCCGTAAACCCTCCCTGCTGGTGTCCCCGGCTCGGGGAGGAGCCGTCCCACCCAGCTCTGCTTCAATTGCAGATTCATGAACAAAATAAAGGTTGCCATTGTTATTAGCAGCAAGAGTTGGGATTTGTTACACTGCATTGGATAACAACCATGGCACATGCTCCCTGGCTCACTGGCCCAGGTGAATAACTTGTGACATGTACAGCGAGAGCCACCTGCTTGTGGAAGGGGTGACAGTAGGCAATAAACCAGTGAAACCAAACAGAAGCAGATTCAGTTTAGCACCGTTTTTCCATGGTCTTGCACTCTGACCATGATCTCCTGGGAGGCCAGGGCATAACGATCAAACCATGTGCCCGTAAATGAGGTTGGAAGAGTGGAAGTCATGTCCGGGAAGGAGCACATGAAGACGCTGCAGAATCCTCCGTTTTCATGGCGAGCAGTTCTGGCACAGCCTCCCCGCAGTGTGACACCTCCCTTCTCCGGGAAGGAGCTTCTCCTGCGGGTGGAGATCAGGGCATGTGCCCAGAAGAAAATTGCAACCAATTATGACACTTTAAAAGCTGACAAACACTACAAGCATCACAACATGAAGAAAAATAGCAGCAACAGTCATTTAATAATTATCAGCCTGTTGTACATTTCTCTCCAACTGTTTATCTGTATACTTCTTGATGGTCTCTTCATACAAGTACACAACATCATTTCTATGAAGAAAATGGAAAGATAATCCAGTCTCCTTCAGCATGAGTGACCTCTTTTTTATCTCAGTTGTTGAAAGTTTAGAAAAGTTCATTTTAACTTGGCAGCCCACTATTGGTAATGACGAGAAATTTTAGGATTCTTGTCAAATTTAGGAAAATCTCTATCATATTTCTTTCACACCCAATCTGTAAAATATTAATGCTTTTTATGTTTTCTTGGGTAGTGAATACTCTTAAATACTTTGGATTGATATTTTGAACTAATTTCACTTTTGTTGAACAGATAGAGGGTTTTCAGGTGGCAAAAACTACAAATTCCTTATAAGAATTTTTTCCCATTGGACGGGAACTACACATTAGAGCTCCTGGAACTTCAGTCTTATTAGCTTCATGCAAATTCATCTGAGCTTGTGTGTCCCCAGGCAGGAGAGCCTCTCAGCAGCAAAGTGAGGGCTGTGCCATCGCCCACCACACAGGGCTGTGGAGAGTCAGTGCGGCCGTGCAGGTGCCAGCCCACTCCTAAGTGCTGGGTACAGGTGAGCTTTATCATTACTTACTGTTGTAAACCCTGGCAAATGTCTCCACAAGACTGTAAAGTGAATACTGGCAGCATGTGTTAGAGCAGCCTGTATAGTTCTCCTGCAAAACACAGACCTTGGAAACCTCGGCTCTTTTTTGTTTGTTTGTTTGTTTGTTTTTTTGAGACAGAGTCTCACTCTGTCACCCAGTCTGGAGTTCAGTGATGCGATCTCTGCTCACTGCAACCTCTACCTCCCATATTCAGGTGATTCTCTGGCCTCAGCTCCCCGAGTAGCTGGGACTACAGGCATGCACCACCACGCCCGGCTAATTTTTGTATTTTTAGTAGAGATGGGGTTTCACCATGTTGGCCAGGCTGGTTTCAAACTCCTGACCTCAGGTGATCGGCTTGCCTCAGCCTCCCAAAGTGCTGGGATTACGGGCATGAGCCACTGCCTCAGCCTCCCAAAGTGCTGAGATTACGGGCATGAGCCACTGCACCCGGTCAGCTAACGCTTCAGCTGTCACCCAGTTTTTAAAGGACAGCGCTGTCTTTCCACCCCTAATGGAAGCTAATTTCTTGCTTATAAAGAGTTAACTAGAAATTAGCTTCCACTAGGTGTGGAAAGACAGTGTTGTCCTTTAAAAACTGGGTGACAGCCCTACCAGCACAGCCAAACACACCTATTGGAACGGTTGGTAAAACAGCACACGTGCAGGTGAGGACGCTGCTGGGGGGAGTGCAAAAGGGGGATAGCCTCCTGGAGAGTGGCTTGGCTGTGCCCTAAAACGTCAGCCACATACCACTACATGACTCAGCAGTCTGGGCCCCTGGGCATTTTCTCTAGATAAATAAAAACCTGAACGTGGATGTTTATAGCAACTCTAGTCATAATCACCAAACACTGGAAAAGCCCAAATGCCCTCTAACAGTGGAATAAATGACGGCACATTCGTGTCATGGACCGCTTCCCAGAAATAAAAACAAACTAACTTGATACAGGCGACAACCTGGGGTGGGTCTCAAGGTGTCACGCTGAGTGAAGGTAGCTCTGCACTGTGGGGCTCTGATTCTGCTCCATTCTTGAAGAGACACCACTGGAGGAACGGTAAATAGGTCAGCAGCCCGGGGGTTTCGGTGCAGGAGGGTGTGGCTACACGGAGCAGCAGGGGGGCGTTGTGCGGATGGAATGTGGTGGTGGTTACACAAATCTCTGTGTGCATTAGAACTCACAGAAGCATGCACAGACAATCAACGCTACTGCGGCTCTATTAGTCTGTTCTTTGCTGCTGTAAAGAAATACCTGAGACTAGGTAATTCATAAGGAAAAGAGGTTTAATTGGCTCATAGTTCTGCAGGCTGTACAGGAAGCATGGCTGGGGGGCCTCAGCAAACTTACAGTCATGGCAGAAGGTGAAAGGGAAGCAGGCATGTCGCACGTGGCTGAAGCAGGAGCAAGAGAGACAGCGGGGAGGTGCTGCACTCTTAAACGACCACAACCCGTGAGAACTCACCCACTAAACAGTACTGAGAGGACGGTGCTAAGTCAGGGGAACTCCACCCCCATGATCTGATCACCTCCCACCAGGCCCCACCTCCAACACCGGGCATTACAATTCGACGTGAGATTTGGACGGGGACACAGGTCTAAACCATATCAGTGACAGTGACAACTACACAGCCAGGGGAGCTCCCTTCTGGGCCCAGATGCCCAGGACCTCAACCAAGTAGCTCGCGGGGTAGCGAAGGCGGCATGCCAAGCAGGGTTTAGGCGTCTGAGCCTTGCTCGTTTCAGAAGCACACGTGGTGGAGGAGCAGACAGACTGGGGTCGGGGCTTGCGGGCAACCTCCTCCGAGGGCAGGGCCGGTATCCAGGGGACAGGAGAGAGGGGTAGCCAGGCAGTGCCTCGCAGCCATGGGAGGAGGGAAGGAGTCACGCACGTCTGAGAGGCAAGAAGATTGCCCATGAGGCTGCCTGGCCGGGGACTTGGCAGGGGGAGCCACAAGGGTCCAGGGCCCTGAGCAGCCTCTCGTGTGGTGGCATGGGTCAGGCCTGAGTGGGCAGTGCTTGGAGAGTTGATCCTGAGATGTGGGAAGGTGCTGAGGGCCAAGCCCTCTGAAATGCCAGCAAAGCGCTGCTCATGTGAGAGTGGGAAGTGGGGTCAGGGAGGGGACTGCTGTGTCACCAGGACACCCGGCTGGCTCTCCGGTCCTGGGCCCCTGACCACCTCTCTCCCAGATGCCTCTGTCCACGCTTCCTGAGAGGCGACCCTAGCTTGACAGACAAACCGTTGGAAACCACGAACACCAGGAGGCCTCCCATGCAGAGGGCTGGCCAGGGTCTAAGGAAATTGGAGAGAGATTTTGTCTACCCACACAGAGTCCCTCTGATACGAATCCACTGCAGGATGCGGTGCGGGCCAGGAGCACCCAGCCCCAGCCTGGAGAATCGATGAGAGCGACGGGAGCAGCCCATTTCATGGTATCTATCCCGTGGTACGTGACGTTTCTAATTTTAGACGCAGGTTGTCATGGCAACAGGATGTGTTTTTTTTGTTAAATATAGCAGCTGTTTCAGTCTCACATGCCCTATGGTCAGGAGTATGCTTTTGCTTGGAAAGCACTCGGATATTAGGTGTAAGGAATGAGGAATGAGAAACATTGGCTTTACACAGGAGAATGGAGGAAGCCTGCCTGATAAACAGTGTTTTCAAAGCATCAGCGCAGAGGTCGTGCAACTCCAGGCCGGGGGCTTCCCCCGACTTGCCAGCGCACCAGTGTCTCTGAAATAAGACTGCACTGCAGAAAACCTCACTCCAGCAATGCCCAGGAGTCCAGGCTTTGGGGGCTACCAACAGGGGTCACTGTCTGGGGCCCTCTACACTGGGCACATCACATGAGTTTTGCTGGTCCTGGTCTCTCCATCTGCAGGGCAGAAAGGCACCAGCTCCCAGTGCCCTGGTTCCTGGGCAGATCCTGCACCCACTGGCTCTGGCACCACTTCATAAACGACAGACCCATTTCCGCCGTGAAGAACAATGAACATTGATGCGAGTGAACACAGGGCAGCTTCCTTCCCACGGCCGTGTGTCTCCTGCGAAGGAGGCTAACAGAGCCATGCTCAGGCCTCCCAGGGAGGCTCCACTCACTGACCAAGCAGGCTGGGTCCAGGCCCTTTTAGAGGAAAGGCTGCTTTCCCTGGGCTCCATACAGAGACACTCCTCAAGCACTTTGCCCACTTCTCTATTAAACAGCAAATCCCCCATATTAATTTTCTGTTTCTGCTACAGAAAATTGCCACACATTTAGTGGCTTATGACAGCACGCAGTGATTACTTCATAGCTCTGTTGGCCAGAACTCCAGCTCAGGCTCACTGGGCTAAAATCAAGGTGTCTTCAGGGCAGGGCTGTGTTCCTTCTGTAGGCTGAAAGGGTGAATGCATTTCTTTATCTTTTCCAGTGTCCAGAGGCCACCTACGTTTCTTGGCTTGTGGCCCCTTTATCCATATCTGAGGTCAGCGATAACGCATCTCTCTGACCCTTCTTCCACTGTCGTTTCTCTCTCTGACTGCAGCTGGGAAATGTTCTCCACTTGATGATAACTGGCGACATTCACAGATACTTACATCCCTAAGCAGCTCTCAAAAAATCCTTTAGAAGAGACCATAATCGTCAACGCTTGATCACGCCTGACTTTCATTCTTTCATCCACTCATCCATGCACTTACCCATCCATCCACTCACGCACCCGCATACCTACTCATCTGTTCATCCACCCGTCATTCATACATCCACCTGTACATGCATCTAGCCATCCACCAGCTCTTCCATTCACTCATTTACCTGTCCATCCACCTACCACCCATCCATCTACTCGTCCTTTCATCCACCCATCATTCATACATCCACCTGTACATGCATCTAGCCATCCACCAGCTCTTCCATTCACTCATTTACCTGTCCATCCACCTACCACCCATCCATCTACTCGTCCGTTCATCCACCCATCATTCATACATCCACCTGTACATGCATCTAGCCATCCACCAGCTCTTCCATTCACTCATTTACCTGTCCATCCACCTACCACCCATCCATCTACTCGTCCGTTCATCCACCCATCATTCATACATCCACCTGTACATGCATCTAGCCATCCACCAGCTCTTCCATTCACTCATTTACCTGTCCATCCACCTACCACCCATGCATCTACTCACTTGCCCACCCACCCATCTATCCATCCATCCATCCACTCACCCATCCTTTCATTCATTCACCCATCCATTCACCTATCTATCCATCCCTCCACCATGCATCAGCCCACCCACCCACTACCCATTTATTTGTGCAACCATCTATCCATTCATCTATTCATCCATCCATTTGTCCATTCATCCTTCCACCCATCCATCAACCCATCATCTATCCATCCCATCCCTTTCATCCATCCATTCATCTATCCATCCACCCATTCACACATCCTTTCATCCATTCATGCATCCATCCACCTATCCATCCACCCACCCACCCATCTACGCATCAATCCACCAATCCACTACCCATTTATTTATGCAACCATCTATCCATTCATCTTTCCATCCATCCATTTGTCCACCCATCCATCCACCTACCTATCCATTTATCCCATCCATCCATCCATCCATCCACTCACTCATTCTTTTGTTCATTCATCCATCCATTTATCTATCCATGTACTTATCCATCCACACACCCACCCAAAAATCAATCCACCCATCCACTACCCACTTATTTATGCAACCATCCATCTATTCATCTATCATCCAGTTCTCCACCCATCTATCCATTCATTCATCCACCCATCTATCCATCCATCCCATCCATCCATCCATCCATTCATCTGTTTATTTATCTATCCATCCACCACTTATCAATATCTTACTACAAGCCAGGCCTATGCTAAATTCAGGAGAAAAATAACTGAATAAAATGACTCTTGACCACCAGGAGCTCACATTCTATTGGGGACTAAGGCATGCCAATAAGAAACTTCTACACACCCACACAATTATCTCAGAACAGAATCGTGTGGGGCATGGAAAATTTCTTCAGTTTGGGGAATATGAGCATTATTCAGATGAGACTGCTGCCCCCCAGCAACTGAGATCTAGCTGGAGACTGAGAAATACCAGAAATCATGAGAATACAAGTCAGCGAGAAGTTGTACTAGGAAAGGCCAAAGGGAGGCACAGAACAGGTGTTGTAGCAGTTAACAGGAGGGGGTAATTGTGTCCATCGTCACAATGCCACCCTGGCCTCCCACGGGATAGTTGCTCCTTAAGCTGGCCTGGATTGACCTTTTGAGAAACATTCTCTTCTTGTGCTGTGTCTGCTGACAAAATGTCTTAGAGCAATATTTAGATTTGAAATTCTAGCTTTGGGATATTAATTTCTCTGAATCTAATTTTTCTCATCTATAAAATGGAGATAATTATACTTATTTAAGGAATGTTGTCATGAACACACAAAACAATGTGCACTGAGTGTCTTGCTCCCTGCTTGGTGCCTTCCTTGGTTGATTCACTCAACAGATACCAGTGGACACTTACGAGGGCTGAACATGCTTGGTGGAGAAGAAGCAGGTACACCGTTAATGAGAAGTGTACCTATGTAGGGGCATGAGAGCTAAGAAGGGACAGACAAGTGGCAGCAGTGCACAATGCCGAGGCGACACCTGCTTGGACAGGGCACCAGGAAGATCTCCTTGGACGCAGCACAGCCAGAGGCTGGGGAGGAGCCCGGGCTCCGGGCAGAGGAATGGCGTTGGGCAGTGCCTGACAGGTGCTGGCTTTCTGTATGCCCCTGCCTCCTGCTTGGCCTGGAGTAAGCAGCTGCAATCAGCCCCGGGTCCCTGCGGAGGCTTGGGAGGGGAAAGAGTCATTATGCACATTTTATCGAGTGGAGGATGAGGTCACCGGTGATTGATGCCTCGGTTGCTCCCAACACAGACACGTTGGGGGCTCTGGAAGTCGAAGCCAGTGCCATGAGGACAAGGCTGGGGGGAGACGGCTCCCAGGGCCCCTCCCTCTGTGCTCTGTGAGGACCATTACAAGGAGCGAGGGTAGGCGTCTGGAGCAGGTCCATTAGGCCCCACAACACAGCCCAGATTGATGCCATGGAGGGCGGAATGGAGCAGCAGGGAAGGGGTGGGCCGCTGTCCCCACTGGCCAGACACGGAGAGCACGAAGAACACATGGAGGGGCCCAGGATCTGACTTGAAATGTGCACGGACATCCGGGGGCACTTAGGCCACGTTTCCTCCTGCTTCCATAAGGCTGTGTTTTCAGAACAAGGATGACTATGCTCTCTCCCTGGTCAGGAGAGGATGGCGAGGTGATTCAGAGGAAGCAAAAATTCTCAGGCACTCTCCAAAACGCAGGGCATTGCAATGGCAGATTTACTTCCTGCTTACTCAATACATTAGGTCTAAGCACAGGCCTCCTTGGTGCGTGTTCCCGAGGCCCGTTCCTGAGAACTGCACACCGCAGGCTGAGGTACTGGGAGCGTCCAGATCGGAGGGTGAAGGGGGGACCACAGGGTGTATGTCACCCATCAGGAGGGTGAGGAAATCCCATTATTAGGGGCACATTAAAACCTGAATGAGAATGATGGCCCAACCCTTCCTGAGCTACAAGCTGGGGAACCGGCTTCATGGGACCTCCCAGTACCAGCCAGGCCCTGATGTAGCCTCCAGATTCAACGCTGTGCTGCATTCAGAAAATCTGGTGGACATCTCCAGACACCCCAATCCTGTGGCGTCCAGGCTAAGAGTCTTAACCTCTCAGGGGCTCAGAGAGGTGCAGCCACATGTGCTCAGGCTCACACAGCAGCATGGCCTGAGATGGACAGCCGGCTCCTGAGTTTGGGACCAGGGCTTCGACGCACCAGGACCCACAGAGCACCCTGTGCCCACAGGGCCAGTGTGCTCTCGGGGGCTCCACGTGCAAACCACTGGCCGGCCTGCTGCCACCAGGCCTCTCTCTCCCACTTTCCAGACAGTTGGCCTGCCCCTGTTTGGAAAACAAGTGTGGAAACCCAGCCAGGCCACCTAATGTCTTCCTCATTCACACCCTTCCCTCTCCGGCTCTGTGGGTGATGCTAGAGCTCACGTATTAAACGTTGTCTGTAGAGTTGGTGATTTCTTCCCTAGATTACTCGGATGGTGTTTATTTTTATTCCTTTTGTCCATCGCGCAGTGAGTTTCTTCTCTCTTTAAAAATGCTTCACCCATGAGTTGCTCAAAACAAGGGGCTTCTGCCAGCACCGTTCCTATGCACGGCAGAGTTCCCACGCAGGACAGAGCTCCCACGCAGGGCAGAGTTCCCACGCAGGGCAGAGTTCCCACGCAGGGCAGAGTTCCCATGCGGGGCAGATGTCCAGGAGTCAGCCTGGGCCCGGTCATGGTGGGTGACGTGGGTCTTCATGTAGCCCCGCAGATCCCACCCAGCTGGGCAGAGTCATCCTCAACCCTGGCAGAGTTGGTGCTACCATCTCCACAGCCTGCTCCTGCTGGGAGCGGCAGAGTCGCTCCTGCTTTTGTGGTGACTTCCAGGCTGGCCCAAAACCCCTCTGCTGGGCCTCTGGGTGCCGCGGCCCTCAGCTCAGCCTCCCTTCTTCCCCAAGCCTGCACAGTGCAGGAAGGCTGCCCTTCCCCCTCTCCGCCCACACTGCAGGAAGTACATACCAGCTGCAGAGGGGTAGGAAGGGCCCCGGGCCGCGCTCCAGCGGGCCTGGGGTGCTGGCAGCCAGGATGAGCTTGGTCAGCCCGGGGTTCACCTGGTGTTTCTGTACCAGGGTATGGAGGCAGCACAGAGACGAAGCCCCTAGCTCTGCCCCCGAGACCACCAGAGGGCCTGCACTGCACTACCCCTGCCCTTGGGGACCACTCCTCACACAGAATGGACCCAACGACCCAGCTGTGCGGGCCAACGGCCCCCTCCTCCCTGGCCTGGGTGTCCCCTGGGTGACGTCTACTGCCCGGGCTTTGGAGGTGTAAAGTGACTGTGGCCACGTGCCTGCCCTGTCCAGGAGGGGCTCCCCCATCAGGGAGGGGCTCCTTCCCAGGCCGCAGAGGCCCATCCTCCCCAGGCTTCCTGTACCCTCTGTCTGGGAACCAGCAGCCGCAGCCCCTGTGCCACCCCGGCCATGTGTGGAGGGCAGTGGCTGGGAGCTTGGGGGCAGCATCATGCGGTCCTTCAGATGCCACCTCCCACTTGGTGGGCTTGTTACCTGGCTGAGCCTCAGTTTCCTCGTTGGGATCTTACCTTTCTGCCATGGCTAGGTGAGAATGACCTGAGGTCATGGTGAAGTGGCCTGGCAGGGACAGGGTGGGTGCTAGGATGGGGAAGGTGCCTCCGCTCCTGCCTGAGTCCTGGAACAGGACGGCTCCCTGGGGATCGGGCAGGGGAATGGGGAGGAAGTCGTCCGTGTGAAACCTTGGAGCCTTGTGGAGAGCCGGGCCTGCAGAGGAGAGCTTCAGAGCAGACCCCGGAACCCACCGGACCCACTGGGGTAGACACGGCCACGGAAGAGCTCAGGAGGTCCCCCCAGCAGCCTCTCCCAGGACAAGGCCACATTGTGGTCTTGGGGACCTGGGCAGCCCATTGCCTCTCTCTGTCTTTGGGCTTCACTTGTAAAACACAGAGCCTGGGATGAGCAACAGCTGACGTCTGTGGGAACATTCCGGGGGCTCCTCTCTGGCTCTCTGGGCAAGAAAACCTCCCACAGCCCAGGGACGCTGCCCGAGGAGGCTAGGACAGCCTGGATGTGCCAGGCCCCACGCCCTGGGCTTGCCCTCCAAGTGGAGGTGTCCAGGTGGGGAGGTGGGCATCCAGGGCCTCTCCAGGGCTCCTGCATGTGGGATGTGGATGATCCTCGAGGTGGTCCTGATGGGCGGTCCGGACAGCGCCGCTAGGTAGAGCCTGGGAATGAGTGCGGTGCTCCCAGGAGAATGACCCGCCTGGCTTGGCCCTGCCCAGGGAGATCCCAGGGACAAGCGCCGATGCCTGAGAGGCTGCAAAAGAGACCAGCCCAGCGGGTGTCGAGGGCCTGGGCCCATCCAAAGGCCATGCTCGTTCTGCAGGTGTGAATGGATGTTTGGGAAAGGAGCCCATAGAGGAGAAGAAAGCGGGGAGCTTGGTTGGGGGGTGTGCTGGTGCCAAGGCGGAGCAGGCAGCCTAGAGAGCAAGGGGCAGCCATCAGGGTACAAGGAAGGGGTCTGGACCCCTGGGACGGCGGCTGCAGGATGAGCGCAGGGGACGAGGGGGGCCAGGGCATTGTCACCGTGATGGCTTCCCGAGCTGCTTCCCATCCACCCTCCTGCAAGACCTGCGTGTGGCCCTCCCGCCTCAGACAGCCCCAAGCTTCCAGGCCTGGATCTATGTCTGCCCTGTGTCTGGGGGTGTCCTTGGACGCCGTGAGGAAGGGGGTAAGCGTCCCAGCAGATGGAGAAAGCCCCAGAACTGAGGGCTGTTGCCTCAGCATCTGAAAATGCCTGAATTCTCATCCCAGCTCACAACTGCTTCCTGACAGTCGCTGGTTCGTTGCTACTGCTGTCTGCTTTGCAGTTGTGATGGAGAATAAGAGAGAAATATATTTGTTTGTTTTTTTGGAAGAGAAGCTTACTGTTTGTCCTCCCTAGTCCCTGCTCAGAAGGTAGCATCTCTGCAGCCCTGGCCCCAAGACAGCCTCTACTCTGAGCACCACTAGCAGAGCTGCTCCAGAGGTGCGGGGGCAGCTGCTCCCAGCGGCCCCCAGGAGGCCATGGCTGCTGCAGGTAGTTATTCTAAAGAGCTGCTCCTCCCACTTGCCAGAGCTGAACACAGGTTCTGGGAGCTCCTCCAGCCAAGCAGGAAGATGGGAGATGCTGGCCTTTCCCAGTCCCTGCCTCCAAGGCCCCAGGACTGAGGGGTGAGGGACTGAGCAGGGCTGTGCTGGAGGCCAGGGCTGGGTGACGGGGCCAGAAAGACGGGCCCTGCACGGGGAGAGGGGCAAGCTGTGCAGCCACACATGGTGTCCACTCCTGCTTTCAGGCTCGGTAGCAGATGCTTCGCCAGAGTCGAGACTCCGCCCCTCAGGGGTGGTCTTGGTGCACCCGCAGCCTGGCTGGTGTCTGAAGGAGGGGCTGTCCACCCCCAGGCTGGGTAAATGGCTCTAGTCCTGCAACTTGTCGGGGAGTTAGGCCACAGCTTCTGTCTATGGGGCCCTCTCAGCTCCAGGGATGGCCGGTCAGCACCTCTGGCCACCTTTGGGAGTCTGGGTGCTCACTGAGGATCCCGGCCCACTGCACACCCCGAACAATCAGCTCACGGAATTTGGGGTGAGGGAGCTTCCCCAGGCCCTATGCATAGTCCTGTGTGTCATCAAAGGAGGGGTTTTTACTTCCACGAAGATGTAAAACCTACCAGGGCTTTCTAAACTACCATGCTCGGCCCAGGTGACTCTGCGCGAGCCGGCTGGCCAGTTGTTGCAGATGATGAAGTGGCCAGCCTGGGGTCTCACCCGGCCACCACTCAGCTGGCCTGTAGGCCTAGCCCTGTCACAGCCCAGGGTAGATCAGGGTAGATCAGGGAGGCTGGCTTCCCGGGAAGATCATCCTGAGCAGGGGCCCCTGGGTGGCCTCAGTGGCGAGCACTTTGGCATTGGGTGGAGTCATAGAGCCCAGCTCTGCCCTTGGCTGCCTGAGACTCTTTGGGTAAGGAGCTTATTAGTTCTGAGTTTTGCCTTTCTGTAAAATGGGAACAATGGCGTCTCCTCCAGAAGGTCTTCACAGGGATTAAACGAAAGATCGCATGCGAAGCCCTGGGCACGTGAGTGGAGCATGCACCACATGACAAGATGGTAGTCATGTGTGCAATCAGAAATGTCTGCATCTGCTCAGAACATGGGAGGGAACAGCCCATGTTCCCTCCCCCAGGCAGAGCCAAATTTTCAGAACCAGGGCTCAGAGCTTTGGGGGCAGTTGGGAGCCATTTGTTGAGTGGCATCTGGTTGGTGCAACCATTTTTACTCTGAGTGCAGACCTGTCAGGGGCACGGCCCCCACCACCTGACCACACATTGTCCCCCCACACCGTGCCTGGACAGGCACTCCAAGGACACCCAGACTCTGCTCTGGACCAGAGCCCTCCTCTGTGGACCACCCCCCGCCTTCATTGGCAACACTGACATTCTTCATGGTGGGCTCTGGCCAGGGGTGGGAGCCCACGTGGTGGCTGCATCTGCAGGGCAGGTAGGCCTCAGTTCTTCCACCAGGATCCCCAACACAGTTCAGAGAGGAGAGGCCAGTTGAGCAGATTATTAAGCTAGTTTAAAAACCAAACATTTGCTTTTTGTCTTTGGTTTGTGTCTGTCTTGTTTTGGGGGCTCTGTGAGGAGCAATGTGACTTTCCACACCTCAGAGGCTGCAGAAGGAAAGGCTAAACTCCAGCCCAGGTGAGCACAGGTGAGGAGCAGGTGCGTGCAGGTGAGGGGCAGGCAGGCTGAGTATGGAGCTGCTGCCCAGGTGAGCACAGGTAGGCTGAGTGTGGAGGTGCAGCAGAGGTGTGTGCAGGTGAGGGGCAGGCAGGCTGATTGCGGAGTTGCATGTTCCTGCACTAGTGGTTCTAGCCATGTGGGGTGTGGAAGGCAGGATTCCAGAGTCCCTGGGGTGAAGAGGTTGGAGAGAGAAGGAGCCTTGCGTGGGCGACACAGACTTGAACTTGGTGCCTCTCAAAAGCCCCCCGGACTCTTCCCCCTTGTCTCTGAGAGCCCTGAGGGTGAGCACCTTCTTCAGCTTTGGGCCTGCTCTGGGCCTGGCCCTGACTGTGATTCAGGGGTCCTTGGAGAACTAAATTCTGAGTAGCATGCAAACCTGTCACACGAGAGGGAAGAGACATTCTGACTCTAATGGCAGAACTCACTGGTGGGGGCTGCTGTAGGGTCAGGGCTGGGGTGTGGTGAGCTCCAGGGCGGGGCTTCCGCTGTGGGCAAGCACCGGGCACTGGGCGTGGGCAGAGGTGCTCCGCACAAGGGGAGAGTGGGAGGAAGTCAGGACGCGGGAGCCGTGCAGTCAGACCATCAGGGCGGGGTCCGGGCTGTGAGCACACGTGCTGTTGAGGATGCTGGGGAAGAAGCGGCCACAGGGATGAGGGCAGCAAGCCAGAGCAGCAGGGGACAGGCACTGCGAGACCACACCCACCCCGGCACCTTCCCCTCCTGCTTAGCAGAAATTTGGATGCGGGCTTTTCCCTAAGCAGTGGGTTTTGGAGGTTCCCAACAATTGTGCCTTAGGCTCAAGAGATGGGAAGAAATCAAAATCCCATCGGGGTCACACATTTGGAGGTTTCCGAGTTTCCTGAACACTGGACACAAGCCCAGCCTCCACCTGCTGCTACCATGGCCCAAGCGCCTTCTCCCCAACAACTCCAGGGTCTACTAAGCAGTGGGCACCGCGCCAGGCACCCAGCGGGGCACTGTCAGGGGTGCAGAGATGAACCAGACAGCGTCTGTGCCCTCAAGGAGCTTACCAGAGGCTGGGAACACAAGACAGCTGCCCTGTTCCACGTGTATGGGGTGACATCAGACACAGTCCATCCATTGTCCATTAGAAGCAATCCCCCAACTCCCAGCAGGAGGGCCGGGAGGCTGTGCCGGTTCAGGGGTGCACTGGAACCCCGAGTCCTTTCTCCATCCTACCTCACCTTCCCCCGTGGCTTTGCTTCATCCTAGAACTAGAGCAAGACCACAGCTGCAGCTCCAGCCGGGACAATGCCCTAGGAAGTGGGAAGTGGCTCTCTGCCCAGGAGACCTATTAGACAAACAAACAACAAAACAAAAAAGAAGCTTTTTGTGATGGCAAATTTCAAACATGGACAAAAGTGGAGAGAACCGGAGAATGGGCGCCAGGCCCCACCTCGGCATGTGGGTGGTGCTCCCTCCGCCTGTCCACCCTCCTCTCCTCTCTCCTCATGCCCCAACCCGCCCCCCACACCTGTGGAAAATGCACACTCATTCCTCAGTATCGGGGTTCACATTTTCCTGATGGTCTATCCTTTGTTTTACAGGTTTAAAAACAATTGGAATCAGGACGCAGTTAAGGGCCGTGCATTGTGATTGGTTGGGGTATACGTTTTAGCCTGCAGGTCTCCTTCCACATCTGTTTTTACATTAACTTTTAAAATGTTTTACTACTTATTTGTTTGTTTTTGTGGTGGTGGTTGTTAAAGAAATTGGATCATTTCTCATTTTCTGAGTTTTGCTGAATACATCCCAAGGGTGGCATTCAACCTTTTTCCCTGTCCCCTGTAATTCCTGAAAGCTGTCGACAGGCTCCGCCGGGTATTTTGGGGAGGCTGCGCTTAGACCCTGCTGCTGGCTTTCATCTGGAGGCACGCGGGGTCCTGCTTTCTCTGGGATGTGTGCAGCGGCTGATTAGCTGCCTCGGTTCATGGCTTCCTCGGGGACTGCAAAACAACAATATCCTAACTCTAGGCTTGCTCCTGTGTTTATCAGCTGGAACACTCCCACCAAAACAAACTTCCCTTTCATACCAACTTAGCTGCCCTGAGGGACGGTTTGCATAGAGAAGTCAGTAAAGGCTTCATTTTTATCCTTTACTTATCCGTGTTCAGAGTAATGAGGTGGTTCTCCAGCTGCAGCCGAAGTTGACCAATTATCTTTTTGTTTTCTTATGAACTCATGGATGTAGACACAGTGGCGGTGTTACGATTCATTGCGGCTATCATTCTTATTCTCACTCAATCGTATCTGAAGCTTTGGAACAATGAGGAGATCTTCTGGGGCTTCTCTGACTGGCCCCTCCCCACGCCCACATCTCCTCATCCAGAATCGGGTCTGAAGTCCACGCCTGATCCCCCATCAGCCGGAGAGTGATGACGGAGCCCATCGGACTGAAGCTCTGGGGCTGGGATGGGCCAGCGCCCTGAGGAGTGTGACCACCTGGAGGACGGACACACCTGATCAATATGGAAGGGGATGGAGGGGGAAGGAGACAGGGAGCTGGGGCTGGGAGCCCCTGCCAGGGTGGGCCTCAGGCCTTCTGGGGCATGGGCAGACCAAGTGTATTCATGTGTGGGAGGCCCCTGGAACAGTGCAGGGACAGGGGGGCTCCATAAATACTCCCTGCTGTTACCACTGCTGTGGCCAAAAGCACAGTCATTAAAAAGTCGGCCCTGAATGTGCCGACTGTGAAGAGCCCGCGGACAGGAAAGTGACCCTGTGCCCACCAACAGGCTTCAGAGCGGAGGGTAAAAGTGGAAGCTGGTGGTGCCAGCCTCGAGGACTCAGCGCCGATGCTGTCCCCCAAGTCCCTGGGCTCGGGCGCTCGGGAGCCATGAGGGTGCTCGGAGCCACCTTTCCTCCTCTAAGCTGCTGCTGCCGCAAAGGCGCAGCGCAGGCAGGGAGCAAGGCGGAGGCTGACCTGGCTCTACGACTTCCGGGCAGAGCTGGTCCTGGCTTCCAGACGGCCAGACTCTCAGTGCTGTCTCTCATGGGCCTCACGGGAGGGCAGAGATGCTCCAAGTCCTCTCCGAGTCAGAGAGGCTTCCGATGTGCCTTGTGACAGTGACCCTGCAGTCCTTGGGTGTTCTTGTCCTGTGACAAGTCCCACAGCCTCAGCCTGACTCTCTCCAGGCTCCCCTGCACAGCCCCAGGCCAGAGAGCCTCTGCCAAGCCCCCAAGTGACAGCACTGCCTGTGCCTGACATCCCCAGACACACAGCAGGTGTGCAGATTTATGTTTGTATAGCGATAGATACAGATATTGGTATATAGATAAACATGACTACATTAAACTTATATATGATCATTGCTTCCCAGAAAAATGATGACTATATTCTTTGAATCTGTTTCCGTGCATATGCATATATCTGTATTATATATATATGTATCTTGTACACTCATTCATATATATAATACACACATTTTTATATATCTATAGTTACATATAAATTATATATGTGGGTATATATGCTTGTTTATATTTGCTTATATATTGATGTATTATATTATGTAAAACCATATGTGGTCAAATATAGTTATTGGTACAGTGATAAACAAATATGGCTGTGGACCACATCCCCTATAAATACGAAATTTAACATAGGGCAAGAATGAATAGATTGAAACAGCAGGTACATGTGTGAGCACGTGGAGATCCACATGGGGCTTGGGGGGCCTACCTGCTCATTTCCCGCTTCCTCTTGTTCCTGGGGTCACCACCCTGGGCCTCCTTCCATCTGTGCCCACTGGCATCACGCTGCAGGAATTCCTGGCCTCCAGGTGCATGGATGATGCCATCTCAAGGTCCAGTGCCAGAGTCAGACATGCCGCTCTCATTTGCCATCAGTTCTTTCCATGTGACTCCAAGAGGGGCTCTGTACACACCCTGCAAAGAACTTCTCCCAGAGGAACTTCTCAGTGGTACTTTACACCTCTCCCTCTGACCCCCATTTGGTTTGAGGAACATTCGTTCTTCCTCCGGAGGCATGTTCTTCTCTCTCCTCAAACCTGTGAGAGGAAAATACATCCCAGGATCCCCAAATCACTAAGCCAAAGGGAAAAGTCAAGCTGAGAACTGAGAACTTAGGGCAAACCCCTTCTATTCAAAGTCATCTCTCTGCCCACTAAGATAAAGGCATATCTGATGGCCTCCTTTGGAGAGGCTAATCAGAAACTCAAAAACAAAAAAAATATGCAACCATTTGCCTCTTATCTACCCATGACCGGAAGCCCCATCCCAGCTTTGAGTTGTCCCACCTTTCCGGACCAAACCAATGTACATCTTACATACATTGATTGAAGCCTCATGTCTCCCTAAAATGTATAAAACCAAGCTGTGCCTCGACCACCTTGGGCGCATGCTGTCAGCACCTCCTGAGGCTGTGTCACAGGTGCGTGCCCTTAACCTTGGCAAAATAAACTTTCTAAATTAATTGAGACCTGTCTCAGATACTCTTTGGTTTACAAACCCTATTTCTTGAACTTTACATGTGAAATTTTCATACTATAGAAGTAGAGATTCTACCCAAGAGAAATGGAAACTTAGATCCACGCTGAGACTTCCTCGCAGCGTTACTGATGCCAGCCCATGACAAGGAGCCATACAAATGCCCATCACCTGGGGGGCGGCCAGACCCAGTGGGCTGCAGCCAATCAGTGGGGGCTCCAGTCATGAGAAACGCAGGTGAAAGAGGCTGGACCCAGTGGGCTGCATAGCCTATGATTCCATATATATGAAAGGTCTGGAAAAGGCAGGTATTTGGGCAGAGAAGTAGATTGAAGACTGCCGGGGCTGGGTGTAGGGTTGGGGATAGCTAAGAACGGGAGGGAGGGGGCTGACTGGGGGGGATGTCCTCAAACCGGTTTAGGGTGACAGCTCCACCACGGTAGTTACCAAAAATCACTGAGCTGTATACTTGGAAGGGGTGAATTTGAGGATACATAAAATATGCCTAAATAAAATGTTATCTAATACCAAAGCAGCAAGAAAAGGAAAAAACAACACATAGAGAAGTGACTCTCCCCGACGCCCACCCCCAGCTTCCACATCATCACCCACAGCCAGTCTTCCAAGCCTCGTTCTTCTGTTTTTCTTGTTTTTTTTTTTTCCACACTAGGTCTTGGTGGCCAGGTAAGCCCAGTGCCCAGAGTGTCAGCAGCCACTAGGCTAATCCTGCCGTCACATTGGACCGGGAGGGCCTTGCCGTCCCACCCTCCCGGGAGCAGGAGGAGAGATCTGCTCTTCATCCTCTGCTGAAGGTCGGGGCATTGAAAGTTGCTCTCTAGGAGGTTCTGTTCATCTGCTCTGGGGGAGGCAGACACGTGTTGCCATCAGACTTCTAACGGGAGTCCCGTCCCAAGGCTCCCTGGCAGGGGAATGGCACGCGGCCGTGGTGAGCAGCAGCACAGAGAGCAGGCAGGTCTGCTGGGAGCAAAGGCTGTGGGGAGGGGAGTGGCTGCTGGGCAGAGGCTGGGTCATGGTCCGGGACCGGCGTTCAGGGAGCAGAGAGGCCTTAGCGAGGCCACCGGGTGAGGGGCTTCTCCCCGGGTACTCACTGAAGAAGGGCAGAAGCTGCGTGCAGAATGAGGGTCCAGGTGCAGAAAGCGGCCCTCTGCAGCCTAAGGCATGGCAGTACTGGGCGCAGGGACCAGTCTCCTCAGTCCTGGTGTTTGCTAGCCTCAGTGCCAAGAAAGGGGGTGGCATGAGGACACCCCAGCTCCCACATCTGCATCCCAGAGAGCTTCATTTCACCATCCATGGTGCTCATAGCACGGAGAGAAACCTTTGCTCACAGCTCCTGGCTCCCTTACAAAGTCCAAAGGTCACCCTTAATTAGGGTACCTGGGACTGTCCTGGTTTTAAAACTGAATCTCCCTCATCTTAGGAGGGCCCATTAGTACTGATCAAACTGGGATGGTTGGTCACCCCGTTGCTAATGACCGGGATGTGGATTTTCCCGCCTCCTGCTATCAGAATCCAGTGTGGACACACACACTGAAAGGTGCCCACCACCAGCAGGGCCACGGTCAGCTGTAGGGCACTGCTGGCGATGTGGCCTCCCAGGCAGGATTCCATGGCATCTGCAGGAACCCCTTGGGGAGACATTTATGTCTGCACACGACAAATCCGAGACCCAAGGCGACTCAGGTAATATTGCCAGGAAAAAACACAACCCAGGTTTCCAACCAAATACCAGTACCCTTCCCCTGGAGCTGGGACATGTGTGCTCATAAGGCCATGGGGCTCATCTGGGTGAGACGCAGTGGCCAGGGCAGAGTCGGGCACCTTCTGCCCCGTCCAGGCTCCACCCAGCTCCATGTGTGTGGATGGATCTCCAGCTGCACCTTGGTGCTCTGTCTGTGGGCAAATCTTTCCCATGTATAAAACTGATGAAACTGAGATTCTATGAAAGTGGAAGAGGTCAGATTAGAACCCAGGCAGTTCCAGGTGCGTGTGTGTGCATGCGCATGTGTGTTATTTTTAGTAACTTTACCGAGTGGCACCTGTCACCATACATGGGTTTTAGAACATCTTCATTTCCAAGGGCCCGCTTCCCTCATGTGTCAGACAGATGGCTCTGTGGAATTCATTTCCTTTGAAAAGCAGTGATTTTTGAAGGAACATTGTTATGAAGGCGGCCACCCGGCTGTCCCTCATGCTCTGAAGTAGGCCTGCAGCTTCCACTTTCACCTGCAAGTGCCAGGGCATGGATTCTAAGTAAAGTCTAAGATGCCAGAGGTCGTGTGCCTCCCCAGCATCCTACCCACAGCCCACCCACATCACTGAGAAAACCAGACCTCAGGTCTTCCAGCAAAGCTCCTGAAACATTCCTTGTGCACCCCGCTCCCAGCCACAGTCATAACAATGCTACTATCTTCTGGAGTGCCAAATTGGGGTCATTCCTCTGTAACAGCCACATCCACTACAGCATAGGGAGAGACCCCCAAGACGCCTCCTGGAAGGGCTCTGAGCACGTGTCCACCAGCCTCCTCCTCCTTTGAGATGTCTAAACAGCCATCCTATTTCTCTACAGCACCCACCAGGCAAGCTGCTACATTACTTGATTGCTCACTCCTGGGCTCTCTCCCCACTGCATGGCACGGAGGCTGTGTTTTCTTTCCTGACATAGCTCAACACCTAGACCAGTGCCTTGTCCACAGTGTAGACGCACAAATGTGAGTGTCGAATGTGCAGATCCGCACAAGTCAGTTCTTGGATTGCAGAAAGCACCTTGGAGAGCTGTGAAGGTGCTGTGGGTGGTGTGATCTATTGACAGTCACCGCTTCAGACATTCTATGGTGGAAGTGTTCAAATAGACAGAAAAAGTGAAAGCATTTTGCAATGAACATCCCTAGCCCATCGCCTGGTCTCTTCATGTCTTTCTCCCCTTGGGCATCACTGATCACTCCATCTGTCTGTGTCTCTAGCCTTTCATCAATACATCTTTTACTTTACGCAT
Organism: Homo sapiens; assembly: GCF_000001405.40. Taxonomy (NCBI): domain Eukaryota; kingdom Metazoa; phylum Chordata; class Mammalia; order Primates; family Hominidae; genus Homo; species Homo sapiens. The sequence continues at coordinate 239,740,550 of NC_000002.12, read as the reverse complement.
TCAAAGTAAGTAGGAGACATCAGTGCCTTTCTCCCCAAGTATTTTTGCATAATTAACTAGAGCTCAACAGTTGGTGATGGGCCTTTCTGCAAGTTCTGCATTCAATGAGATGAATAGATTTCCTTCTTTCTTCATCAGCCCAGCTAGAGGTTTGTCAATTTTCTTGATCTTTTCAGAGAACCAATTTTAGCTTTATTCTCTACAGCTTTGCTTCTCTCTACTGCACTTCATTATCCCCTTCCTTTTGCTAAGCTCTTGTTGAGTTTACTTTTCTCTATCTCCTGAAGGTGTACAGTTAGGATATTGATTTGAGACCTTTCTTCTTTTTCAGCATAGAACATGGACAGCTGTAAGTTTTTCTCTGAACCCTGTCTTCACTGCTATCCATAAGTTAGTCATCCGATGAGTTTCAACCAATCCATGTGCCCACATAATCCAAACCCCTCTAAAGACACAGCACCTGCCACCACTCTAGAACGTTCTCTCAGACCCCTTCCTGGTCAAACCAGACCCCCGGAGGCAAACACTGTTCTGCTTGCATTCATTGTAGATTAGCTGTACCTATTCTAGAGCTTCCCATGACAGGATCATACAGTGTGCACCCTCCGATGTGAGGCTTCCTTAAGTGGGCACAATGGTTTTGAGATTCACGCACTTTTTTGCATGTCGGCAATCTGTTCCTTTCTGTTGCTGAGCAGTATCCTGTTGTATGGGTATTCCATAGGATGTTCACCTTCCTCTGTCTGTGGAGGAGTATCTGGACTATGTTTAGTGTTTGGTTTTTATGAACACAGCTTCTAGAACATTCTTGCCCAGGTCTTTTGGTGGAATTCCCGTATTATAAAGTAGGGGAGAGTTTAGTTTTATAAGACAGTCATTTTTGATAATAGAGAATATCTTAATGATCTCTTCTAACACTCTTGTTTGGAAATCATTTCATCTCTTTGTCCTTTAGTTTCCTTGACCCTTAGTTACTGAGCTTTCAGCTAGAACAGTTGTGAAAATTATAAAATTCATTTGCTCTACAAATATCCAAGAGCATTTCCCATGTGACAGGCCTAGCACTTGGCTGCAGACACAACATGCTGAGATTCGGTCCTCGCCCTCGGAGGTCCCTGCGGTGGGAGGGAGTCAGACCCAGCACGCCAGCCCACAGCGGAGGCCAGACCTGAGGTTGCTCAAAACTTGGCAGCTACAAATTGTGATGCCGCAGGGAGTCCTTCTGACCTTCAGGAAGTGGCATCTTAAGGTCACCTTTGGTGGCATATGGTTCTTTGTTTTAGGAAATAACTTTAACGGGTCTAACAATATTATATTCTGCAACAGAAAAGTTTTAGTCTACAAGGAGCTAAATTGCTTCGTGTAATGAGGTAAACAGCCATCTTCCTAGTGGTAGAATTGCATTTATGTTATGTTTTCTTTAGGAAATTTATTCTAAATATGGATGTAATTGACACTGTTCCTGAAATTGGCTGTTCTTAGATGTGAGGGTGTATGTGTATATTTGTGTGTGAATGTATTTACGTGTGTGTTTGAGTGCGTGTGTGAGGGTGTATGTGTGAAGCATATGTGAGTGTGTGTGTATCTGAGTGGGGTGTGTGGAGTATGTGAGTGATTGAATGCGTGCATATGAGTGTGTGGGTTTATGTGCACCAGAGTGGGTTGTCTGTGTGTTTGTGCAAGAGTGTGTGCGCATGAGTGTATGTGTGAGTGGGTGTGCGTGTGTGCACGTACATGTAAATGTGTGTGAGTGTGGATGTGAGTGTATATAAGTGTGAGTGTATATAAGAGTGTGTGGATGTATGTGTATATAAGCGTGTGTGGCTGTGAGTGTGTGTGTCAGAGTGTATGTGAGCGTGTCCGAGTGTGCACATGCAACTGTGTGTAGGAGTGTATACAAGTATGTGTGCGAGTGTGGGTGAGTATATACATGTGTGTGTGTGAGTGTGGGTGTGAGTGTATACAAATATGTGTAAGTGTGGGTGTGAGTGTATATGTCTGTGTGCGTGTGTGGCTGAGTGTATATAAGTATATACGTGTGCCTGTGTGTGTGTCTGAGTGTGCACATGCACATGTGTGTGTCTGTGCCCGAGTGTGTGTGGGCATGTGTGAATGTGTGAGCGTGTGTGCATTCACTTGCGCGTCCTTGTTCAACAGTGGCCGCAGGGAGGAAGGGCAGAACTTTCTTGCTGGCAGGGATGGGGCTGGGCCTGGGCCGGGGCTGGGGCCGGGGCTGGGCTGTGGCTGGGGCTGGGCTGGGGCTGGGCCGGGGCTGGGCTGGGGATGGGGCTGGGGCTGGGCTGGGGATGGGGCCGGGGCCGGGGCCGGGGCCGGGGCCGGGGATGGGGCCGGGGCCGGGGATGGGGCCGGGGCTGGGGCCGGGGCTGGGGCTGGGGCCGGGGCTGGGGCTGGGGCCGGGGCTGGGCTGGGGATAGGCTGGGCTGGGGATAGGCTGGGCTGGGGATGGGGCCGGGGCTGGGCTGGGGATGGGGCCGGGGCTGGGGCTGGGGCCGGGGCTGGGCTGGGGATGGGGCCGGGGCTGGGGATGGGGCCGGGGCTGGGCTGGGGATAGGCTGGGCTGGGGCTGGGGCCGGGGCTGGGCTGGGGCTGGGGCCGGGGCTGGGCTGGGGCTGGGCTGGGGCTGGGCTGGGGATGGGGCCGGGGCTGGGCTGGGGATGGGGCCGGGGCTGGGCTGGGGATAGGCTGGGCTGGGGATGGGGCCGGGGCTGGGCTGGGGATAGGCTGGGCTGGGGATGGGGCCGGGGCTGGGCTGGGGATGGGGCCGGGGCTGGGCTGGGGATGGGGCCGGGGCTGGGCTGGGGATAGGCTGGGCTGGGGCTGGGGCTGGGCTGGGGCTGGGCCGGGGCTAGGCTGGGCTGGGGACGGGGCCGGGGCTGTGGCTGGGGCTGGGCTGGGGCTGGGCTGGGCTGGGCTGGGGCTGGGCTGGGGCTGGGCCGGGGCTAGGCTGGGCTGGGGATGGGGCCGGGGCTGTGGCTGGGGCTGGGCTGGGGCTGGGCTGGGGCTGGGCCGGGGCTAGGCCGGGGCTAGGCCGGGGCTAGGCCGGGGCTGGGCTGGGCTGGGGATGGGGCCGGGGCTGGGCTGGGGCTGGGCTGGGGCTGGGCTGGGGCTGGGCTGGGCTGGGGCTGGGGCTGGGGTTTGGGGTTGGGGTGCGGCAGGAAGAGGGGATTGCAGCCTCCTGCATGCTGTGGCTGACAGAGGTGGGATGGGCTGGGCATTGGTACGGGGAGGGGTGATGAGTCCTGGGGTCGTTGTGTGGTGGCGGCAGCGGGGCCCCGGGGCCTGCAGCTCTGTGGAAGTGCCGGGCTCCACTCCCTGCCCCCCGTGCCCTGCTGCGACCTGGAGAGAAGCACTCAGGAGCCTGACTTGCCTGCAAGGGAAAAGCCATGTCTCCTTTTCCGGGTATTTCACTGGCAAGAATTTGAGGGCGGGAGTCAAAGGCTTTTTCCACCGCTAGTTTTGTTGCGTCCATTTTTCAGAACCTGTGAAGGAACCAGGTTCACGTGACTCCGATGACGTCAGAGCTCCTGCCTTGAAAGACCCGGTGCTTTTGAGGATGGGCTTGTCTGTGTCGCTGGGCGCCACATTCCGGAGGCCGGAGGGGAGAGGGAAGAAGCGAGGCGCTGGGTTGGGGGGCGTTGGGTTGGGGGCTCCTGGGGGTCCTGCCTTGTCCTCAGGGTGGAGGGTGGGAGGAAGACCCCGAGTGTCTGCCCAGCTCACCAGCACCTATCGGGGCCAGTGGCCAGTCCTGCTGCCCGCCTCCCTGCCCTGACTGATCGCACCTGTCAGGGTGTGAGCCCTTCCTATCTCAGGGTGCCCGACAAAGGTGCAGTTCCAGGTCCGAGCACACAGGGGCGCGTTGACCCAAACACAGATTGGCCAACCAGCCATGCGTGGCATCCCGTGTCCTACCGAGACCAGCGACTGCCTCCTACCCTCCTCCCGTGGGCATCGGAGCTTGAGCAAAGCCGGGAAACCAGTCCGTCCCCCAGACACTTTGCTGCCTCCACACAGGCCTTGGGGTACCGACAGACATCACTGCCTCCACGCGACCTCACCAAGGAGACGCAGCCCGGGGTGGAGAGAGCAGGGCTCAGGCCCAGGGGCAGCCGGGACTCCAGGCTCTCCCAGTGGTCTGGGCTGCGGCCTCCTCGCTGCACTGCCCAGTGGGGACCCAGGTGACAGACCACGGGCAGAGACCACAGCCCGCTGCCCACCAGGGCTGGCCCCTCTGGAGTCTCCTCCTTGGAGCCAGCTCCGGGCTCTGGGACCCGCAGGGGTGCTCCTGGTCCCTCTGTTCATGCACTGGCATCTTCAGAGAGGGGAGCCAGGCTCCTCCTGCCGGTCTGTGCCTGCAGACATCCTCTTGCATCTCCAAGGCAAATTCTAGGGTGAACCTGGAGTGATGGTCCCAGGACCATAGCATCAGGGATGCCCAGAGAACCCTCCCAGTCCTCATTCTCCGAGAGAAGTCCTCGCCTGCACAGCTCCCATGACGCGACCCACCCAGGCTCAGCCATCCTGCCCCATGCTGCCTGGTCACACTTGGCCACCAGCCCAGAGGGGCCCTGCCCCCGGCCCGTCCCTGCCGACAGTGCCCCTGAGGTCAGAAGGCAATCCAGAGGCTGTGCTGGCCAGCCTTTTGCTTCTCTCTAGAGTCGACCCACGCTGCTGGCCTCGGCAGAGTCGGTGGGTTCCATGGAAGCCGTCTGCTCCCAGTTGGGAGCTGGCTGTCACTGCAAGGCAGCACTGGCATTAAAGAGGCAGTTGGCAAGCAGGGCCCAGACTCGATGCTGAGTGCCCAGGGGTCTTGGTGTTCACCCACAGGAGCAGCTGTCTTCAGGGCCTTGCTGGGGTGGGTGGACCTGCAAGGCCTCCAGAACCCCCACCCGTGCCGGCTGCCTGCAGCTCGAACTGTGCAGCTGGAGGGAGCGAGGCTCAGGCTCCGCATTGTAATTCCACCGCTACTGCGCCCCGCTGCTGCGCCCCGCTACTGCGCCCCAGAAGGCATATTTTATTTATTGGACAGGGCAGGAACAATTTATGAGCAATCCTCCAGCTCTGCACCCCTTGGTGGGAGGGGAGCATCACCAGCTGCAGGCTTTTCGCAGGTCCCGGGTGGCTACAAGCATCTGTCACGTGACGACGCACTCTCCAGGCTACACACAGCAACGGCTTTCTCCTGGCCCCGGCAGGGGGCCCTGTATGAGTGCCGGCACTGGAGGCTCCAGGACAAGCCCAGCCCATGCACCAGCCCAGGGAAATTCACCTCTCAGGCCGCCCCCACTCCTATTTTAGGTGTATCCTAGACCATAAGCAGCTACTTTGGCCTGGTTCTCAGAGAGACTCCTGGAGAGCATGGCCCAGATATTCAAGTTCTGAGCCTGGGGGCCGGGATCCTGGTGCGAAAGACACTGGCCTCCGGTCCATGTGTAAATGGGGCATTTCCTGTGCTCCAGGGCAAGCCAAACCTGACCCCAGCCTCTGCATGCTCCTGCATAGGGGAGGTGGCTGGGGATCCTGGGGGAGGCCCTGGCAGACTGCGGCTACCCATGGGGGGCCAGTTTCACCCCTCACAATGGAGTCATCCCCCAACCAGCCTCAGTCTCCTCATCGGTAAAGTGGGTGCCACAACCTGGCATGCCCACTCCCAAGACTCCAGAGAAGGCTCAGCAGAGGGGTGGCCCTAGGTGTGCACTGGCAAGACAGTGGGCCCCCCAGCCCCCTCACCCCACCGCCTCTGCCACACATGCAAATGAGCCTTTTACTAGAGATGAATATCATCCTTCCAGTTTCCTGCTTGCCAGGAAAGGCCCACACCGATGAAGCAAGAGCCGATGACAGCTTCCCAGACTGTTTCTGGCCTTCACTCTGCACCCTGGGCTCTTCACTTCACTGGCTCGGTCACCTGTGGGTGACAGGACCAGGCCTGACCCGCCCCCATGGCTCACCAGGGACCTAGGACAGGGCTTCCCAGAGGCCACTGTGTTTCCAATACTATCTGCATCTGTATGGTTTGGCTCCGTGTTCCCACCCAAATCTCATCTCAAATTGTAATCCCCACCTGTCAAGGGAGGGACCTGGTAGGAGGTGATTGGGTCATGGGGGCGGTTTCCCCCATGTTGTCCTCATGATAGTGAGTGAGTTCTCACGAGATCTAATGGTTTCATAAAGGGCTTTTTCCCGTTTTGCTCAGCACTTCTCCTTCCTGCCACCATGTGAAGAAGGACATGTTTGCTTCCCCTTCTGCCATGATTGTAAATTTCCTGAGGCCTCCCCAGCCCTGTAGAACTGTGAGTCAATTAAACCTCTTTCCTGTATAAATTACCCAGTCTGGGGTATGTCTTTATGGCAGCATGAGAATGGGCTAATACAACATGACGTGTTGCTGCCTTCATTCAGCCTCAGCCGCCACCAAGGGAGAAACTAAGCATCAGAGAGGGGGCAGTGACTTGGCCAAAGTCACACAGCAGTTCCATAAGAGCTAAAGCAGGAGCCACCCTTCCCTTTCCCCCAGAGGTGTAGTGTGGAATGGGGTCCCCTTCCTTGAGGCCTGAGCTTTGGCTGGGAGTTGAGTTGGGGAGAAGATAGGCTGTTTTTTAAACTTTTTGCTCCACTGGTAGAGATTAGGCGCTTAGAGAAGGGATGGGCTGAAGCTTTTTGTGAATTAGCACACTCCAGCCATTGACACGGGGCCTGGACACTGCCTTCTCTCCATCCGTGTTTGCTGTCTGTGGGCCAGCATGAGTCTCTGTGAGGATTGGGGCTAAGGACATGGATTGGAGGGACCAGACCTGCTGTAGAGCTGGACTGCCCCGTTCACTATTCCAGGGTCCTGAACCCCTCCACTCCCTATTCCAGGGCTCTGAACTCCTCCACTCCCTATTCCAGGGCCCTGAACTCCTCCATTCAGTGTTCCAAGGCCCTGAACCCCTCCACTCACTATTCCAGGGTCCTGGACTCCTCCATTCACTATTCCAGGGTCCTGAACCCCTCCACTCACTATTCCAGGGTCCTGAACCCCTCCACTCACTATTCCAGGGTCCTGAACCCCTCCACTCACTATTCCAGGGTCCTGAACCCCTCCACTCACTATTCCAGGGCCCTGAGCCCCTCCACTCCCTATTCCAGGGCCCTGGACTCCTCCACTCCCTATTCCAGGGCTCTGAACTCCTCCACTCCCTATTCCAGGGCCCTGAACTCCTCCATTCAGTGTTCCAAGGCCCTGAACCCCTCCACTCACTATTCCAGGGTCCTGAACCCCTCCACTCACTATTCCAGGGTCCTGAACCCCTCCACTCACTATTCCAGGGTCCTGAACTCCTCCACTCCCTATTCCAGGGCCCTGAGCCCCTCCACTCCCTATTCCAGGGCCCTGGACTCCTCCACTCACTATTCCAGGGCCCTGAACCCCTCCACTCGCTATTCCAGGGCCCTTAACCCCTCCACTCAATATTCCAGGGTCCTGAACTCCTCTACTCACTATTCCAGGGCCCTGAACTCCTGCGTTCACTATTCCAGGGGCCGTGGACTCCTCAGTTCACCAATCCAGACCCCTGGACTCCTCTACTCAGTATTCCAGGGGCCTGAACTCCACTCACTAGTGGTCGGCCCTGGACACCCCCACTCACTATTCCAGGGGTCTGGACACCCCGTTCACTATTCCAGGGGCCTGGACTCCTCCGTTTCCTGTTCCAGGGCCCTGGACTTGAGTGTCCTTCTGCTGCAGGTCTGCCAGGTGAGGCCAGTGTCCCTCCCCACCCTCCCAGGCTGCAGGGTTCCCGAGCATGAATCCTTCTTCCTTCTTTTGACTGGGGAGTGGGAATGAGAGAGCTCAGTGCTGGGGGCTCCCAAGCCTCGAGGGTGCCGGGGAAACACAGGGTCCCCAGGTGGAGCTCTGGGTTTTGCCCCATGCTGGTCAGAGGTCCTGAGAGCAGGGAGCACTCTCACCCGCTTCAGGAGGGGTGGAGGAGCACAGGAGGCATTGCCAACGTGACCACCCCTGCCACCCCGGTGGTTCACAGCTGTGCCCAGCATGAGGCTCAGGCATCACCCAAGGACTCTTGGGGTCAGAGCCCATGCCTTTAGGAAGCCACCCAGCATGGGAGAACTTGAGGAGGGAAACCTGTGTGTGTCCCCTTGCAGGAGCCGGCTTGTATCCCTCCAGGTCCGTGCTCTGGAGAGGCTCTGGAGAATTCCCTGTGGGTCCAAGGAGGCAGGATGGGTGCCTCACTGGCCTGGCAGGGAGGAGGCTGGAGGGCAGCAAGGATGGTAGAGGGTGAAGGTGGAGGATAGGAAGGAAGGTTGAAGGTAGAAGGTGGAGGAAGGAGAGGGTGGAGGGTGGAGGGAGGAAGGAAGGTGGCAGGTGGAGGGTGGGAGGGTGAGGTTGTAGGTGGAGGGTGGGAGGTGAAAGGTGAGAGGTGGAGGGGAGGAAGGAGGGTTGGGGGTGGAGTGGGAGGGTGGGAGGTGGGAGGTGGAGGGTGGGAGGTGGAGGGTGGGAGGTGGAGGGGAGGAAGGAGGGTGGGAAGAAGACCTCGAGTGTCTGCCCAGCTCACCAGCACCTATTGGGGCCAGTGGCCAGTCCTGCTGCCCGCATCTCTGCCCTGCCTGATTGCATGTTTCTGAGTGTGAGCCCTTCCCGTCTGTCTCATGACCACAACCCTCCTCCAAACTCTGCTGTAGTCTTCTCTGTAGGGAAACACGTTTGGCATATGGGGGTCACACCTTACCCGTACCCTGGGTCCTTCCTTCCCAGCAGCCTTGGCACAGAAGAGTCAGCGCTCTGGAGGGCACAGGGGGTCACTGCTCAGCCCTGGGGTCTGGAAGGCCCACTGGAGCCAGGAGTGCGCTCCCAGTGGCCACCAGGAGCCTGGCCGAGGTCTGAGTGAATGCACCGCACATTGGAATGTAAACAGGCGGGCACCTGGTGATTGGTCTACTTAAACCCAAACAGGACCCCAACGCCCTCCACGACCCACAAGATGCACTCTGGGGCTGAGATGAAGGCCCACACACCCTCCAGGCCCAAGCTTCCCTCTTCTTGTTCCACTGTTCCTCCGTCGTCTCCCTGCTTCCTGGCTTCACCAGCAGATGCTCCCCCAAACCCCATGGTGGGAAAAGCTCAGGAATGAATCAAGGACGAATCCCATGGGACTCTGTGGGAGCCACATCTTGGGTGTCATGATCGCAATGCAAAGCAGGCAGTGTCCAGGGCGGGCAGGACAATGACTGTGGACATCCAGGGGTGGGTGGTGATCCTGTTGGGATGAGGATACAATTAGGAAAGGCAATGAGACCCTTGAGGAAGGGCAGGACTCAGGAAGATAGGACAGGGGCTGGGAGCCTGGCTGCAGAGACCAGCAGAAACAAAGCAGGAGAGGTCACCCAGCCGGGAAGCAGAGAGACCCGCAGAGGCTGGAGCAGGGCCAGGGGGAGCAATGGGGAATCCAGAACCTACCATCGATGAAGCGATAAGACCGTCGGGCAGGACCAGATGTGAGGTAGACAGATGTGGGAGAAAAGAGACATAATTATCAGCATAAGTAAAACGACAATATCTAACTTTTTGAGCACAGATGAAGCCCCAGGTGTGGTGCCGAGGCTTTACACACAATATCTCATGGACCATAGTATTATTCCCCTTGTGCAGACAAAGAAGCCTCCGCACAGAGAGGGCAGGGGAACTCCCCAAGTTCTGTTGCAGTTCTGAACTCCCTAACAGCTGTTGGAGAAGGTGCAGAGCCCCATGAGGAGCACACAGTCGTGGCTGCAGTACCGCACAGAGAGGTCAGGGGAACTCCCCAAGGTCACACAGCGGTTGGAGAAGGTGCAGAGCCCCATGAGGAGCACACAGTCGTGGCTGCAGTACCGCACAGAGAGGTCAAGTTCAGGGGAACTCCCCAAGGTCACACAGCAGTTGGAGAAGGTGCAGAGCCTGTGAGGAGCACACGGTCGTGGCTGCAGTACCGCACAGAGAGGTCAGGGGAACTCCCCAAGGTCACACAGCAGTTGGAGAAGGTGCAGAGCCTGTGAGGAGCACACGGTCGTGGCTGCAGTACCGCACAGAGACGTCAGGGGAACTCCCCAAGGTCACACAGCAGTTGGAGAAGGTGCAGAGCCTGTGAGGAGCACACGGTCGTGGCTGCAGTGCTGCTTCCTCCAGTGGTGGTCACAGCTTTCTTCCCGTGGACGCCTCTGAAGCCCACTGGGTAAACTCACGGCCTCCATTTGATGCTGGGGAAATGGAGAAGCAGGAAGCCCATGTGATGTCCAGGGTAGAGGGCTGAAGGGGCTGGGGCTGGTCTCAGTCTGTTTGGAGAGCCGCAGTCAGGGCTAACCACCCACCTTCTCCATCAGCTTGGGGTCCCATCCACACCAGCAGCCCTCCAAGCCTGCCTCCTGCACCTCGGCTTCCTGCACCACTGGAGGAAGCTCCAGAGTGAGCCCGGCACACCACCCTGTAAATCCAGCCTCGCCCCAGGCCCCCAGATTTCTTTCTACCTCACCCAGGGATCAAGAAAGAGCTTTAATGACACGGTCCCTTCCAACGCCAGCAGCAATGATCCCAGGCAGGGAAGTTCTCATCCCCAAGGACCCCGGGAAGCGGAGTGTCAGCGGGTCAGGGTGGAACCCCTGAGCCAGGGCACCCCAGCTGAGAACCCCTTTCCCTTGCCACCCCGAGGGCTGCCCTGGCCTCTGGCACATGGCTCAGAGCTGACCAGCCTGGCAGGGCCTATGCTCACCTGTGGCAGTGCCTGCCTGAGGCTTTGGGGCTAGGAGTTGGACCCGTCCTCCTCCTCAGGTAGCACCTCCCTGCCCACGGCCTCACCAACCTCTCTGCCAGAAGGCCCTGGGACAGGGTGTGTCTCCAAATACCCACTGGCCTGATCTCCTTCAACCCCACCCCACGAGCAGGACTGTCCCAAAGGGCTGAGCTGCTGTTCAAAGTCACACAGCTCAAAGGTAGGACTGGAAAGGAGGTGGCCCCACCCCGCCTCCCTCTGCCCCACCCGGTGCTCCTCAGGTCCTAGCAGCAGGGGAAGCGCTTGTGAGAGGCCAGGTTTCCCCACGTACGAAGGACCGAAGGTGCCCTGGGATCCCGACAGGCTTCCCCTGGGATTCAGACAGCCCCGCCCTCAGGTTAGACCCCGCAGCCCCCAGGGGACCCTCGGAGCTGGCTGGAGCTTCCCCCACCCACAGCAGGCCCCAGGTCCTGCAGGAGGCTGAGCCCACCCAGAGCTCCAGGGGCCCGACCCACCTGGCCTGGTCTCCCGGCCGCGTTGGCGGTTCTCCGACCTTTTTCTCAACATAAGGGAACGTTCCATGGGCAGGTGTCAGGCAGTTGTCAGGCAGGGCATTAGGAACATTAAGGACCCAAGAGTTTGAAAAACTGATGCTGAGTGTGACAAAATGAAAATCGCAGGAAGGTCTTGATCTGGTGAGAAGGTCTGGGCAGAACTGGTTTCAGCCAGTGAATTCACAAGCTGCTTCACACCTCAGCCCCATGCCCGATGGCACCTGAACGCCAGCCCCAGACTGCCCCTGTGAGATTAGATCAAACCTCTGAGCCTGATCAACCTCCTGGCCCGTGGCTGGGTCTGTGCTGGAGAGGGGAGAAAACTGCCCAGTAATGATCGCGTTTCATGGGTGATGAGAGTCCCATCGTTTCATGGGTGATGAGAGCCACGTCGTTTCATGGGTGATGAGAGCCCCGTCGTTTCATGGGTGATGAGAGTCATGTCGTTTCTGAACGTAACAGACGGAGGTCCGTGCTGAAAGAACACTTTTCAAGACAGGAGCAGAATCATCTTGCTAATGCTTGTGTGATCAGGCAGGCAAGGAAGGAAGGGGCTGCAGGCACTGGCCTGGGGTCAGGAGCACGGCCACTGTCTCCATGAGACGGGACCACACGGCAGCACCTCTGACCTCCACACAGCCACTGGGGCCTTGGGGACTGGCGCTGTCTCACAGTTCTCAGCTGTCTCTCTACATCCTCCGCTCACAGGTCCCCCTCCACACACACGCATGTTCCCCTCCTGCGTAGTAACAGTTCCAGCCGGGAGAGCGCGTGCTGGGGCCGGGGCTCGGCAGAGACAGCCCAGCGCCTCTCGGACAACTGTCCCTGCCTGTGCACAGGGAGCAGGCCCGTGATGGCCGACCTCAGCCCCAGTCATCCTCCTGGGACTCTTTCCACCAGCATTGATGGAGCGCCGCCAGAGCTACGCCGCGAGGAGGAGGAGAGCTGGACTTGCTGGTGCTGAACTCAAAGGCCCAGGGCAGAGTTGGATGCTAAAGCAGTCACTGCCTGTTGGCTCCCTTCTGCGAAGCAGCCAGGAAGACGGGAGGCCCACTGGACACCTGGCTCCTTTGCGTTTGTGCCCAGCTGGGCGTCCTGCAAAGCCAAGGTGCCCCTCCACTCATTGCCCTTGAAAATCACAGGGTGGGGGCATCTCGGGGAGGAGTCTCAAACAGGCAGGCTCTTCAGCCCTTTTAATCCCAGACGCCAGGATGCTCAGGCAGACGTGGAGCTGCAGTGCTGCCCGCAAGGCTGTGGAGTGCTCCTGCTTGCCATTGCTCTGAGTGGCCCTCTGAGGCCAGTGCTGTGAGCCTGTTCCACAGGTGAGCAGCCTGAGGTGGGGAGGGCCTCGGCTGCTCTGAGCCCCAGCTGCCTATTTGTAGAACTGGGTAATGAGAGTGTGGGTTGTCCTAGGGGTCAGATGAATGGACATCTGCGAGGTGCCCGGGAAGCACCAGCGGCCCATCACTGAGGCAGCCACTGAACAACAAGAAAGGGCAGGTGCAAGGAGCCCAGGGGTGAGGGTGTGGGTGGAGGTGAGCTCACCCGAGATAAACGGCTGGACCACATACACGCAGGTGCTAGCAGGACCCTGTCACCTGGTGACCCACATGGCAGACAGGACTCTGCCGCTCTGGCCCGGCTGCACTCTCTCCTCACTCACCCGACACCCACCTGATGCTGCACCCGGGTGGAGGTTGCTCTCTGTGAGAAGTGGGTGCCCTGGCCAGGGGCTCAGGCAGCCAGAGGATGAGGATGGCCTGTCGGGTGCTGGCTCCCCATAACCTCCCCTCCAGAAGCACAGTGGGCCCCTCAGGGCTCGGCACAGAAGCACTCTGCCCTGCACAGGGCCTGGCCCTCCCAGCAGGTGCGAGCCTGTCTGGGAACCCTGGGCTTTTGTTCGTGAGTGGCAGACGGCTCGTTAGGCCCGGGTAAAATGAAGCAAGAAAACTTCCTTGCTGGCTTATGCCCTCCGGCCGTGTGTGCTCCTCTGCTGTCTATCTCAGACCTGTGCCTGGTAAAACAAGCACCATGGTCAGACAATGTCCTGAGCCCTCACGAACTGCAGAGGGCACTGAGCCAGACGGGGTGGGCACTTCCCTCGGGGTTCAGCCTGCATCATGGCTCCAGCCCTGGATGCACGGGGAGGCAGAGAGGACTGGGAATCTCAGCCTTGGCGCACACCTGGGGCCACGCGGCCTCCACCTTCTCACTGCAGGATGGGGAGGCCAGGCCGGCCAGCCAAGGGGCTGACAGAGGAGGGCTGGTGTGGGCCAGCTGCTTGCTGCACAGGGAGTGCTGACCATCAGAGGCCGTGGGATCCCCACAGGGCAAGGCAGGCCTTGGCCACCCGCTATGCCTGAACACCAGCAGCTGTACCCTGGGGCCTGCCACCCCTGCTACTCTGGGCATGTTCATCACATGCTTGACCATAGCAAGGCCTCGACACCCAAGGGCTCAATCCTGCAGGTTCAGAGGCTGGACCTCTTCCCACAGATTGAGAGCCAGGCCCTGTCTTTCAGGTCAGCCTCATCAGCCAAACTCAGGAGACTGACGTACAGGCTTGGAAGGCCATGGTGCTGATGTGGGCGCAGAATTACAGCAGACCATGGGTGGGACTTCAGATGGGAGTCACTTCCATGGAGAAGCTTCCCATCGCTGTGGTGGAGCCAGGTGTCCCTGAGACCTCCCTTACCTCACGGGCAGGCCACATCGCAGGGAGCTGCATTACTGTCTTCTGATGTCCGCCCAGCTGATGGGGGTCGCAGTGGGGCTGTGTTGTCCTCACGGGCTTGTGTCCGGGTCTGCACAGCCCTGATCTCAGCTGTGGGCCCTGAGCCTGCCAAGAGATGAGCAAGTGCCTCCGTGTTCCCTGGGGAAGAGGTGCTGGAGGGCCCGTCTCCAAGAGCACCCTCCCCACACTAGCCGCAGGCGGGCTCTTCACATTCCTCATTCCCAAGCTGAGCACCGCCCCTCCGACAGGCCGAGTCTTTCTTTAAACACAACTGTTCCTCTTTGCTCAGGCTCCGGAACAGGCTTGCGGGCTCGTCTGCAATTTACTGTCACCTACAGGGGCAGATTCACCCAGTCCCTGAGTCCTGGGCACAGTGCTGCCCTCTGGGTGAACAGTTGACCCAGAGGAGCGGACGGGAGTGCCCCTGCAGGGGTGTGGCCCCCATGTCTGAGAGGCCTTTTGCAGGGCTCAGTTTGTGAGGTCAAATGCTCAGCTCTCACCCCAGGGTGAGGAGGATTCCCTGGAGCCAGCTGGAAGAGCACCCATCATAGAACAGGCAGCAGAGTCACGGTAGCTTAGGGACCCAGGAAGAAGACCCTTCCACACCAGGGCTGTCCACCAGGCAGGTGAACCCAACAAGGACCTAGGCATATGACCCCTTCCAGGACCCAAACAAGTAACCCCACCCAGGCCCAGGCTGGAGGCTGCATCCAGACTCAGGTGGCCCCATCCAGGTCTCAGACAAGTGACCTCCTCCAGACCCAGGCAGGTTACCCCATCTGGGACCCAGGCAGTGGTCCATGAAGTCATCCACACCAGGCACCACAAAGGTGCAAATGGCCGGTCCACACGCACGCCGGTGCTGGCAGGATCTTGTCACCTGATGGCCCACATAGTGGGCAGGACTCCGGCGCTCTGGCCAGCATGGACGCCACTCCTCCCTCACTCACCTTCTCCCTCCTGAAGCTGCACCAGGGTGGAGGCAGCTGTAGCCACAGGACGAAGAGGGCCTGCTGGGTGCTGGCACCCCGTAGCTGGGGCTAACATTCCTGTAATTAGCATGAGGAGAGGCCCCAGCTGCTCCGGAGCGCTGAAGGCAGGGATGGATGTAGCCTAATTGCCAGCTCCCTACACCTCCCAGGACTGCCCTCTATGCTCAGGGTCTGTGTGATGTGGCAACTCAGATGGCCCCACAAGGGTAGAGGTGTCCCTTCCCTCCTCAGGCTCCCCTGGTGCCCACTGCCCAGTCACTCCCATCAGCCTGTTTGAGGCAACCTGCTCCCCATTCTAGAGCCTCTGGGTAAATGAGCGCCTCTCCCAGGAAGGCTCCTGCAGTCTCATCTGGACTCAGGGCGGAACTGCAGGTAGGTTTCTGCATGGCACCTGTGGGCACAATCGACTGACTGTAACTGCCCAGGGCTGTTGACCTGCTGTAAACTCGGGGCCTCCTCCTGTCTCTGCCTTGTCTCCACCTGCATCAGCCTCTCCTGGCAGCGGGGAGACAGGCGTCGGGTGCCCACACAATTGGCAGGAGGGGGAGGAGCAGAAGCACTGGGATCCGAGGGCAGAAAGGCACAGATCGAGACATTCCCAGGTATGGCTGGGAAACAGTGGGCCAACCCCACATTCCCCAGGTAGGCTAAGTCAGCGATGCATTAACAAGGGGAAAATGAGCGTCATGACCTCCTACAGAGCACCCCACTCCAGAAAACTCCTACGGGTGGGTGGGAAGATGCCAATTAACCCAACCTCTCAATGGCTCCTTTTAGCCAAGTCCCTGCAGGCAAACACCTGCAGATGCCCACCTGGCTCCTGGGGAGAAAATTCCCTGCTGAGTCCCGTCCTTGGCCCCGGGATTCTCAGGGCAACAAGGTCTCCTTCCAACAGAGTGGGGACACAGCGGCAGCTCAGCCTTCCCGAGGCTTAAACTCGGCCAAGAGGAGCTCCTGGGGAGAGGCTCAGAGAAGCCAAGATAGGCGGGGTGAGTTTTCTCGGCACGGCCTCCCGGAGCAGCTGGCTAAGGAGAGACAGGGTTTGCAGGGCCCGGCCCAGCCCAGCATGGCAGAGCAGAGCAAAGCACGGGCAAGAGCTGAGGACCAAGCGCCCAAGAAGTGGCACAATAGCTTAGGGACCCAAGAAGAAGACCCATCCACACCAGGACTATCCACCAGGCAGGTGAAGCCAACAAGGACCTAGGCATGTGACCCCTTCCAGGACCCAAACAGGTGACTGCAGATGCTGCTCAGCTGGCGACTGAGCTCGCTCACACACACTCACACACCCTCATGCAAGCTCATGCAGTTATGCACACTCACACACGTACACTCGCACATGCTCACACACATGCATGCTCACATACATGCACACGTGCACACACAGCTCACACACTTATGCATGCTCACATGCATGTTTACGCACATGCACACACATGCTCACACACTTATGCACACTCATGCAGTCCTGGACACTCACACAAGTACACTCACAATGCTCACACACACGCTTACACTTATGCACACTCACATGCACACACATGCACACACATGCTCACACATGCACACTCATGCAGTCAAGCACACTCACACGTACACTCACAATGCTCACACACACTCACATGCACTCTCACACATGCACACACACATGCTCATACACTTATGCACGCTCATGCGCACACACAGTCACACACACACTTGCTCACTCGCATGATCACACACACATGCTCACTCACACACAGCTGCACAAGCAAGGGCCTGGTGCCTAGGGCAAGAGCAATCAGGAGGTGGGCAGTGGCCCCTCAGTGTTCTGGGCAGGACAACTTGGAAGAGCCACAGAGGAGCCTGGAGTTGGAGGTCTAGAGGTCCCAGTGTTGCACCTGACAGCTGGTGACCCTGGGGCAAGGCACTGCAGTTCCCAAGTCCCAGGGCAGCTGGGACTCATCCAGGGGAGTGTGCTACAGCCTCATGCCCTTGAGTCCTCTGCCACCTTTAATGTCCCCTGAAAGCAGT
The DNA here is from genome assembly GCF_000001405.40 of Homo sapiens. Classification (NCBI taxonomy): domain Eukaryota; kingdom Metazoa; phylum Chordata; class Mammalia; order Primates; family Hominidae; genus Homo; species Homo sapiens. Next base: position 239,723,497 of record NC_000002.12, on the reverse strand, counting down.
TTCCACAAGTACAGTAGAGGGCAGGGCGTTTCCTAAGGCATGCAAATCACAGGGTGCAAGAGGTACCACTGTGGAGCTGGCAGTTGGCCCTGGAAAGCAGGCCTGACATCCTCACGAAAGCCTTGTCCTGGGCCCAGCAGCCGCTCCCAGGGCCTTCAGGCTGTGCGTGCTTCTCTGGGCCCCCAGTGGGACCTGCAAGGCAAACGCATCCCTGCACTGCAGTTCTAGGACAGAGCAGGAGGCTTTCTGGACACACAAGTCCCAGCCCTTGAGAAGAGACCTCCAGCTTGGAAGTGTCCATGTGTCCCTCCTTTCCCTTCCATGTATTAGAGACATGGGCCACAATCTGTCCACTTTGCTGCGCCCGCCTTCTCCACCTGCCCCTCGTCTGTGCTGGCCACCGTCCCTGTCCACCTTCTGCCAGCTGGAAAGCAGGAGGCCGTGCCTCTCCGATGCCCAGCCCCCACTCCATGGCCCTATCACACACCAGACAGGAGAATGACAGCCGTCTTCCCCCATGTGCCAGCCCTTCAGCGCCCCTCCCCACCCCTCAATGCCCCAGTGTCCAGGTATTTCTCATGGGAGGGCATGGTGTCACCTCAGCTGGACTTTGGCCATCCCCACTGGGCCGAGTGCTGTCATGCACATGGAGCTGCTGCCCTCTCTGGGGCCTGCCTGATGATGTGGGCAGGCGGGTCACCCCCCGAGGCTCAGGTACCACCTGAGTGGGGCCGGGTCACTCAGCCCACAGAGATGCACCATCACTGACCACATCTCCTGCAGGGCCAGGTGTGTCCTCTGCTACAGCCAACACCCGGACACTGAGGCCTGCAAGGACCCTCAGGCCACCACCCTTAGCTGTGGGGTTGAGCATGGAACTCCCCCTGCACCTCAAGGCCGGGGCTGCCTCCCTCAGCTGTGGGAAACAAGGAGGCAGCTGGATGGGGAGACCTCCCCAGGCTGTGGAGCCCTCCAGAGCTCCAGGACCCCACCTGAATGGTGTGGGGTGCAGCCATCAGCTTCGAAGGCCAGTAGTCCATCCCAAATTCCAGCTCCATCCATCCCCAGTTGCGTGACTGTGGGCGGGTGCTGGACTCCTCTGAGACGGATCTCCTGACGGGCTGTTGACAGCTCCAGGCATCCACACAAGGTGCAGCGTGTGGCCCGGTGCTGCCGGGCTCTCATCCTGCCTGCCTATCCCGGGAGCAGGGCCCTCTGGCCCTGTGGAGCTGTGACAGACCAGATGGCTCCACAGGCGCTTTCCGCACCTCTCAGGCTGTGGGGACGTCTCTCTGCCTCTGTGGTCTCAGTCCAGGGTCCCATGCTTCAGACATCTCCTGGACCACCCATTTCCTGTCCTGCAGGGCAGCCCCAACACGTCCAAGCCCCCAGCCCCCACCTGTATATCCAGGAGCAGGCTCCAGAATCCAGGTGTCCCCGGAGCGACTCACTCTCTCTAGGCCTCAGTTTCTGTAACACTGGGGATTTGGACTACGTCACCTCTCAGGCCCTTTCTGGAGTGGAAATCCTCTCCGGTGCTGATGAGACGAAAAGCTTCACGTGCCCCTCTGAACAGTATTCTTTTCGATATAAATTAATCAAAAGAATAAATGAGATGAGGTTGCTGGGGCGGATCCTCATCTTAGGTTAGACTCTGAGGCGCGAGGTTTGTGAATCGTTGATCACACCAGGGCCTGGGTGGGGCAGGGAGAATGGGGCTGCTGCGTCACAGTGACAGAGGCCTCTGAAATCCGGTGAGGGTGCATTGGGGTTGCCCCAGCCCAATGTGGGGGTGGCTCTGGGTCCATCGCCGGCCAAGAGCTGCCCCCCAGGCAGGGGAGTAGCCTGGGGCAAGGCGACTTCACCTGACTGAAGGCAATTCCCAGAGACAACAGCTCCCCGGACATTACTGCAGAGCTCACTCCCTATCACAGGTCTCAGATGCAGGTGCTGAAGACCCAGAGTGGGTCCCTGGGACCCTGATGGGGCCTCTATTGAGAGCAGGAAGCTGCTACTCGGAAGAAAATGCCTCTCTGAAGGACTCACACACTGAGAATTATTTCCTGGAATTTTTCCACGATTGTTCTGCCCTTTCCTTGTCTCCACATAAAGGGAAAAAACCCAGAAATGACACCATCCCCACATGGGCCGAGGTTACTTTTTGAATCAATAACTGTGGGTCGGCCCCTCATCTAAGTCTGTTCCCTAGAGCAGAAGGAGGCCCCTGCCAGGGCAGGCCCTGCCTCTGCATCTCTTTGGCCATCTTGAATTCCTCTCGGGCCTGGGCCAGGCTCAGAGGCCCTTAGCTGGCACCAGGGTGCTCCAGAGGCCCTGCTCCCCAAGTCCAAGGCCATCTCCTGACACAAGGGAAGGGGCATGCCAGCTCTAAACCCGGCCACATTGTCATGGGGTCACCATTGGCTCATGTCCTAGCTCCCCTCCAAATCTCCCGATGCCAGCACCGCTGTTGCAGGCAGCCTCACACTGAGAGGGTCCACCCATGCCCCAGTTCCCCTCCAAACCTCCTGATGCCAGCACCGCTATTGCGGGCAGCCTCACAGCGAGAGGGTCTGCCCATGCCTCAGCTCCCCTCCAAGCCTCCCCAATGCCAGCACCACTGTTGCGGGCAGCCTCACATCGAGAGGGTCTGCCCATGCCCCAGCTCCCCTTCAAGCCTCCCCGATGCCAGCACCCATGTTGTGGGCAGCCTCACATCGAGAGGGTCTGACCTGCAGTTCTTCTGGGGACAGATTCCTTTTCTGAAATCCTGGATCAGGACTGAGACCAGGGCAGGAGTCCAATCTGAATGGAAACCCTGGCCGGGCCGGTGCGTTCTCCCTTCCAGAAGGCACTGGCGTGGGGCGAAGTCTAGGTTGAGGCACTGTGGTTTCACAGCTGAAATCCAACTCTGGAACCACTTTAAAGTGTCTAATGGGAACGGGATGGAAGGGATGCATGGCCCGGCTGCAAGGAGAGGAAGGGCCGTGGAGGCCGTGGCAGAGGAGCGGCTCCTTGTTCATCCTCCGACTCTACAGACCTGCCCAGCCAAGCCCTCCGGGCAGAAGGAGTCCAGCTCCGCCTGAGTGCATGTGCTTTGTTTGCTTTTGCTTATTTTTCCCAATCCAGACTCAACGAGCAAACCCCAAGGTGACTCCTGCCAGCTCAGGTTCAATCCTCCCATGTCCGTGGCTTCATGGTGTCCTCAGGACACCCCATGAGGTGAACAGTTTCATGTGGTTTATAGATGCAGGGGATGGCCACCCAACTGGACAGTCACCTGGATGGACGGACACCTGGATAGACGGTCACCCCGCCAGACAGTCACCTAGATGGTCACCTCGCTAGACAATCACCTGGCTGGGTGGACACCTGGATGGATGGTCAGCCAGCTAGACAGTCACCTGGATGGTCACCCATCTAGACAGTCACCTGGATGGATGGTCACCTAGATGGATGGTCACCTGGATGGACAGTCACCCGGCTGGATGGCCACCTGGATGGACGGTCACCTGGACGGATGGTCACCTGGATAGATGGTCACCTGGCTAGACAGTCACCTGGATGGATGTTCACCTGGATAGATGGTCACCTGGATGGATGGTCACCTGGATAGATGGTCACCCGGCTAGATAGTCACCTGGATGGATGGTCACCTGGATGGATGGTCACCTGGATAGATGGTCACCCAGCTAGATAGTCACCTGGATGGATGGTCACCTGGATGGACAGTCACCTGGACGGATGGTCACCTGGATAGATGGTCACCCAGCTAGACAGTCGCCTGGATGGATGTTTACCTGGATAGATGGTCACCCAGCTAGATAGTCACCTGGATGGATGGTCACCTGGACGGATGGTCACCTGGATGGACAGTCACCTGGACGGATGGTCACCTGGATAGATGGTAGCCTGGCTAGACAGTCACCTGGATGGATGGTCACCTGACAGACAGTCACCTGGATGGATGGTCATCTGGATGGATGGTCACCTGGATGGATGGTCACCTGGATGGATGGTCACATGGATAGATGGTCACCCGGCTATACAGTCACCTGGATGGATGTTCACCTGGATAGATGGTCACCCGGCTAGATAGTCACCTGGATGGATGGCCACCTGGATGGACAGTCACCTGGACGGATGGTCACCTGGATAGATAGTCACCCGGCTAGACAGTCACCTGGATGTATGTTCACCTGGATAGATGGTCACCCGGCTAGATAGTCACCTGGATGGATGGTCACCTGGATAGATGGTCACCCGGCTAGACAGTCACCTGGATATATGTTCACCTGGATAGATGGTCACCTGGCTAGATAGTCACCTGGATGGACAGTCACCTGGACAGATGGTCGCCTGGCTAGACAGTCACCTGGATGGATGTTCACCTGGATAGATGGTCACCCAGCTAGATAGTCACCTGGATGGATGGTCACCTGGATGGATGGTCACCTGGATGGACAGTCACCTGGACGGATGGTCACCTGGATTGATGGTCACATGACTAGACAGTCACCTGGATGGATGGTCACCTGGATAGATGGTCGCCTGGCTAGACAGTCACCTGGATGGATGGTTATCTGGATAGATGGTCACCCGGCTATACAGTCACCTGGATGGATGGTCACCTGGATAGATGGTCACCCGGCTAGACAGTCACCTGAATGGATTGTCAACCAGCTAGACCGTCACCTGGATGGATGGTCACCTGGATGGACAGTCACCTGGATGAATGGTCACCTGGCTAGACAGTCACCTGGATGGATGGTCACCTGGATAGATGGTCACCCGACTAGACAGTCACCTGGATGGATTGTCAACCAGCTAGACCGTCACCTGGATGGATGGTCACCTGGATGGACAGTCACCTGGATGAATGGGCACCCAGCTGGCTGCTCTGAGTACAGCTCTCACAAAACCTTTGCTTCCCCCCTCCAAGTTCACGACCTTTCCTCCACTCTTCCCTGCCCAAGCACTTCTAATTAATGTAACTTTGCCTAAGCTGAGATCCTGGGGTTCTTTCAGTACCTGTCCCAGGCAGTGGCAGGGCCAGGAGAAGGGAGATGGCTGAGTATAGGCAAATGTCTCTATGCCACACATATATCCATCCCGTTTTCCCAGCTGGAAGTCGCAAATCCTTTTCTTCCTGTTTTCAGATCTTCTGATGTGTCTTCAGATAGTGTGTGTAGTTCATGTAGTCATGTTTCTGTTTGGGAATTTTTTTTCCCTGGAAAATACTCAGGGCTCTGTCTTTAAATTGAGGGCATCTTAACGTCTTCGAAATGTGCTTTAGGGCTAGAAAGATTCCTGTTCAATCCTGGCCCTGCTGTTTACATCTGTGTGACCTCAGCAAATCATCTCACCTAGCTCAATCCTCTCCCACCTGTATTTTAATTTATGTGGAAAACAAAACATAACATCATCCAGAAAAGCCACCTTTCCTGTGGAGACAGCTGCCTTCCTCGGCCCCCTCGCGCCCTTGCCGGTGGTGCTGTGTGGCACGCCCTAACCCACGAAATGGTGGAGCCGCGGTGCCCGGTCTCACAGGCCCTGACGTCCTGGGGCCGCACACCTCACACAGCTCCCCAGGCATCAGTTCAGGCCTGCGCCTCTGGGAGGCAGTGAGAGAAGCCTGAGGGTCCGCAGCGATAGTCAGCTGGGCCCAGCTGCAAACATTCAGCATTGATCCTGCCTTGCCGCCCGCCCACCCGTGGCCCAGGACGAGTTGTTACCTGGCCCAGCTCGGTGTCCTTGCGCAGAACAGGATGCATCGCCCACGTCCTCAGGGGTCTGCTGTAGTGGTCAGAGGGTAGCACTGTACTGGCAACATCACAGCATGTCTAAATGTCAATTACTGCCATCATCATTCTTGTTTTTATTTGCTAGTGTTGATTAAAAGCTTGCAATCTGCCAGGCACTGCCACCCCCATCCATGGGCTGTCTCCGTGCTGAGAGATCTCAGTTTTACAGATGAGGAAACTGAGGTTCAGACAGCATAGGGCACCTGGGACGAGTCAGGGGCATGTGGGGAACCCATGAGTTCTGACTCAGAGCCCGTTCCTCACTCCAGGCCCTGACCACCAGCCCAGCTCAGGTGGAACTTGGGTGTGAGTTGAACTTCTCAGGTGCCTGGTGTGGAAGAGCCAGGATGTGGGCTTGAGGATGTGGGCTGTGCCTGCGTCTCCTTCTCCCTGAAAAGAAAAAAAATCCCAGAAAGCAAGACACTGGGCCCAGGGATGTCAAGTTCACGTGCTGCCAGAAACACTTCGGTGTGACTGTGAACGGCTGTGCCCCTTTCTTGCAGAGCAGCTGCCCTGCTTATGTGGCACCAAGAAAGTGAGAGAGAAGGTCTCTCTCTCAGCTCAGAACCACCACTTGGCAGGCCAGGCAGGCAGCTGTGATTCAAAACACACCCGTGGCTCTGGAAAGAAGAACTCCAAAGCCTGGGATGGCCTGGAGCAACACAAAGCCACTTGTGTGGTGTTTCCAATTCTCCTTTTAAAGCAATTATTAAGTTCATCTGAAAGTCAAATAAGAGCCACAAATCAAAAACAGAATTAACAAGTAACAGCGGGGCTGTGAAATTTGATCTGATGTGTTTTCAGGGAAGTGGGCGGAGTGCCCACTCACATCTGGTCAAGTTCAGCGTCACTGGAGGAACCGCTGGCCGGGGTCAAAACCTTCCGCATGACGGATCATGGAATTAGACGTGACATTCACAGGAACGACAGTGAGCCCTTGGCCAGTGAATGTCAGCTCTTTGCTTACGAAACTGTGATCCTTTCAGGAAAGCCAGACACAGGGTCCTCTAGGTTTGCCAGGCTTTGCAGGGCCTGTGTTCTAAGGCCCTTGAGAGGCTGGAACCTCCTTCTTCAACAAGCTCTCCCGTAGTGGTCGTCCAGCCCAGAGGGTTTTAGATCTCACACTGGTTGTTTGCTCCTCACTGAAACCCTGTTCACAAATTCCAACATTGCAGGGCCAGGTAGTAACTGGGGCAGGGAGCACTGAGAGTCCCCGGGAACTCCCCCAGTTCAGGTCCCCATGTCCCAAGAGAATAACATAAGATGGGCTCACATTTGTGCCCAGTGACCCCTTTGAGCAACACCCATTCCCTCTCGGCTTTGGTGTCTGTGCTGCTCTTGCTTTTAAGAAAAATGTTTCTACTCTTACGATTTTTCCCTCACTTTCCAAATGTTTTCTGTTATCCCCCCACACACGCACACCCTCACACATATGCACACACAAACACACACATACACACACACTCACATACATACACACATGCACACTGAACCAACATACACACGCATATACACGCACTCTCACACACATATACACACAGGCACACAGAAACACACACACACAAACACCCTCTCACACATATACACATACATGCATACAGAAATACACACATATACACACTCTCACACACATCTGCACACACACACACACAATCTCAAGGTGGGAGAGCAGCATCTAGACTCGGCCTGCCTGGTCCCCAGCACCAGCTCTGTGGTCACTCCCTGTGGAGAGACGGCACGGCCAGCAGGCACCACCCTCTGTCCGGCAACACAACAGCAGGCAAACTGTGCATGTGAGCAAATGTGTCCCGTACCCAGAATGCCCGCCAAGGTGAATACGAAACACCTGCAAAAAGCCAGCCCAGCGGGGCCTTCGCCCCTGGTCCAGGGGAGCAGAAGGGCCAACCTGAGGACCATTCTCGGGGACCTGCTCTGCTGTGGCCTCCTGGATCTGGCTTCCAGGGCTAGGAAACCTGGTGAAAAATCTCTGTGGGAGGATTGCGGGGCTGATGCTGGGCGAGTGCAGGGAAGGGAATGCAGAGGCCGGAGCCGGCTGGCATTACGGAGGCCGACTCTTCCCCAGCCTTTTGATTCCACGGCCCTGCAGCTCCTTTCAGAGTAAGATGCAGGACAGCCAGTGCTCCTGACTGTGAGCTGTGACCCAATATAGGCCTGCACCCCAGATGAGTGCTCAGGTGCTGCTTGTGTCCCCAACAAACACACTCTGCGCTGGGCACCCCCAGGACCAGGGAAGCACTGTTCACGGCAGTGCAAGCAGACTGCCCCGGCAGCTCCACATCTAGGGGAGAGGCAGGCAGCAAACCCGCAGATGAGCAAAGCAACAGTGTTGCCTCAGAACCAGTACCATGGAGAAACTGACGCCGGGAAGGGAGAGAGGGGCTGCTGGTGGGTCCACGGGGGCTACACTGTCTGACCAGGCGCCAGGCATAGTCTCTCTTCTGGGCTGGCAGGGGAGGGGCAGTGGCTGAGTGAGCCTGACAACGACCTGGGGGAGACCAGCAGCAGGGAGCACAGGAGCATGTCTGAGTGGCTGCCCCTGCCCCTGCGGGCCGACACTTAGATTCTGACTTTTTTTTTTTTTAGGTTGGAGTACAATGGCATGATCTCGGCTCACTGCAATCTCCGCCTCTGGGGTTCAAGCGATTCTCCTTCCTCAGCCTTCTGAGTAGCTGTGATTACAGGTGCGTGCCACCACACCCGGCTCATTTTTGTATTTTTAGTAGAGATGGGGTTTCACCACGTTGGCCAGGCTGATCTCAAACTCCTGACCTCAGATATCTGCCTGCCTCGGCCTCCCAAAGTGCTGGGATTACAGGCGTGAGCCACCGCGCCCAGCCTAGATTCTGACCTTTTAAGTGAAAGCATGCCGCCCAGCATCCTTAGAGCATCCTGCTTGCTTGCACCTTGGAGGGTCTGATGGGAGATTTTCTTCATTGATTTACCTTTCTTTGTGTTTCTTGTGTTGTGATATGCAGGATTTTTGTGTTTATGCAGTCAAACTTATTCATTATTTTCTTATTAGTTTTTCAACAATAGGATGAGATGAGGAACTTGCCTGTAGTTACTTCTAGTTGATGCATGTCCCCATTTTCACAGTGATCTCGGTAATTCACCTGGAAGGTATTTTGGGCTGGGATGTGAAGGAGAGCGCTTAGGTTTGGTTGACCAGACGTCCCAAAAGCATCCAGTATGAATTCTCTTTTGAGGCCGCCACCCCATTCCCACCATGTTGTTAGTGTCTCTGCAGTGGGTCTACTTTGGAAGCCCTGGCATTGTCATCTGCATCTACAGGCCCGGATCTGTGTTCTGGATCCAGGACCACCCCCCTGCTCTGCATTCTGGGTTCTGAGCCACCCCAGTGCTCTGAATTCTGGGTCCAGGGTCTCCCCTACTCTGAGCTCAAGGGAGCATCTCACATTTTCCTCCAAAGCAACGGAGTGCGGTCCACAGGCTGGCCCGGGCCACAGACCACCTGTTGGGGCCTGCCATGAGTTAAGTTTAATAATGTACACTGTTTAGAAACTTTGTTGTAGCAATTCAACTTTGTTGTACCATTTCTACTGAATTTTGCAAAAGTGTTGGTCCTCAGCAGATCGGAGGAAGAAACTAGTTCTTTGCCATGAGATCTTGGGAAGCCTGGTCTCCATCGCTGACACCATCTTCCTCTGCATTGAACCTGACCATGTCGGATACAGATGTTAATGCTGTCACTGCTCTTTTTCTTTAACTTGTCTTTATTTCATTTACTTCCTGCCTGACTTTGAAATGAAAGGGGAATGAGTTAATGGGAAGGCAATTTTTTTTTGTATTACATGGTCTTCTTTCTTGCCTTGTTTCAAAAACATTTAATATATGTGAACATTCAGCCTAGATATTTTCTCAAATTTCTTATTTCTGTACCTTTAACATTGATTCCCTTTTGTAAAGCAGTAAGAAAAAAGGTCCCAACAGTAAAAGAGCAGAGGACATGAATAAGCGGCCCTAAACATATCAAAGCAATTTTAATGTCACGAAAAGTTAAATAAACACAAAGTAACACACAAAAATGAATAATACTTTTTAAATCTATTCCATTGCTAGAAATAACTGGAAGACTGAATTCCTGCTCGTGAAGCAGCACTGAAGTGGGAACCCTCCTGCCCTGTGTAGACAGGGAAACGGACACAGCTTCCCAAGAGAAACTTGGCCACAGAAACCAAGGGCAGAGACAAGGTACAGGTTTTTGACCTGGCATTGCTGTTTTTAGAAATATGTGCTGAGAAAATAACCAAAGAAGCAGACACAACTTTAGTACAATAAAGTCCTCAGGGTCTAAGGCAGAATGGCCAAAACAACCACCCACAACAATCACAACCAAATCTGGGAAGAGCTTAAATGCCCCATCAAGAGACAGTTAAATCCAGCTGTACCAATTCCATGGACTAGTATACGGCCATTAAAAATCGTGTGAAGGGTTCAAGAAATGGGGAAATGTTCTTGACATATCAGCACCTCGCAGATAGTACAACAGTACATTCCCAGACACATTCACACACACACACACGTGCAAATACAGACAATGCCAGAAGGCTGAGAAATAGCACCTTCTTAATTTTTGCTCACTCAGAATATTTTCTAACTTCCATGTTAGGCTGATTTACCCTCAGTTATTCCTGGGGCTTGTCTCCGATAACACTCTTCCCTCTGTGATCACCTACCACGTACCTGGGGTTCTGCAGGTGTTTTGTCATGTCATCACATTTATTCAATTTCTAGGGACAAGGCAGCTGCTTCCCCCAAGACAACTGGAGATGCCCACTGCCCTTTGCTCTGTCTGCTGAGAGGACCAAGAGCAATGACACTGCAGTAGCAGTGAGCACACCCAGTGTTCAGATCTTGGTTTCTAACACCATCTCCAATTAAAAGAACCAGAGGGAGGCAGAGGTCAGAGGGGAGCAGCCACCTGTGACTTGAGCAAGGACCTGAGTGAAGTGGCCACAAGCCCAGAAGTGCAGAAGCTGCCAGAAAGAAGTGGAAAGAGGAAAGGAGCGGATTCCCCACGGATGCCTTCAGAAGGAGCCACCTTGACTTTAGCCCTGTGAGTCCCATTTCAAATTTCTTGCCTCTAGAAAGGTAAGAGAATAAATTGCTGTACTTCTAAGCCATTGGGTTCTGGGCATTTGTTAGAGCAGTGGCAGGGAAGTGCATGACCCACTCATGGTTGCCTCTGGCTCTCAGCTCCATGTGCTGAGTGACATGGGTGCAGTTTGCAGCCCCACTCAGGTTCTCCGGAGCACCATGCAGGGACCTCGACAGAGGCTCGTGGCCCAGGCTGCACCCCTGCTTTGGCTGGACACTGGGCACCCCTCCCTCTTAATGTGGGAGAATCCCACCCTGCACAGCACCCTGCAACCCCAGGCAGGCTCGGTGGTGGCTGCAGAGGCTCTCCCTTCCTTCTGGAACTTAGTGGGATGCACCCACATGTGTGCTCTGCACACACAGAGGAGCTGTCTCAAGCCAGCGGCCCCTCGCCTGAGCTCTCACCAGTGCTTTCCTGGCAGGACTTTGTGCCCCCTACCCCCACTGCCAACCATGGCGCCACACACTGTGGATAGGTAGACACTAATCCTTGTCAGGTCTTGGGGGGGGCACCCCTCACTCTGCTGTGGGGCAAGAGCCAGTGCACACCTTGGCCTTGAGACCTCTTGACAGATGTCTCCCAGATGCCGTTGTCACCTCTTCTATCCTGAGTGGCTACACCCTTGGTGTGCTGCATTGGCTGGGGGTCTCACACTCATCAGATTCAAGCCTGGGTATCTTCACATTCACCAACTTGCTGCAGTCACATTGTAGGAAATGGTTTGAAGCAGAAGCTATGGGGCCAGGAGGGCTGGAACGGGAACTGACTTGAGAAAATGGTATCCCTGGAGGACATGGGGAACATGCAGAGGAGGATAAGCTAACCAAGGGCCTCCCAGGTGCAGGACACAGATTCTGAGGAGAAAAGAGGAGGATGGGAGGCCGGAGGGCAGAGGGCAGACAGAGGAATGTATGACATGGGCCAGGGAGTGAGGCTGGGCCCAGGCCAGCCCAGATGGCCGTGCACAGATTTGTGTCTCCACCCAGAGAAGGGGGTGATGGGATCCACTGTGGATTGAAAGTCCACTATGAAGTGTAGGGAGCAGATTTGGGGTCGGTGACAGGGCCACAGGAGCCTAGTGAGGACGCCAATGCTATCACCCAGGCTGGGTGTTGGTGGCCAGGGACAAAGGAGGAGGAGGGGCTGGCAGGAGGCAGCAGACTGTGAGCTATCACAGGACAATGGGGAGGCCTGAAGGTTGAATGAAACTGAAGGGGGAGGAGGAGGGGCACTGAATGACCTCCCCAGGCTTCTGCTTGTATAACAGACTGGATGGGGTCGGGGAGGTTAGGAGGAGAAGTTTGCAAGTTGGGTTTGGGCAAAGTGAGTCTGCAATGCCTTTTAGACATTCAGGAAGATATGTCCAGGTCATTTGGCTGTTCTGGTCTAGAGCTCAGAGGAAGCACCTGAGCTGGAGGTCCAGGTGGGCCCCTGGCATGTGGGCATCACCTGGAGCTGTGGCCGTGGTGAGAGGTCACAGGTGTGAGCCCCAGGAGCTCCAGGACAGGAGGAAGGTCCTACAGAGCAGTCACAATGGAGGAGGAAAGGGAACACAAGCAAAGGAGCAGAAAACATCAAGGAGATGCCTTCAAGGACTATTGACCATGTAGGGATAAGAGATGCGAACTCACACACACTGGCTTGTAGGAGGCCAAGGAAACCCAAAAAACTCACAGAAGCAGATTCTGCCTGTGAAAACAAGGTGCCGTGTGCTGGGCTCTTTCTTTGAGATGAACAGAAGGCAGTCACAAAAGAGACTGTCTTAAGAGGAGGACAATTTGCAGAAGTGGCAGCTTTCCCCTAAACAAAGAAAAAGAAAAAAGATAATGAATTAGATTGAGCAGTAGCTAATAGAAGTTGATAACTGAATAAATAATATATTTATTATGTGCCTAGGTACTTAGATTACCTTATATTTTAATACCATATTGTGAATTTTCATTTAAAACAAAATAAAATTATTAGTAAAGAGTGATCTATTTTACTTTATTTTTTGTAATGCTAAACTAAGACATAATGAGAAAGGCATAATGGTTTGGATTATGTTTACATGTTCTTCAAAAATTAATATATTGCAAACACATTTAAGAATGGCATAATATATAGAAAATCCTAAGGAATCTACAAAAAACTGTTAGAACTAATATCACAGTGAGGCTGGAGAATAAAATATCAATTTACAAAAATCAATTGTAGACACCAGCAATAAACAATCTGAAAATAGAATTAACAAAACAAATCCATTTAAAATATTATAAAAAAGAATATATACTTAGGAAGAAATTTATCAAAGAAGTACCAAACTTATACTCTCACATACTCTGTAATCTGAATATTACAAAACTGTTTAAAGAAATGAAAAACATTCAAATAAATGGAAAGATATACCATGTTCATGGATCAGAAGACATATTATTGGCAAAATGACAGGGGTGGTTAGTCTTACATGTCAACTTAGCTAGCCTACAGTCCCTAGATATTCAATTAAATACTAACCTTGATGTTGCTGTGAAGGCATTTTAGATGTGACTGAGTTCCATAGTCAGTTGACTTTAAGTAATGGAGCATACACTAGATAATATGAATAGACCTGATCTGATCAGTTGAAAAGCTTTGACAGGAAAATTGAAGGTTCTCTGAAGAAGAAAAACTTTTGCCTATGGACAGCAGCTTCTGCTTGTGCCCAGAAGTCCTAGCCTCTTGTGATTGGCAACCTACTCTATGGATTTCAAACTTGCCTAGCCAGCCTTCAAAACTGCTAAGCTAATTCCTGCAAATAAACAAACATTCTGCTGATTCTTTCTCTGGTGGAACACTAACTGATACAATGGCAATATTCCCCAAATTGATCTACAGCTCTAATGCAATCCTTCTCAAAATCTCAGCTATTGACAGTACATAAACAACAAAAGATAGCATAGATAAATTGGACTCCAACAAAATGTAAAATTTTTGTTCTTCAAGAAATTTTGTGAATCAAAAAAATAAAAAGACAACGCACAGAATAGGAGAAAATATTTGCAAATCATACTTTGCATAGAGGACTTGCATCTAGAATATATAAAGAACTTTTGTAACTCAGTAATAAAAAGACAAATAACTCAAATAAAAAATGTGCAAAGAATTGATACACTTTTCTTCAAAGAAGATACACAAATGTGCAAGAGTAACCTGAGACGTGCAAATCAAAACTAGGAAGACACCACTTCATACCCACTAGGATACCTGTAATGGAAGAGATGGATAATAATAACTATTGGCAAGGATGTGAATAAATTGGAACCTTCATCCACCGATAGGGGAAATGTAAAATGGTGCAGCCATGTTGGAAAATAGCTCAGCGGTTTCTCAGATGGTTAAGCCTAGAGCTACTATACAGCATAGCAATTCCACACCTAGATATATACCCAAGAGAAAGGAAAACAGGTCCACAGAAGCCTGCACATGAATATTCATAGCAACACTGTTCAGCAGAGCCAGAAAGTGGAAGCAACCCACATGCCCGTCAACTTATGAATGGACACATTAAATGTGGTGTATACATAAAAAGAACAACCACTCAAGTGTTGTGCACACGGTAACAGGGATAGATCTTGAAAACATTATTTTAAATGAAAGCTTCCGGTCACAGAGGACCACATACCATATAGAGACAGAAAGTAACTTAGTGGCTGAGCCGGGGAGTTAGGGGAAATGGCAAGTTACTACTCATGGGCACAGGGGTCCTCTGAGCATGTGAAAATGTTCTAGAATTGACCGTGGTGATAATTGTACAACTCTCTAAATATGCTAATATATATGTTACTATAATATATAGTAATATATACTACTAATATGCTAATTTAGTATATATTAGTATATATACTAATACACATTATATAGTATACAATTTATATACCATATGTATATAAATGTATAGTATATAATTTATATACCATATGTATATAAATGTATAGTATATAATTTATATACTGTATGTAAAATTTATATTATATATAACTGTATATCATATATAGTTATATATTATAGTTACATAGTTATTTAACTATATAATATATATTATGTACTATAATATATAATTTATATATTATATAATTTATTTATTAGTATATAAAATTAGTATATATACTAATATATAAACTATTAATATATAAATATATAAATTATGTATTATATACATTTATATATTATATACTATATAAATTATATATAAGTATATATAAATTAGCATGTTAGTATATATTATATATTAATATATGCATAAAATATTTATATATTTTATTATATATTTATAACATATAAAATAATATAGATTATATACTAGTATATATAATATACGTTAGTATAAAATAATACATTATATATTGATGTATATATAAGTACATATATATTAGTATATATTTTTATCTATTTATAACATAAAATAATATATATTAGTATATAACATATATTAATAATACATATTACATATTAGTATATATAAATTAGTGCATTAGTAAATGTACTAAAACCACTGAATTGGATACTTTACGTGAGTGAATTGTACGATATATGAACATATCTCAATGAAGCTGCTATAAGGAAACCATGATTAACTGGTCCTATTCATCAGAAAGTCTCTGTGAGTTGAAAGAAGCAGATCTAAGGCTCCCCATGGCATAAAAAGAAAACACATTGAAAAGAACTCGGTTGTTTTCAGTGGAGACCTCAGCTAGAAACTAAAACTCTGTGAGAATGGATTGGCTTTTAGCTTCCTATGGAGCTTCCTATGCCCTTCCCCAGGGCAGGGCAGGGCAAGGCAGGGCAAGGCAGGGAAGGGCAGGGCAAGGCAGGGCAAGGCAGGGCAGGGCAGGGCAAGGCAGGGAAGGGCAGGGCAGGGCAGGGCAGGGCAAGGCAGGGCAAGGCAGGGAAGGGCAGGGCAAGGCAGGGCAGGGCAGGGCAGGGCAAGGCAGGGCAAGGCAGGGAAGGGTAGGGCAGGGCAAGGCAGGGCAAGGCAGGGAAGGGCAGAGCAGGGCAGGGCAGGGCAAGGCAGGGCAAGGCAGGGCAGGGCAAAGCAGGGCAGGGCAGGGCAGGGCAGGGCAGGGTAGGGCAGGGCAGGGCAGGGCAGGGCAAGGCAGGGCAGGGCAAGGCAGGGCAAGGCAAGGCAGGGCAGGGCAGGGCAAGGCAGGGAAGGGCAGGGCAGGGCAGGGAAGGGCAGGGCAAGGCAGGGAAGGGCAGGGCAAGGCAGGGAAGGGCAGAGCAGGGCAGGGCAGGGCAGGGAAAGGCAGGGCAAGGCAGGGCAGGGCAGGGCAAAGCAGGGCAGGGCAGGGCAGGGCAAGGCAGGGCAAGGCAAGGCAGGGCAGGGCAGGGCAAGGCAGGGCAGGGCAGGGCAAGGCAGGGCAGGGCAGGGCAAGGCAGGGCAGGGCAGGGCAGGGCAGGGAAGGGCAGGGCAAGGCAGGGCAAGGCAGGGAAGGGCAGGGCAAGGCAGGGAAGGGCAGGGCAGGGCAGGGCAGGGCAAGGCAGGGCAGGGCAAGGCAGGGCAAGGCAGAGCAGGGCAGGGCAAAGCAGGGCAGGGCAGGGCAGGGCAGGGTAGGGCAGGGCAGGGCAAGGCAAGGCAGGGCAAGGCAAGGCAGGGCAGGGCAGGGCAGGGCAAGGCAGGGCAGGGCAGGGCAGGGCAGGGCAGGGCAAGGCAGGGCAGGGCAGGGCAAGGCAAGGCAAGGCAAAAGAAAGGCAGGGAAGGGAAGGGAAAAGAAAGGCAGGGAAGGGAGAGAGGTAGGGAGGGGAGCAGGGAAGAATAAAGAGGATTAGCTCCACACCAGGAGACGGAGCACACTTCCCCTCTCTGACTTTCAGTGTTTTAAACACCTTCCTCCTCCAGAGTGCCCTCTGGCTCCCTCTGACCTGGATTCCCAGCTCTGAGTTTTTCATGTAGGATGACCCGTCCCCCTTCCCACGCCTGTCTCTGCTGAGTCTGGGTCAGATCCAGACTGGCCAACTTGAAGTCCTTGAATTCCACACTTCGCCAGCCAGAAGCTGCTTTTGGCAGCCCTGGAGGTAGGTCAGAGGGCAAAGAGAGAATCTTGGAGGAAGAGATCCCAAAAGTTCCGAAGTTCCAGCTGAGTTAGCGTTTTAGAAGAGCTAGAATGACCGACCCTTCGTGGGAAAAGAGTGCTGTTCAACTCTAACAAGGCCTTAGGGAAAAAGAGAGAGAGAAAGAGGGGGAGACAGAGGAGGAGGGAGGGAGAGAGGGAAGAAAACAGAGAGAAAGGGGGGCAGAAAGGAGGGGTAGAGAGGGAGGAGAAGCTCAGAGGAGGAGGATGGAGCTGTGGTCGGCATCAGGGGTCCCCTCTTTACACAGCCCACTGTGGTATCCCTTTCATATGAGCAGCCAGCCCCAGGGTCTGCAGGGTGCATAGTTTTTTTCTAATTAACAACAACAAAAGAGCCCCCTTGATCACCCACATTTGCATCCCCTCCCCACACTCAGGGTTCTGATGGTGCAGCCAGGAGCTCCACCCTGAAACCCACCCAGATGTGAATCCCCCAGGCCTCATCAAGTGGTCCCCAGAATCTTCCTCCTCCCATTAGCACCTTCCCAGAAAAGCTCTTACGGTCACAGCCTTCCTCTAAGCAAATGGATTCCCACCAGAGGGTCTGTGTCTCAGGGGCATGAATGAGTCTGGGAAATCGCATCCACAGAGTCAACTGTGTGGCCCTTTTTCTCCTACTGTTCTGGTTCTTAACCTACATACCATCAGATCATAAATTTGCTATTGTCTTTAATAAAAGCTAGATTCGATGGGCACGGTGGCTCATGCCTGTAATCCCAGCACTTTGAGGGGCCGAGGTGGTTGGATCACCTGAGATTCGGAGTTCGAGACCAGCCTGACCAACATGGAGAAACCCCAACTCTACTAAAAATACAAAATTAGCCAGGCGTGGTGGTGCATGCCTGTAAACCCAGCTACTCGGGAGGCAGAGGAGGATGAGAATCGCTTGAACCCGGGAGACAGAGGTTGTGGTGAGCCAAGATCAGGCCATTGCACTCCAGCCTGGGCAACAAAAGCAAAACTCCTTCTCAAAAATAAATAAATAAATAAAAATAAAAATAAAAGCTAGATTAAATGGCTGCTGTCCCAGACACCTGGGTCTGGGTGGCCAAGTCTTCGGAGATGCCTTCAGATTGTGTCCCCTCTCGCTGCCTCAAAACACAAGGGGATTGTCATGCCTCCTGTCATGGTCCTGCCATTTGAAGTAAGGGTTGAAAGAGCCTTAGAAATGCAAATGGAATCTGCATGCAGGTCCTCTCTTCTAGTCTAGGACAGCTCCTGAACTGGGTTTTCTCCCTATCTGCATTCCAGCACTGAGGAGACAGACGCTCCTGGAGGTGAAGGGAGTCACCTCAAACTCACACTTGCCCATGGACAGGCTGGCACTTGGATCAGGGTCTCCCCTGTTGTCGGTACCCCATGGGGTCTATGTTCAGTTCTCCGGGTCCTAAATAACCTACAACATCTTTCTAGGGAGAAAGGGGATGTTGGGTGGGAGGAAGAAGCAGAGGTGCAGGGAGGGGAAGTCATTCGTCAGGATGTTAGGCTGGTGTGCAGGCAGAGCCTATCCTTGGAGCCCAGGTTCTCAGAACTGCCCCGCAGGGGCCTCAGAGCAGATAGCGGCAGTGGGTGCCGAGGGGAACTGTGGAATGGGGCCTGGCCAGTCAGTGAATTTTCCAGTCTAAGGTGGGGGAATAACAAACCCCTTCCTTTGCACCCACACTTGTCTATACCTCCTCTCATCTCCCTTCTACCCTGCCAACCCCTCTAAACTTGAGCAGAGAGTACCATGGACTCTGCAATATGTCACCTAACTCTCTTCTCACTTTGCCAGTTCCTTGGTCTGGGTGAGAGGTGGGCTTTGTTTCTGGCTGTCCTTTGCTGTGCAGTCTGCCCTGGCTTGGGTCCTCTGACTCTTCCCGGATGAACTATTCCCTCTTTCATCTCTCCAGACACTTCAACCATGCCAAGAGCCTCTGCTCTCTTCCCCAGCACAGCTTTCTAAGGGATAACTGCACTCTGGCCTACAAAGGCATGTGGTTTCTTCCTTGATGGAAGGCACTTTCTTCTTTTCCTCATCTCTGATAAGTCTCACTAGGAATGCAAACAGTGATTAATGGACAAACAGACCTGGATTGCAATCCTAGATCTTTCTAGAGACTAGGCAACTCCTGTAATTGTTCTGAGCCTCAACTGCCTCTTCTGTAAACTGGAGATAGTGTCCTGTGCCTACGACTGTTGCAGAAGCAAAATTATGCAACATGTGTGGAAGTGCCTGGAAAAAGCTCAGATACTAGTATAAATACTTGTGTCTACACAGAGAAATGATGGGCACCTGAAATGGAAATGTTGTAGGTAAATATAAAATACTTTTTTTGTTTTTAAAATTATTTAAAAGATAATTGGCTGTTTAATGCAAAAATAATAGAACTATATTATGGGGGTTAAAATATCAGTAAAAGTAAATTTAACAATTACAATAAATATAAATGGTCTAAACACTTCAAATAAAAGGAGTAAACTGTCAGACTGGATAAAAAGAACACAACCCAACAACAAGCTGTCTATAAGATGCGTACTTCAGGCCAGGAGTGGTGGCTCACGAACTTTGTGATCCCAGCACTTTGTGAGGCTGAGCGATCACTTGAGCCCAGGAGTTCAAGACCAGCCTAGGCAACATAGTGAGACCTCATCTCAAAAAAACAAAAGATAAAGGCATGCATTTTAAATATAAATACACAGATAGATCAATGGTAAACAGACCTAAAAGAGATATACTATGTAAACTCTAATCATAAGAAAACTAAAGTGGGAACATTTATATCAAAGTTGACTTCGGGACAAGGACTATTACCAGGAATACAAAGAAACATTTTCTAATGATAAAATGGTTAATTCATCAACAGGATATAACAAACTTAAATGTAGGAAACAAAAGCTTGTAGAACTAAAACATCAAATAAATCTACTAATACTATTGGAGAGATCAGTGTTCCTCTCGCCTAAGGGTAGAAGAAGTAGACAAAAAGTCATTGAGGATACAGAGAAGTTGGAGAGCAGTATCAAACAACTTGACCCACAGAACTTAGCAAGCACCCCACCCACCAGCAACAGAATCCACATTCTTTTCAGGAAGAGTTCTCCAAATATGTGAGGCCTGATATAAGATAGGGATAGCATTGCAGGTCAGTGGGGAAATAATTGAATAAATGATGCTGAGAAGTTTGCTATCCATGTGGAAAAGAAAAATAAAATTACATCTCTGCTTGCATAATCCCCAAAGATAAAATGTGGCTGGATTAAACATAACTGTGGAAAGTACATTTTTAAAACTGTTATTCAAAAAAATAAATATTTTGTGACCACAGAGTAGGGAAAGATTTATTAAGGAAGTACTAACACAACAGAGGTTCAACACAAAGGACAAAAATGATAAATGTGATTGTATCTATAGTTCAGATTGTACACGAAAGGACATCACAACAAATTTACTAAAACACCACCACATGGAAGATGTCTGTGTCACGCAAAATGGCTGAAGGGTTAAAATCTAACATATGTCAAGAATTCCTACAAAAAGTACAAAATAATAAACAACAGAAAAAATTTTCAAGGATTCAGAAGGGCAATTTATGGAGGGAAAATTTCCAATGGTAAATAAACTTGAAAATATGATCAATCTCACTAAAGGTCAGATAAATCCATATTAAACTACACTAAAACTCCAAAACTGCCCACAAAAAGCAACAGAAATTTAAGTCTCATCACTTAAGTGCTGCAGAGGATGTAGAGAAAACAAAACTTTTATATACTGCTGGTGGGAATATAGATTGACGTAATTACTTTGTATAACAAATTGCCAGTGTCTAGTAAATTTGAAGATGCCTCTACCTGGTGAGGAACAATTTGCTCCTGGGCATATGTTAGAAGCTTAGAGAAACATTAAGTGCACAGGAAGAATTTTATAAAACTATTCCTAGCAATATTACATTTTGTTGAGGAATACATGCATTCATAATGAAAGTGGTTAGAAACTCAGGGTGAGGATAAACACCCAAGTCAGGATGGTGATCCTCTCTTGGCAGGGGGTGTGAAGTGGAATAGGACCAGGAGCGGTACATGGGTGGCTGCAGACATGGATTCCACATTTTATTTCCCAGGCTGCTTGTTGGGCTCATGCATGCACATGAAAGAAAGGTGGAACCTCCCTTATCAAAAATGCTTGGGATGAGAAATGTTTCGGGTTTTGGTTTTTTAAGAATTTGAAATTTTTCTTTTACATAATGAGATAGCTTGGAGATGAGACTGAAGTCTAAACACAAAATTTATTTATGCTTTATAGACACCTTATACAGATAGTTGGAAGGTAATTTTGTCCAATATGTTTAATAATTTCGTGTATGAAACAAAGTTCGTGTTCAGTGCTTGTGCGTAGAATTTTCTAATTGTGGTGTCATGTCAGTGCTCAAAAAGTTTCAAATTGGCTGGGCGCGGTGGCTCACGCCTGTAATCCCAGCACTTTGGGAGGCTGAGGTGGGCGGATCACGAGGTCAGGAGATCGAGACCATCCTGGCTAACACAGTGAAAACCTGACTCTACTAAAAATACCAAAAATTAGCCGGGCGTGGTGGCAGGCGCCTGTAGTCCCAGTTACTCAGGAGGCTGAGGCAGGAGAATGGCGTGAACCCAGGAGGCAGAGGTTGCAATGAGCCAAAATTGCACCGCTGCACTCCAGCCTGGGCAACAGAGCGAGACTCCATCTCAAAAAAAAAAAAAAAAAGTTTCAAATTTTGGAGCATTTCAGATTTTAGATTTTGAGATGAGGGATGTTAAATATATATTCATTTTTTATTTTTAGATGTCCAAAAAGTTGCGTAAATTATAGTTAATTTCAGATGCTTTGGAAACTTAGTTCAGTTAAATACATAAATCATAAAACTGCAGTTAATGTGAAAAATCACCAATGTTTAACTTCTATCATTTGATGCAAAATATTCGTCAGTAAACTTACTTTAAATTGTATTGTGTTAAAAAAATTAGATGATAAAAAGGAAAAAGGAAATAAAGACATGAGACTGATTCTATGATGTTTTGGCTAAATCAATATTTTTCAAACTGTGGTCAGGCCCCTGGGGGTCCCTGAAACTTTCTCAGAAGTCTCTGAGGTCGAAACTCTTTTCATAATGCTAGGAGGCCACTGTTTTCTTCACTATATTGACGTTCGCATTAATGGTACCAAACAGCCTCAGTGCTGGGCCTGGAACCAAAGCCGGAGCCACACCACACAGCAGTCACTGCATGCGTCACTGCCAGGCACTCACGGGGAGGGACAAAGAACATAACCTCCGTGTTACTTAAGAATGTTCTGGGTGAAGGAGAAAAATTATTTATGTTATTAAAGCTCAATGCTTGAGGCACATGCCATTTTAATATTCTAACTAAATAGAAAGTACACACAAAGCCCGTCTGCAAGCTGAAGAACAATGGTTCTCTTGAGAAAAAGCGCCATGTGACTGAACTAAGAGCTCCACTACCCACTTTTTTCATGGAATAATGTTTTTACTTGAAAGAATGACTTACAAACTATTCAGAGTTCAGTCTTTGGCAGATTTCTTGAAAGCAAATGAAGTGAACCAGCCTTTTCAAAGAAAACCATTGACAGTATTTGTTGCCAATGCTAAAATGTGAACTGGAGTGTAAATTAAAATTTTGGAAAGCATGTATTCACCACCAACGTCTTCATAGCTTCCCATTACTTAAAGACTTCCCTGGTGAGATGGGTGGTGATATTAGCAAATATGATTTTTTTGGATACTGAATAATGAAACGTGTCTACATTTGAAAACACTGTATAACTCAGTGAGTCATTATTTTCCAAATGACCAAGATAGGATGTTATAAAATCATGCAAAGTAAAAGATCCATTCAAAGTTAATGATAGGGCTATGCATTTTAATGTAACAGAGATGAAAGCGTTCATTAACAGGATTCAGACTCTACATTGTAACAAATCTTCAAGAAACTACCAATTTTTGTGTATAGCATAAGGGTCCAATTTTATTATTTTGCATGTGCATATCCAGTTTTCCCAAGAGAATATTCTTTCCCTATATGTATTTTTGGCACTCTTGTAGATCAGTCAACCATATACTGTGGATTTATTTCTGGGCTTTTGGACCAGAAACTATAAATCTTCTAGAAAAAAACATATAGGAAAGGCTTTCTGGCATTAGTCTTGGAAATGATTTCATGAATATACCAAAAGCACAGGCAACAAAAGCAAAAGTAGACAAATGGAACGTCAAATGTAAAAGCTTCTGCACAGCTAACAAGCAACAGATGAAAAGGCAACCTACAGAATGGGAGGAAATATTTCCAAACCATAGATCTGATAAAAGGTGAATTTCCAAAATATGTGTGAAACTCCTACAACTCAATATCAAAAACACCAACAACTCAATTAAAAAATAGGCACAGAGCTTGAACAGACATTTCTCTGAAGAAGATACACAAATGGCCAAGAGGTATGAAGAGGCTCAATGTCACTAATCATCAGGGAAACGCAAATCAAAACCAACCTCCTACCTGTGAGAACAGCTGCTAAAAAAGAAAAAAAAAAGACGCGCATCGGTGAGGCTGTGGAGCAACCAGAAACCTCATATACTGTTGTTGTTCAGAACGCAAAATGGTACAGCCATTGTGGAACACAGTGTGGAGTTTCCATCGGTGAGGCTGTGGAGCAACCAGAAACCTCGTATACTGTTGCTGTTCAGAACGCAAAATGGTACAGCCATTGTGGAACACAGTGTGGAGTTTCCTCAAAAATTAAAAATAGGGCCTGGTGTGATGGCTCATGTCTATAATCCCAGCACTTTGGGAGGCCGAGGTGGGTGGATCACCTGAGGTCAGGGGACCAGCCTGGCCAACACGGTGGAACCCCGTCTTTACTAAAAGTACAAAAATTAGCTGGGCATGGTGGCACATGCCTGCAATCCCAGCTACTTGGAAGGCTGAGGGGGAAGAACCGTTTGAACCTGGGAGGTGGAGGTTGCAATGAGCTGAGATCGCGCCACTGTACTCCAGCCTGAGCGACAGAGTGAGATCCATCTGAAAAATAAAATAAAAAATAAAAATAGAACCACCATATGATTCAACAATCTCTCTTCTGGAATTTAACCAAAAGATTTGAAATCAGGACTCAAAGAGGTATTAGTACTCCTGTGTTCATTGCAATATTACTCACAACAGCTAAGATGTGCAAACAACCTAAATGTCCATCAACACATGACTGGATAAAACAAACGTGTACACACAATGGAACATCATTCATCCTTAAAGATGAAGGCAATCCTGCCATAGGCAGCCACACATGATGAACCTTGGGGACAGGCCATGGGAAATAAACCAGCCCCAGAACAAATACTGTATGACTCCATTCCCACCAGGTCCCTAGAGGATTCAAATTCCTAGAGGGAGAAAGTAGAATGGTGGGTGTTAGGGGCTGGGGGCTGGGGGGCAAAAGCTGGGAGTTGCTATTCAACAGGCTTAAAGTTTCAAGTATGCAAGATGAGTAGGTTTTATTGATCTGCTGTACAATGTTGTGCCTATAGCTAACAAAATTGTGTTGCATACTTAAATATTTGTTAAATGTTTTTACCACAATAAAATAAAAAACACTACCAGTCAGACAGGTTGGTACAGAGTCAAAGCAGAAATGCACAATTATATATATAAAAAAAAAACTATTAAAAGAGTTTTATTCCAACAGACCTATCTGTCAGATTTTCTTCATGTATTTCCACCAAAACAACATATTTAACTGATGGCTGGAGAAACAGGCATGAGACTCCAGCTACCATCTATTAACCCAGACTTTTAAGGAGATCTGTGCAATTCTAAAGCAACACAACTCACTGTTTTCACTAAATATTTTACATTAAAAAGTATAGCTGTTTTCCCAACATGTTATTTACATTAACGTATAATATGTTATTATTGTTATTTTTAGGGAATACATCTCTGAGATATTTAGCTTTAATTTTTTATATGATAGACATTGCTAGATATAACCTATGGGAACTAAACCTGTTTGGGGTCCTTGATGGTTTTTAATGTAATGAGGCTTTGAGCCCAAAGCAGTTGCTATCCACTGGGATGAAACATCCATACCACGTCCCATGCCTTCTAATTTCAAGGACAAATGCCCCTGAAAACACAATCAGGGAAACGAATGTTTTCTAGAGACACGTCTACACTGGATTCCAGGGTCTGAGTGTGTGGGTGTAGAAATGCATGCTTAATTGTGTGGAAGAAGGTTGTTCAGATGATAAGTTTGGGAGAGGGTGTGTTAAACAGCCACGGCTTTATTTCTGATAGAGAAAAAAACATACTGATCATTCTTTTTATTTAAAATATTTAAGCTGGTGATTCTGGCCACGTGTAAACATGGCGCTGCTCAGCACTGAGCAGGAGGGAAAAGGGGCGGGGCCTGCCGCCGCGAAGAGGAAGGGGCGTGGGCCCTCCAGATGCGGAGACATTAGAAGAAGGGGTAGGCCTGGGCCGGGACGGTGCCCTCCCCCACGTTAGCCCTGCAGTGACACCGAAGGCTTTGTGCATGGTGGGCCCAAGCACGACACCCTGTGGCCTTGGACCTCAGCCTGGTAAAAAGCTGCCTCCCGGGTGTTCCCAGTGAGTTTTTCACATCAGCGTCTATGGCCACACACTTTGCTCTCTTGGTGAAGTCGACGCTGGTACTCTAAATCAGGGTTCCCCAACCCCTGGGCCATGGACAAGTACCAGTCTGTGGCCTTTTAGGAACTGGGCTGCACAGCAGAAGGCGAGAGGCAGGTAAGCGAGCAAAGCTTCATCTGTATTTATAGCCTCTCCCGACTGCTCACATTACCACCTGAGCTCCGCCTCCTGTCAGATGATTCTCACCAGAGTGCAGATCCTACTGTAAACTGTGCATGCAAAGGAATTAGGTGTGTGCTCCTTATGAGAATCTAATGCCCGATCATCTGTCACTGTCTCCCATCACCCTGATGGGACCATCTAGTAGCAGGAAAACAAGCTCAGGGTGGGTTCCCACCAATTCTACATTATGGTGGGTTGTATAATTAATTATTTCATTATGTATTGCAATGTAATAATAATAGAAACAAAGTGCACAATGAATGTAATGTGCTTGAATCATCCTGAAACCATCCCCTCTACCCCAGTACATGGAAAAGTTATCATCCACGAAACCAGTCCCTGGTGCCAAAAAGGGTGGGGACTGCCGCTCTACATGAAGAAAATCAAGGGGCTTACACATTTATACATTCATTCATCCAGATTCTTCCCAGTACTTATTGATCCCATCTCACGTAGCATGCCTGTGCTGGGGGCTGGGAGCGTTTCTTTCCTCAAGGAATTCGCTCTGCTGGGAAAGTCAGAGAACAAGCCATAAATACGAGAGCTTTGATTATAAGCAGCAAGAAGGAAATCAGCAGCTGCTCTGTGGTGAAGGACAGTTGGGGCCTGGGTCTGTTGCGGTGGACAGAAAAGGCCTCCCTCAGGCCAGGCCATGGTGGTGGAGACCTGGGGCTGAGCAGAGCAGCCTGTGAGGATCTGGGGGAAGAATTCCAGGCAAAGGGTGTTAGAGTAGGTGGTGCGCGTGCAAGCTGGGCAGTCAGGAGCTCCTCAATTGCAAGATGTGCTTCCAGGCCAAACACCAGCGAACCCAAGACAGACAATGAGCAAAGTAGGGGCCTGAGAGGCCCCTGGGGAGGCAGAGCGGGGTTGGGGGTGCGTCCTCCGTGCCCCGTGTGTCCCTGCAAGACGTCTCCAGCCAGGAAGGTCTTCTGAGCATATCTGGACCACTGCCAGGGACCCTATATTCTCATCTCTAGAAGAAAGAAGATTGTTCACTGCACACCTATCAGAATGGCTAAAATAAGAAATGCAGTTTACACAACATGCCATGAGGATGTAGAGACACAGGACACTCATGCACTGCTGTGCGGGGCAGGGAGGCAGAGCTGCCCAGGAAGAGCATGGCGGCTTCTTCCTGAATGAAACATGTTCTTCCCATGTCACCCAGGCAATGGTTGCCCTCCTAGGCGTTTATCCCAGAGACCTGGAGACCTATAGTCACACAGAAGCCCACACATGAATGTTTATATTGTCTTCTTTCACAAGAGTCAAAAACTGGAAACAACACAAATTTCCTTCAACAGCAAAATGGTTACACTGCGGAACGCCTGTACCAGGGAATACTACTCATGAAAGGGAACAAACTGTGGATACAAAAATTCAGAACATCTCCAGGGAGCCACGCCAGGTGAAAAAGTCAGTCTAGAAGGTTATGTCATGGAGAGTAATCTTGAAATGATAAAGTGATGGAGGTGAAGAAGAGATTAGGGGCCATGGGGGGTGAGGGACAGGGAGAAGGCCGTGGTTCCACAGGGCAGCCGCAGGGGTCCTGGATGGATGGTTCTGTGCCTTCACTGTGGCGGTGGATACGCGAACCAACACAGAATTAACCCACACACAGGCAAGTGCGTGTGACACTGGCGACATCTGAGTGTGGGGCGTGAACAGCGCTGAGGTCAAGCTCGAGGCTGTGGCTTTGTCCTGTGGTTACCTAAGACGGCACCTCTGGGGGAGACGGTGGAGGCACCCTGATCACTCTCTAGTGTTCCTGCAACTGCATGTGAATCTACAATTATCTCAATGCAAAAAGGTATTTGGTTATTTTTTTTAAAAGAAGACTGAGACAAATCAGTGGATTATAAACTGTCTCCGTGGAGTTGTCAGGACCAAAACAGAGAAGCAAGAGCAGGACTAAGCACTTCCCAAGAAGGAGCATTCCGGATCAGCCGGTAGGGTGGGAGCCTCACCCAGGGCTCAAAGCCTATGTTGGGGCAGGGATGGCAGAACTTGTGTCTACTCCTCTCTCTCCCTGCCCTCTGGCTCCGGCAGGGTCCCTGGGCACCATGGCTGGGTCTTAGCCACCCATGAAGGAGCGTGGCCAACATACACAGTTGCCAAACACTCAGAGCTTAGCCCTGGAGATGACTACATGAGCTGGGGCCAGGGAAGATGGATGAGAACTCAGGAACTGCCCCCACTACCCAGGACCACATGAGCTGGAGCACAAAGGAGCCCGATGGACAGGAATCAGGACCTGTCCCCACAGCCCAGACCATGTGAGCTGGGGCAGGACAGGGCCAGAGAGGGTGGACAGGAATCAAGGCTCATCTCCACACCTCAAGTGGCCACCTTTTCCCAGCCACATCTCTCACTGTCCCTTCCTCACACACCACCATTGCCACGATCATCACCACCCACAGGTGCAGACCACAGCTCCAATGCTGGCACAAACCTATGAGATATACTTGCCCAAAACTCTCTGGAACCTCCTTAGTGTTTTCAAGTGCATATTCTGGTGCCAAGCAGTGGGACTCAAACCCACCGTTCTCTTCAGTTTACAAAGACTGAAATTTTAATGGAACTGGTGAAAATCATTTGGCAACATCTGTATCATTCCTCCTTCTCAGAGCACGGTATGGGTTTAGAAGAGAACACCCCAAAGTGCGTGATGGATTTGCCAAGCCACAAGTACTTAAAAACTAACTTTAGAACCTTGCCAAACCCCTAAATTCCGTGGCATATTTTGATCCTTATTAAAGGCATATAAAATAATACTACTCATGAGGGGCTCTCTGCTGCATTCCCCAGGTTCTGTGAGATTGCCTGTCTGTTCACCAAAGCAGCGCCTGCTCTGAAGGGCTTGTGGCAGCCCCGTGCCACCCTCCTGAAGGAGCAGGCACCCTGAGCCTCATGCCTCCTGGGCAGCCTGGCAGCCACGGCCCTCAATCCAGGAGGCCAGGAGAGTGGCAGCCTTGGAATCTGGGCTGGATCCTGGCTGCACTGACTCCTTGGTTCTCCCTGGTGAATGATTTCACCCATCAGGCCTTGGTTTCCTCATCTGCAGTGTACATAGAGTGCTTAGCACTTGGTTATAGAAACCCCAGCTCTTCCAGCTCTTCCCTCTGCTCTGGTGGCTTATGTTTAATTTTCCCTGGAGAATTGCTCACCAGCCTGTGGGAAGCACCGTTTGTGCTTATAGCCTGTTCTCTGCAAAATTGCAAATCCTCTGCTGAGGCTTCTGTCCTCCATGGAGATGGCTACATCGGTCAGTGGGACAAGCCTCTGTCAGGCCTGTCTGACCCCTTGACTCCACCATATGAGAACTGAGGCCTCGGGCTGTTTATACGCCTTCTGAGTGGCTCCCCAGCAGGTGAGGGTGCCAATGTAGATGAGGCACACACTGTAAAAAGCCGTGGCCTTGGGCCCCCACTTCCTCCCTCCCGGGTGGGCTCATCTGCAAGTGTGATCCCACCGGCCTGCTCCCAAGAGGAACTGGCAAGGGTTTGAGTCACATGGACTTTTTGGCCATAGGGGTGGGTGGGTGGAAAACTCAGCCAAACTTACATAAGCCAAAGAGGGAGTTATTGGAAACCCAGGGCTGGTGCACCATGGGTCCTCGTGGTGCCCCAGAGGTTCAAAGTTGGGTGTGGGCCGGAGCTCTGCTCTCCTCCTGTCTCTCCTGGCTAGGTACAGAGGCTCAGGTCCCCCCATGGCCCTGCAGCCCTGGCAGCCATCTTTCTACTTCTTTTTTTCCTGGCTCACGTCTGGCCAACCTTCTAGACAACCACCCCTAGACCAATCACCACAGCTGTGGAGGGGGTGAAGTAGAAGAAGGGGAACCCATTTGCCACAAATATTAGGGAGAAGATGGAGGGAAAGGGAGGAAAATACAATTCCCAGGAGAAAGAAAGTTCTGCCAGATCAACATAAATGCCTCCATGCGTACCACACAGGAAGCACAGGCCTGCTTTGAGGAACACACGGTGGCACACATCCAGGGCAGAAGATTTGCAGATGGCCAACAAGCCCGGGGAAAAACGCTCAAGGTCATCCGCCGTCAGGATCCAAACATCGAAACCACCATGAGGTGCCACTTCACAGCCATGAGGGTGCCTAGAATCAAAGGGACAGAGAACAGTGCTGGTGAGGATGTGGAGAAAGCGGGACCCTTAGGAGCTGCCGGGAGACTGTGAAACCCTGCAGCCACTTTGGAAAGCAGTCGGACAGGTCTTCTAAAGGGTAAGCACACAGTTACCACATGTTCCAGCAACCCCACTCCTCGGTATATACCCAAGAGAAGCGAAAACACGTGTCCACACAAAAATCTACGCAAGCGTGTGCATAATAGCATTATTCATGGTATGTAGCCAAAAAGTGAAAACAACACAGTGTCCATCGACTTGTGAATGAATAAGTGATACATGGTCTACATACTCTGGGATATTATTCAGCCATATAAAAAAGAATGAGGCACTGATTCGCACAGCAACATGCATGGACCTTGAAGGCATAATGCTAATAAAGGAAGCCAGAGGCAAAGAACCACATAGCTTCTGAGTGTATGATTGCATTCGGACTGAAAAGTCCCAAACAGGAAAATCTCCTGGGACAGGAAGTAACTTAGTGTTGTCTAGGTTGGGGTGGGGGACTGATGGGAGATTGGAAGGTCATAGCTAAAGGGGGTGGGGTTTCTTCTGGGAGGTAATAAAAATGTCCTAAAACTGATTGCGGTGGCAGTTGTACAATACTAAGAATATGTTAATGCCACTGAATTCTGCACTTTAAATGGATGAATTGTGTGGTGTGTGAATTACATCTCAATAAAGCTGTCACCAAAAAAAGACACTCTGTACCAGAGAGTGATGCTAATTAGCCTCATTAAGCCCTCCCCCTCACTGCAGGCCCAGCTCAGAATCAAGTTCTTCCAGAAGGACTCCCAGGCAGCTGAAGCCCAGGGATCTCTCCCCTCGGATCTCGCATTTCTGCGCCACCTGTGCAGCCCTGGATATCAGTTTCCTGTGCTGCTGGGACATGCCCAGATGAAAGTAGCGGCCCGTGGATCCTGCCCTGTGAGGGCACCAGTGAGTCCCTGGCACTGGGCAGCCACTTGGCCAAGGCTTCACTGATGTGGACGAGGCTCATCGGTGGTAAGAAACGACATGTGAGGAGAAGCTGGATGCAAAGTGTGCAGCCCAGGTGTCAGGTTCCCATGCTTAGGGCCTGGATGTGACACTGCCAGCCCCACCTCCTCCTGGCAGGGGCTGAATAGGGCAGTGGGGACAAGTCTCCTCACTCCGTCTTGATCCCTTGGCTCCCGCCTTATTTATTCAGGGAATAGGGGAAGCTTTGGGTGGCCTGGGTTTGAATAAGTGGGTGGGATGTTAGTGGATGGGCCAACAGTGGGGATGCTGAGGGTGACTGCTGCTAACGGGGGATGCAGCCCTGCTCAGCGCTTCTCTCCAGAGGCCATGAGAACCCTAGAACCCCAGGGCTGCGTTGTATATGAGCCTCCGGGATCAGAACAGAGGACAGAAGTTACAAGCAACCAGGTTTGGGCTGAAAAACATCTTCGGAATAACTCTCTCTCGCAAGCCGTGGGTCTGCCTCCCTCTCCCCGAGGCAGTCAGAATTCAAGGCTGACAGGGTCTCATCTCATGGAAACAACACCCGCACGAGGAAAAGGGGGACTGGACGAACTTGACTGTCCCTGCTCCTGGAAGGTGGGGGGCCTTTCTGCTGTGAGCTGCCCCAGCCAAATCTCACATACATACACTTCGGGGTGCCCAGGGGCCATTCTGGGGTGACTGGCGGAGGGTCCCTGAGCCCACAGCTAAGGCAGGAAGCCTGTTCCAGAGATACTTGGGGTGCTCTGATGGTGATGGCCATGCTGCTGTGCCATCTTGGCAGGCCACTTCTCTCCGAGGGTGTCTTCTCACCCTCTGAGCAAATGTGCTCAGCCAAGGGAAGCCCTGTAAGTGGTTTTTGAATGAATAAGATCAGGAAACAGCTCTTCAACCCCCAGGTTCTGTTCTGCGTGGTCCCCAGCCCTCCCCTGCCGTGTGCCCAGCACTGGGGTGGCCCATCCCGTCTTTCCCTGGGAGGCAGCACGCCCCGAACTGTGTGTCCCTGAAGCTCAAGCAGCTTCGCCTTTCACAGAGACCAACACACTGTCCCTGCTGGCCAGGGCTGCAGCCCAGCCCAGCCTGTGTGCAGGTCATTTCAGGGCACTGCCTTTGGAGAGAGACCGAGGTACATTCGATCCGCGGCTGATCTGCTCTCTACCGGCTCAGATAACAGCCCTGGGCTGCTGCTCCTGGCCCAGAGCCCCAGCAGCTCCATCGAGCCCTTCCTCCTCAGCCCCTCGCCCCTGCAGCACAAGCCAGCCCCATGATCTGATCACAACACACAAGTCAAGCGTCCCCCAGGAGCAGAGGAAATGTGTCCCCAACCTCGTAGGCTCCAGTGTCTGGTGGGGCCCTGAGCAGATGCTCTGGCCAAGTTCAAATCCCACTAGACTCTGGGATGGGCAGTTTGGGTTTGGGTGACTCAGAAGGCCCAGACGAGCTGCGGCAGATTGATAAGGCAAGAGTGATGACCATGGTCCTTCCCGCGGCCCTTCTTGCGATTCCTGAGGGGCTGTGGCCTCAGTCTGTCCCATTTCTCAGAAGGATAAAGCTGAGGGCCAGAGGGTTTCTATGACTGCACTGCTGCAAAAGCAGTGAGCGGCAGAGCCCGCCCGGGACACCAGGGTGCCCTGACTCCTCCGCCCGGGATGCCAGGGTGCTGACTCCGCCCACCCGGGACGCCAGGGTGCCCTGACTCCGCCCACCCGGGACGCCGGGGTGCCCTGACTCCGCCCACCCGGGACGCCGGGGGGCCCTGACTCCGCCCCCCCGGGACGCCGGGGGGCCCTGACTCCGCCCGCCCGGGATGCCGGGGTCCCTGACTCCGCCTGGCTCTCGCTGCGTCCGGCTCCTCGGCTCAGCCCCACCCCTGCACCCACCCTGGTATTTTTTTCAATATTTTTTTTCTTTCTGAAAAGCAGTATTGACTTTTATCTGCTAAAGAAAAATGATCTAAAAAGTGACAGCCCTGGGAAAATATTATGCTATAATTTTTAAGGAATAAAAGAGGATGCAGTAAGAAAGGGTTTGTGAGCATTCATATGGATCCGCACCTGGCAGGCTGGAAGCCACACACGTTGGAACATTTGATGTTTTTATTTGTTTCCTCATCATTGCATGCATTTTAAAAACATCTGCAGCACCTTCCTGACTTGTTTATGCATGTATTTCTTTTGTCAAAGCCCCCTCCGTGGCAACCGCTCCCTGGTCTACTGGGCCCTGAGCTGGGAAGGGCCCCTGGAGAGCCAGGTGAGTTTGTTGCTACTGGAGGCCCCGGGAGTGGCCCAGGCTGAGGCCGGCTTTTAGGATAATTTTTCTTCTTGAGGTTCCCATGGCATATGAGTGGTAGAAGTTCAGACTCACTGAAAAGTTTGGGAGACTTTGTATTTTCCCCTCATGGGAGACTTGTTTTCCTTTCAGAGGCAGAAGCAGCCCGAAGCATCCTGTCCCAGAAACAGGGCTGGAACCAGGGCTCTGCTCTCTGGGCCAAGACCACACTCCTGCCAGCCTGCTTCAGGTTTCAGGCCACGCAGGTACTGCCTTTTCTTTCTTTTGAACTCAGCTATATCTTTTTTTTTCCTTTCTCTGAGCCAGGACCTTACTCTGTTGCCCGGCCAGGCTGGAGTGCAGTGGTGTGTTCATGGCTCACTGCAGCCTCGAATTCTTAGGTTCAAGCCATCCTCTTGCCTCGGCCTCCTAAGTAGCTGGGACTACAAACACGTACCACCACACCTGGCTAATTATTTTTAAAAGTTTTTGTAGAGATGGGGGTCTCCCTGTTTGCCCAGGCTGATCTCAAACTCCTGGGCTCAAGCAAAATCCTCCTGCCTTGTTCTCCTGAATGTTGGGATTATTGGCCTGAGCCACCGCACCTGAACAGCTGTATCCTTAAACACACACTGGTGCGTGCACACACACGGGCCCTGCCCATGATTCTTGAATATTTTTGGCTGAACCAGTTCCCACTTCAGCGCTGTCCATCGTGTTATGGGAAATCTGTATGTTTATAATTTTAGAAAAATAAGTTTGCCTTTTAAATACACCTGTTTATGCCCTGTGTTCCTAGATGCTGGCGACATGAAATATATAAAACAATAGCTTTCCTCGGAGGTGCATTTCAGTACAAACCCAATAAAGGTGTGACGAGAGCTGAAAATGAGGAATAGTGAGTGCAGATACATTCTTAGTAATAAGTATTAAAACATGGGGTTTTGTAATTTACTTCCAGACACAAAAAGTCTGGAATTCCATGGTGTACTGTGCAAGGAAAATATAAATGACCCATCTCCACCTCCACACAAGTGATGCCCTCACCGTGGCTGCTGTGAGAACCCCTGTGAACACTTTGGGGAGACCACACACTCCTCATACCCGTGCCCTCCATGGGAAACGTAGCATGAAGCAGGCACCCTGGGCTGGGATTCGGGTCCGAGGAAGCAGCCCCTCCTGTGCTCCCCCCATGCCGGCCCTGGGCGTGGGTCCAGCTCAGAGAAAATCATTTTCATCTGTGTGATTTTCGGATTTTTCACCAGTAGTAAGGGCTGCATTAGACAAGGAGCCTCCACACCAGGTGTGCAATGAACCCCTCGCTCAGAGAAAGCCACTTCCCCACCCAGGAGAACTCTGACACCAGCTATTCCAAGAAAAACATCTATTTGCCTCATCTTCCACAACTGTACTTACAGCAGACGCCAAGTTTTGTGCTCTGCATTTTTCTACTTAACAATACATCACAAACATTTTCCTTGTTGCTTCATAATCTTGGGACTTCTATGAGATGACATCTAACATTCAATCCATCGGGCATCATAAATTACCTAGCCCTTCCCCTCCCGACAGGCATCCAATTGACTTTGTGAGTTGTATAATTCTGCAATAAACCTCTTCATGCATAGGCTTTTGGCCATTTTTGGAATTTTCTTTTAGAATGATTTCCCAGAAATGTCGCCATGAGGTCAAGTGGAACAAACAATTTTACGATTCTTGTTATGTGCTGCCAAACGCTTTCCCAAACAACTCGTCTCCTTTTGCAATGCCAGGAGTGTGGGAGTGGGCAGGTAGGCAGCCGCCCCACCACGGAGGTGGTGGTTGGAATGTGGAGTGGGAGAGCTGCTCCTGGCTGAGGGTCCTGAGATGGTGAGGGAGGAGCTGTCCAGCAGGTCTATGGGAGCGGTGGAGCTGCGTGCAGGGTGCAGGGTGGGAAGCGCCGCAGCTGGTGGAGCCTGGCTGCTGCAGGCTAGGGGAAGAGCCCTGCAGGGCAAAGGCGGTGCACACCAGGGAGGCACAGCCGGGTGCCTCTGCCTGACACCGGGGCTTTGGGATTTTACCCAAACTACTGTGATCCCACTGACCAGCCTGCCCCTCATCCTGCAGTCTCTGGGACCTGTGTGGCTCTATGGGGTGGCACCCGGGAGGCCTCTATGGAAACAGTCCTTCAGTGGCTGAATGTGTGCCAGT
This sequence comes from Homo sapiens, assembly GCF_000001405.40. NCBI lineage: Eukaryota > Metazoa > Chordata > Mammalia > Primates > Hominidae > Homo > Homo sapiens. Next base: position 239,688,033 of record NC_000002.12, on the reverse strand, counting down.
TTGAGCATCACAATAAACACAGTGGTAACAGATTATAGCCCACAGCTGCATCAAGAACCCAGGAGCTCATGCTGATGTAAAGCCAAGGGGACAGATAATTAGTGGAAGGGGGAAGCTCTTCCTCACAGTAGTATGTGGACTAACTCACGGAGACGGACGGGATGAGGGAGTTAGGGTCACGGCTTCACAACCAGCAGAGTGAAAAAGATTCTGACAGGAATCCTCAATGGCTACTGAAATGGCTGGGGGAAAGTCTGACGGGGAGTGGGAGTCTCAACGATGGCCTCTCAAGTTCTAATTAATCAGAAAGAGGGACTAAGAACCAACAGAAAAGCTGAGGACACCACCCTAACTAGTGGCCGGGTCTGGGGACATCACCAGCTTCCTGCTGCACATCCCTTCCCCTGGGGAGTCCCTGCCAGAAGGCACCACCCACATCCAAGCCCGGGGCATCCTGCAAAGTAACTGCTCCTCACAGCAGTCACCTTCAGGGATGACAAAGAGAGGCCGAGACATTTCCAGAAGAAAACAGTCCAAAGAGGCATACAGTGTGTGATCCTGGAAATTAACTACAATTTGTGATCCTAGACTGCGCAAAAATGGCTGTAAAAGAAAACATTAGGACCAGGCACAATGGCTCACGCCTATAATCCCAGCACTCTGGGAGGCCAAAGCAGGTGGGTCGTTTGAGGTCAGGAGTTCAAGACCAGCCTGGCAAATGTGGCGAAATCCCGTCTCTACTAAAAATACAAAAATTAGCCGGATGTGGTGGCAGGTGCCTGTAATCCCAGCTACTCGGGAGACTGAGGCAGGAGAATTGCTTGAACCCAGGAGGCGGAGACTGCAGTGAGCCAAGATCATGCCACTGCACTCCAGCCTAGGTGACAGAGCGAGACTCCCTCTCAAAAAAAAAAAAGAAACAATAAATGGGATAATTAGTGAAATGTGAATATGAACTCTATACTCTATACATATAATGCTTAAGAGTATTATACGATTGTGTAACTTTTGTTGAAAATATCTCTATTTTTAGAGAATGCCTACAAATATTTAGGGGAAGGAACATGATGTCTGCAATTTACCCTCAAATAGTTCAGGGGGAAATATATCTATAATTGTGTGTGTGTGTGTGTGTTTGTGTGTGTGTGTACACACATAGAGACAGCCCTCCACATCTATGGGTTCCCCACTCATGGATTCAACTAACTGTGGATCAAAAATATATTTTTAAAAAAGGATGGTTGCATCTGTACTGAACATAAGCAGCCTGTTTTTTCCCTGTCATTATTCCCTAAACAATACAGCATAACAACTATTTACATAGCATTTGCATTGTGTTAGGTACTATAAGTAATCTAGAGATGATTTAAAGTATACAAGAGGATTGTGTATGTTATATGCAAATACTACATCATTTATATAAGGGACTTGAGCATGTGTGGATTTTGCTATGCACGGGGCTCTTGGAAGCAACTCCCTGTGGATACTGAGGGACAACTATATATGTGTGTGGGCATCTGCATCTATATCTCTATACCTCTATCATCTGTCTATCATCTATTTATCTATTATCTATTTATCTTTCTATCTAGAAGGGAAAAGCCAATGGAGGAAAATAAGAACAGTTGGTCAATCTCAGTACAGGTCATATGGCCATTCTCTGTATTACTGTTGCAACTTTTATGTAAGTTTGCATTTGTATACAAGGTAAAAAGTTACAACCCCTAAAAAGATGGGACAGCACGAACACTGAGGCATCATTTCCACCTTGTCATTAGCAACTGTGTTGCCAGGTGGCATGGACAATGCTGGACTGATAGTTCATCCCTTCCCACTGGAATGGGGCTCCTGTCACTCAAGATCATGTGACATCCTCAAACTCATGCAGGACTTCTGGCTTCTCTAATGTCACTCACACCTTATCAGGCTCCTGCAGAAGAAATCAGTAACTCACAGAACTGGAAATCCTGTTGGTCAGGATCTTTGCACGCACTGCCTCTTCCACTTGGACCCTTCCGACCCCATCCTCCTCCCAGTGCTTGCTCAGGGGTCATCTCCCTGGAGGAGCTTTCTCCTTCTTTGTCAAACAGCGGTGGCCTCTGTTCTCCCTCAGCCTGTTGTGAAGCCCACCACCATGATTGTCAGAAGGTCCTATAATTCCAGGGTCACCTCCCACCTCCCTGACACCCCACGAGCTCTCCCAGAGCAGGAAACAGACCTCGTTCATCTCCATGGGGCCAGCACCTGCCATGGTGCTTGGAACAGGACTGTTGCTCAATCAATGCCTGTGGAACAGACGGATCCTGAGTCTGTCAGTCTTCTCCATGCCTGGGTGGGTTCTCCTTGCACTACAAAGGAGTGGAGGAGGAAAGTCGTCCACAGAGTTGCAGAGGCACACAGGGGTGAAGTGGGAATGCAGCCTGCGTGTAGGTCGGGTGTGATGCCATCACGGCTTCACTTCTCCCCATGAGGAGGTGAGCCTCAAGCGCTGTCCCTGCCCCCGGCATCCCTGGCTTCTCAGCAGTGCTGTGTCCATGCATTAACAAGGGTCTGTCCTGATGGATCAGTCCAGACGGGTAATTTAACTGAATGCAGAATTCAAGGGGAAAATGTATCTATGAACATTTTCAGTGACATATCTATGTATATATCTCCGTTCAGTGATTATATAAACATGATTATTAAGTTTTCGGCTTCAGGAAAAGCTAAGGCAAAATCAATTCAATTCAGCAGCTCCCACCCCCAGGTGTCCTCGGTACTGCCTTCACTGCTATTTTCCACCATTTCAGTGTCTTCTTTCTAAAGGGTCATGGTTGCAAGCTTTTTCCCATTTTTGAGCCCTGGGGACTCATTTTCTCATAGAATTGGCTGAAATGTGTGGTTTTCCTGGGAAAGGAATCCATGAAAAAGTGAAATAACACTTTTTTTCTTTCAAGACAGGGTCTTGCTCTGTCACCCAGGCTGGGGTGCAGTGGCTTGATCATGGCTCACTGCAACCTCTGCCTCCCTGGCTCAAGCGAGCCTCCTACCTCAGCCTCCTGAGTAGCTGGGACCACACGTGCACCATGCCCAGCTAATTTTTTTATTTTTATTTTTGTAGAGACAGGATTTAGCCATGTGGTCCAAGACAGTCTACAACTCCTGGGCTCAAGTGATCCTCCAGCCTCAGCCTCCCAAAGTGCTGGGATTATAGGTGTGTGCCATCATGCCTGGCCAGAAATAAAGTGAAGAGAAGTAGCAGTTGAGTGAGCCATGCACAGTTTTGTTTTGCAGCTCAGAGCTGCCTATTCCCATTAGGCAAGAAATGGCTCATGGGATTTGAAGACCAGGCCGCCCTGCATCTTCCTTCTGATGGGTGGAATGCAATTCCCACCCATCTTGGGTTTGATGCAATTCCACCAGCAGCATTGACTCATCAAGCTTCCAGGGAAGGCAGGATTAAGTGGAGGTTAATGAGATGTCAAACAACAGTCATTCTGGAAGCTTCCATATGAGCTCTGCTCACCAGCATTATGCTCCAGTTCAGGCAGTCACAGGTGGAGAGTGGACCTGCCTGAGAAGATCCAGAAGGAAGAAAGGTCGGTCGAAAGGAAAGCAGCCAGCCAAGAGCTAGTGGTGAGGACAGTGAAGACTCCTCATGGACTGTGCTTCAAACTAGAGAGAACGACTGGCAAAAAGGTAGATCACAGCATCAGACACTCAGAGAGATACAGATAGTGCCTGCCAGCCAGCGTGTGGTTGTGAAGGGCGAGAATGAATAACTGCCTAACAGTCAGAGCTCCCGTGATTTTTACACTTTCTTCCCATTTGAATGGGCATTAACTAGGTCGGACACAACTCTGAAGCTGGGGAAAGGAGAGGCCTGAAGTGGTTTTCTCAAGGTGATACAGATAGTATGTGGCAGAGTTGGGTTTTCGATGTAATTCAAATGGCGAATTAACATGGGTACTACTGATTTGGGCACTGAAACTCAATCTCAGCAATGCACAAAAACAGAAGGAAGTTAGTGGATCCATTAAAAACAAAAACCCACCTCTTCCCTTAAAACATTGAGAACTCTGGGTACTTGGGCTTCTGGGATGGGGTAGTATAGGGAGGAATTATTGCCTAGAGTAGAAAAAAAGAGACTCCAGAGATAGGATGTGGGGAGAATTTTCCTGGTGTGTCTTTAATCCTTCTTCCAGCACTGGGCAGAAGTTAAAAACTGGTCCATCTACTATCCCTAACCACTGTAAGGGTTTCAGTTTCTAGGGAGTTTAGAGTAAATATCAACAGTTCACTGCTCCGAACACAACTAGAAAAATAAATTGATAAATTATAAAGATTATAGTTGTAAAACCATTGATTAGCAGTGAAAGTAGAAGAACCAAACAAATTAAAATTCCAGAGCAGGAAGAGCCCTTCCCAGCTGAGCTGCAATCACTGACCATTTTGTCCCTGGGGGCGGGGGTGGGAGAGATTTTCTGAATCTGGGAAAAGGCTGAGGTTTAAGCTTTTCCTAGGCAGAGGGGCTCTTTTGAGGGAAAGATAAGTCAGTGGCTATTTTTAAAATAATTTGAGCTGGGCTAAGAGATCAGAATCTAGAGGAGCTCAAAACACTGAGCTGTTTTCTCCTGTAGGTTTATTGCTGGCTTCTGCAGTGGTACAAGAAGGGTGGAGGCACTAGAGAGGGAATGAGATCTCCCACTGCCCCACTTGCCAGGCCCACCGTCTGGCTTCAGTCTTCAGACTTGGAAAACAGGTGCACTGCTTCTCATGTTGTACCCCAGACTCAAATCAGCTCAATCCTGAATTGTGTTGCGGTGATTAGCACCTAATCCCCATCTTCCAAAAAAAGGTGGGTAGGGAGAGGCAGAAATTGTCAGAGAAACAGTAGCAACAACTTTAGTTTCCATCATCTTTGTATACACGACGACTTTCCTGTAATCAGAACTTAGATGAATGTGAACTAGGGAAACATGACTAATGATTGATAAAAAGCTGTCAATAGAAGCAGATCTGTAAATAATCCAGATACAGAAATTAGCACACAAGGACTTAAAATTATCAATTATAAAGGCATCAAAGCCAAGAGGGGAGAGATGCACTAAGCGGCTGAAAAGATGGAGAATTTCCCAAAAAAAAAAAAAGTTTTGGAATCTGTAAAAAGAATCAAATAGACATTCTGAGTAAAAAATAGAATATCTGAAATTGAAAACTCATTAAATAAACTTCATAGCAGATGGGGCACAGTAGATCAGCCAAGCGAACAGAAAGACCAAAGCTCAGAGAGAAAGAAAAGACTAGCAAGAGCAGACATGTAAACGGTGGGCAAGTGGACCAACACACTTCTATCTGGAGTCACAGAAGAAGAAGACAAGGAGAATACACCAGAGTTAATATTTGAGGAGACTATGGCTGAGATTTTCCAAAACTGATGACAGACTTCAATCTACTGATTTAAGAAGCTCAAGGAAGCCCCATTTACCCTGTGTGAGGAGGGAGCAGCCATCCCAGTGGTAGCTGGTTGGGAGGATAAATTAAAGATTCTACTACGCACAAATTGGATGAAGGATAATTCAAAACACATTCATCCAGGCTTTCCAGCCACAGAGTATTCCTTTATCCCTGTACCCCCTTCACAGCTCCAGGATTAGGTAATCATGCTCAGGAGAGAGTTGCTTAAGTGAGACCGGTGCCAAGGGAGAGATGTAATGTGTAATACCAGATGCTCTTCACCAGAGGATGCATCCTCCCTCCATCTCAAAAAATCCTCAGAAGCAGAGAAATTGTCTACATGGGTTTCATCCCCTCCCCTCAAATATCCACTTCCAGCACAGATAGATAATATCTCAGAAGGGTGTATTAGCTCAGTAAAAGTAATGAGACTTCTTAAGAATACAACTGCTATATAGAGAAAGACAACAAGAAGAGAAATTCATACCAGATGAAGCAGAATAAATAGAACAGATGGAACAAGAGTTTAAAATAAGCCTGTTTAATTTCCTCTAAGAAATAAGGCAGGGGGTACTGGGAAGATTTAAAAAAAAGAATAAGAAATTATATATAAAAATGATTTAAAAAATCTATACACACACATGCATACACACACACCCACACACATACATTTAGCCCGTGTGTGTGTGTGTGTGTGTGTGTGTGTGTATGTATATGGTATGTGTGACACACACACATATATATGGGCTAAATATCAGAATGAATTTAGCCAGAGATTAGTAAGCACAAAGATCTGTCTTAAGAATTCTCCAAAAGAAATAAAGAAGATATTAAAAGGATTTTTAGAAGTGGAAAGTAAAGAGATATAGAAGACTGAAGTAGAGCCATCTGTTTATACATTAGAGACTCAGAAAGGAAGAAAACAATAAGGAAAAGAGAGAACATATATGAAGATTTATTGGCCAAGAATTTCCCAGATTTGAGAAAGATGTACAATCTCAGAGAAGAGAGAGAGAGACAGACAGAGAGAGAGAGAGAGAGAGAGAGAGAGAGGGATCTCAGTACACTACAGAAATTTATGAACATTAAAGGAGAGGAAATTATAAAACTTTCAAAGTGGGAAAGAAATCAGTAACTTTCAAAGGAACACAAATCACATTGACATTGTATCTATCAACAATAGTGGATGCAGGAAGAAAGTAGAGTGATAGTCCCTGTATTCAAGGAAAACAATCCTGAAACTCAGAATTTTTATATTTAGCTAACCTGTCATTTATATGCCTTGGCCAAATAAGGATATTTTCAGATATGTAGGGCTTCAGAATTTTTATCACACAAAGACTCTTTAGAAAACATTTTAAAAGATCATCCTATTTCAAGAAAAGAAATGAACATGAGCAATATGAGAAATATGGGTGACTAAATCAGTTATTAAAGCAAGGACTGAAACAAAAGTATACATGTCAATCTACAGCCGAAATTCTAGGTGATACTCGCATGGTATAGGAGAGAGGTTGGGATGTGAGAGATTGTTCAGAGAAATAAGAGAGTAGCCTCAGGTACTTGTCTTATTTACAGGGAAGAGATAGATCATGGTAAATTTAGGAAATTGTTGGGGAGAATAAGCATAACTATAGATCTGAAGAAGTTATGGGTGACCACCCAAAGAATCAAAATAAAATATATTATGTCAAAATCAGCAAAAAAATTGTCTGTTCAATGGAAGTTAGGAAGGAAAAACGAAATGTACATAGAATATGAGAATAAAATTGTGAATAATAATTGTGAAATAATTCTTAATATAACATTAAGTATAGTAAATGTGAATGAATTATACTAATCTCTAATCAAAAGACAAGTTCTCAGAACAGATATTTTTAAAGAAATAGTAATTTAATATCTACAGGAGACACATAAGAAAGAAAAAAGAAAGAAATTGAAATGCCTAACAGCCAATGTTTTCATATAAGACTAAAAAATCTGTTTAGGTGAAACCCATGCCAGTAATCAAAGAGGAGTATTATGGACACAACATAAACAGTAATAAAATATAAAAGAAAATATAGTTATTATGGACATATATGCATCAAATACTATAGTGTCAATATACATAACAGCTGATAAAACTATGTAGTTGTTGTACAATTGTAGTTGGAAATATTAACATACACACTCAAAAACTGAAACATCTAGGAGTATGTAGGTCACAGAGAACATCTGAAAGAACAGAAGCCATGTCCCAGCCCTTAGGAAAATAGGACTGCACCCACTCTTTCCCATTGTCCCCATGGATGTGAAGCCCTCTGAGTTTCCTCCCTGTGAAGGACCTCTTATTGATTCCTAATACCTCTCCCTGCCCTAGATCCTATTATGAGTTAAGTGCTAATCGATAAGGAATTGACTTCTGTACAAGATTCCAAGAAATTCATCTCTGAAGAGATCCCCAGGTGTGGGATAAGAAGAGACTGCTTCTAGCCCCAAGAAGAGGGTTGCATAAGACCTTTGTGGGGCTCCTGAGCCTAATTCCTTCTAAGAACTGTATAACAAGGCAGCAAATGGAGGCAGAACCCTAGCTGCACCATGAGGCCAGAGGGAGGCTTCATGCTGGAGGTGCTTTCCCTAGACCCCTAGCTCAGAGCTGTAGACTTGTACAAAGTATTTCTGCTGACAGAGGTGAGCCTCCCAGTGCATGCTGAGCTGGTCAGAATTGGCAGACCCACCTTGTGGAACTAAGATGCCAACCAAGTCTGCACCTACATGGGGCTGAAACTAGCAAGGCCAGAACTCAACACCCACCCAACCCCATCAGCAGCCATCAACCCTGGCGATTGCTCTAATTTTATTCAACTGGCATTACATGCTGACAACTTAGGCATGATCTTGTTCTCAAGAAACTTAACTGTCTAATAGGGGCACAGATATGCAAACGTGTTTCAGACATCCATAGGGGTTAATGGTGTGACTCAGAGTAGCATCTTGGATCTAACACTCACTATCTGTGTAGCTTTAGACAAAGTCATTATTCGCACTGGATCTCACCTTTCCCACCTGGAAAATGGGGATGAAAATAGCAGTACCAAGATAAAACAGTTCTTGTTAGAACTACATGAATTAACACATAGAAATAGTCAAGCACGTAGCTTACACCTGGCAATTATCATCCTGTTGTAACTCATACCTTAAAATGGTGATTATTGATGAAGAGGAAGAGTGGCACATGTATAGTTTGAGACACTATATTTGGTATTTTTATTGCTTCGTTATTTACAAAGTCAACAGAATCTTTGTGGCTGCAGTGGCTTTGTTTGAAATACAGAGAGAAGCCTTGGAGGACCATGGGTCTGAGCAGCAGGACAATGGGAGTGAGGAGGAGGCCGGGCCGATGAGGAGATGGCTCTGTCTGGTGATAGAAGGGGGTTACGAAGGCCCCCGGTACAAAGTTTGAGGTGAGACTTGAAAGAGGACGAGCCTGGGGAGCACGGCGCACCACAGATAAGAGACAAGAGCCTTCCATGGAAGGACACAGAGAGCTGGGGCCCCGTCTGGGCAGCTTGTCCACAGGGAAGCAGTGGTAGACAGGGCTCGGGTGCCACTCGGAGAGGCAGGGGCTTTACCCATGTGCAGGAAGGAGGTCTGGTCAAAGAGGATTCCAGTGCAGAGTTGGAGACAGAACTGGAGACAGAACACTGGGCAAGAAGCGATGAGCGGGATGGCCCCTAGAGTAGCCACATGCGAGGAGGGGGACACACTCTATCCTCATGCAGCGCTGACCCCTATGCGAGAGGAGAGGGACAGAGGGGGTCACACCGAATGTGCGCGCAGCCCAAAAGGCCCAGCTCTGTGTCCTGGGAGAGCGACGCTACCACAGAGCCTTCAATCAGAAGTGTGCAGCCGCCCTGCAAGTGAACGCCTGCAAATACTCAACATTTTATTATAAAAGTGCACCTCCAGCCATTTGCATAGTTTTGACTTTTCATTGCTCAAAAATAGACAAGAATGACTACCCAACAGTTGCTATAGATATGCTCTAACCAGTACTAGATTTTATTTTCAAAAATAATTGGCTTTATTGTGCTAGAAATAGTTGCGTACATATTACATGTGTTTTAAAAGTTGGCTTGCTTTGACTTTCATGCACCCAATAAATAAAACTAATTCCACTTTTTCATGATGAACTAAGTTAATTTGTTAGGCAAATAATTGGATGAATATTTCGTGCATAATTGCCCAGTGCTCTTGCTGAGTGGCTCCCGTGCCCCATCTGGAGGGCCCTGGAGGCCCCTCTTCTGCACCACGATTGCCGGATACATCCAGGGTCTCCAGGAAGGTGTCGGCCCGAGGGAAGCCCTCCGAGCTGTCATCAGAGAGAGACTGTGGAGTCAGAACAGGGTGTGGAGCTCGTGAAGAAGGGGCGTCCGCTGTGCTCAGAGACTCTTGTGGGACCCGGAAGAGCTGCCAGGCTGAACGGGTAAGAATACGCCCACGGGGACTGACCAGCACAGCATGATGGGCCGGAGGTGCTGACCCACCGAAGGGCATTTGACCAAGGGATTGCGCATCGGCCACGCTGGCTGGGACTCAAGAGTCCCGTCTCAGGTCAGAAGGGTGCCCTGAAGCGGGCCTCCTGGGACCTCAGGTACCCAGGCCAGGAGAAAGGAGGAGAGAGTGGGCTCTAGGGGCCAAGGCCTGAGGAAATCCACCAGGCCTTGAGCCCAGGATGGGCGGGAGCTGAGAGCACAGAAGGCAGTGGGGCTGGAGAGCCTGTGATTCTTAGGGCCTCCCGCTCAGGGAGAGTCTCAGCAGCGATCTGGGTGCAGGGGCCAGGCAGTCCTGCCCCCAAGCCCTGGAAAGGATTCTGGAGAGAGCAGTGCAGGGCCGGGCCCCAGGGCTGGTGTGGGACAGAGAGGCAGTGGGGAAGAGGTAGCGGAGGGCCCCCCTGGAGGAGGTGTGGGGACACAGTAGCCATCCCAGCTCCCTGAGGTGGGGCAGGGAGGCCGGGCAGGGGAAGGCGGCAGCGCACACCCAGGGAGGGAGGGAGGTGCCAGCTGTGTGTGTGCAGGGGCCAGGGAGCACTGCTCTCAGCCCTTGCTCTGGTTGGAGCCCCTGGGTCTGGGCTGGGCACAGTGTCCTGGAGACTTTTCTGGGCCCAGCCCTGGGAACTGAGGAGACGCAGCAGGGACAAGGCAGGGATGCCCCAGGTGGAGCCCAGGAACCAGGTCATGACGACAAGGGCAGAGACTCCCTGTTGACAAGTGACCCCCTAGACCCAACTTCCCCCTCTCTGAAAAGCCCCCGGCATGTGGCTGGCTAGTGGTGCTCCCGTGCAAGGAGAAGCTTCGCGGCTGAGTGCAACTGTGCGGAGAGACTTCTAAGCTTCGTGGCTGAGCGCAACTGTGCGGAGAGACTTCTAAAGCTGGGGCCTCAGAACTGCTGCCTTCTGCCTTCCAGAGCAGACTAGTGGGTAGGAGACGGAGAGGGGCTTGTCTGGGGTGGGGCCCAGCCTCCCGTCTTTCCCTGGTGCTCCCTGCCCTTCATGCGCTGGGAACAAGAGGCGCTGCTTCATGGGCCAAGAACTTGGTTTTGTAAAACAAACAAACAAAAAACACTAAATAAAAAACACTAAATATTGTATTCCCTGTGTGTGAGTGGTGTGTGCACGTGGTGGGGGTGCACATGTGTGGGTGGCAGGGCATGAACATGGGGGGTGCACGTGAGTGGGGGTTTTGAGCAAGTGGGTGTGGTTGGGCTGGGGAGGGGTTTGCACATGGCCCTAGAGGCACCAGATTTGGCTGTGCCCTCTGCAGACAGCTCCTCGGCCAGTCTCTGGCTCCCGAGGTTGGAGGATTGGGGCTGGGGGACTTGCAGCTTGCTCTGCCCGGCATGGGCAGCAGTCCCCGAGAAACAAACAGAGCCTCTGAACCTCTGATTCTGTGATCTGTATCACCCCACAGCCTCCAGGGACAAAGAGCTGTGTCTGTCCCTGGACTAGAAAGACGATGGTGTGGCACATGACCACCAGGGTCAGACAGGGCAGGGGCGGGGTGGGGAAGGGGGTGCCCAGGAGCCCCCTCCTCACCAGACGACAGATGTTTCTCCCTTACCACAGCCAGGCCCTGCCAACACTCCTCCCCGCACCCCTCCCTGCCTGCATGCGGCTGGAGGCCTGGGCCCTGCCTGGTGTCAGCCACCCTCCCGCCCTGCCGGATGTACCTGCGGCTCAATGTGACCTCCTCCAGTGCAGGACCCGCTCCAGAGCAGGGCTCCCACCAGAGGCCAGAGCCCAGCCTGTCCCAGAGTTGCACCAGCCCTGCCAGCCCCTGCACGAGCCCTAGCTGGTAGAGCCCCCTCATGCTCCCACTGAGGTCTCATTCTGGATCTTAGGCCCTCCCCATTTGACCCACACATCCCGTGGAGCTGGTCCCCATCTGGCCAAGTCAGCTTTCAGCACCTTTATTTATGCTCCGGCATCATCAGCATCAGCATAGTCCATGTGAGCAGCCAGCCCATGGGCGGGGCCCCAGGAGCCCCGTGTGGATCGGCTCTTACCACGCGGGCCTGGCCAGGGGGCCAAGGAGACCGTGCAGGCCAGATCCTGAGACACTCCTCCTCTCCTCACTCAGCAAACCCACATCTGCTTCGAGGGCCCCATGAGCAGGCAGCCTGCAGGAGGAAGGACCCAGGCTGAGCAGGGATGGACTGGAGGGGCAGGAGGCGGGGGGCACGGGACTGGGCTAGGATCCTGACAGCATCTTAGTCAGGAGCAGCTGCTCCCCAGGCAGTACACCGGCAGGAAGAACATCCCAGCAGAGTCGGGGCTGAGGATGGAGAAACCACACATGTTAGAGACACCCGGGCCTCTGGGCAGGGCTGGTACTCAGGGTTTGGGGAGTGGGTGGAAGATGGGGGTGCAGGGGTAGATCCGCCGAGGTTCGGTGCACCCACCAGAACCAGCCCCTGCTGCCGGCCCATCCTGACTCATGGGTGGGAGAGGCAGCCTGGCCAAGCTCCTCTGTGGGCCCCAGCTTTGGCCTCTTCTCCTGAAAAGCTAGTTTCCCCCCACTGGAGAAGAAACAGGGTGAAGCAATTTCTGGGAGGGGCACCCACTCTGACCACTCCCCCAGCACCATCACCTTCCCCTACACGCAGAGCTTCTGCACCCAACCACACCTAGTTTCCCGGCTACCCCATCAGGTTCAGAATGGGGCCCGGTGCATGTGCTGGACCCTGTCAGGCACCGCTTCCAACATACTGAGCCACCCTGGTCTCCAATACCAGCTCCTGCTGCCTGGGCCTGTGGTGGCCCCCCTCCAGTCTGAGTGCCTCCCCAGGCCCCAGCTGTGGGCCTCTTGCCCCACACTGGGGCTTCCCTGTAGATATCCCCACAGGATGCCAGCCACAGGCACACCTCCCTTTCCCCCAGACAATCTTCAGACAAATCCACCAAGGCTCCTCTGATGCCCCATCTGGGGCTGAGCGTCCGGCTGCTGGCCACACCACGATGTATCCTTACTCCCTTCCTCACCCCTTCCTCTCGAACCGCAGAACCACGATCCCCATGAAGGGTCCCCATGAAAGGCCATGCTTGGGAGCCTCTGGGCCATGCTGCACTTCCTGCAGACAGGGCCAACACCAGGCCCACCACACTCCTGGAGGACACCCCACCCCCTGCTCCCCCCAGGCACAACCCAAGTGCCCCTCCACGTGCTAGAACAGAGCCCAGCCTGCCCGGCCTGTCTCCTGGGATTCCTGCTGCCACCCCATCGCTGGCCTGGATGCTGGAGAACACTGCAGGCTACAGGGAACAGGCCAGAGCCAGGCCCGGCCCTAGGCACGCTGGCCTCACAGGAAGCTGTGCAGGTGCAGAGCAAGCCCAGAGCTCCGCCCCACTCCCCTGATTCAGGAGCCCTGAAGTAGCTTCAGATCAGTTTCTCGGGTCCGGCCAAGACCTTAATGTTTTCCCTCCACTCCTCTCTGCTTGTCCACCTGGGTCTCACGTGCCGGGGCTGCTTGTCCACCTGGGTCTCACGTGCGGGGGACTGGCCTGACAGGGCTCATTCTGACACCCACACCTTCCCCAGGGGTTCCAGCCCAGAGATGGGACCCCCACACCACAACTCTGCCTCACCAGGGTCGGCTCTGCCACAGAGAGAACCCTAAGATGAAAGGGGCCCAGGGGCTGCCCCACCAGTGGGTCCTCAGGCCCACGGTAGGCCCCACCCACTGCTTGCAGAGAAGGGCTGGCCTGGCACCTCTATGGGACTCTTCCTGTCAATTTTCCACCAGCTCGCTGCTGCTCTAAGAGCTGACCTCCCCAGCTCCACCATCCACCAAAGTGCCCGTGTCTTCCTGTTTTCCCGCAGCCTGGCAGAGATTACAACAGCATTTGCTACAAGCACAGCAAATGTCTTCTCAGACACTGATCTAGAAGAGCCTCATGACTTGTCTGAAATATGTACCCAGCCAGCTCTTCAATGAAACAAACAAAGAAAATTCAGTTGCAAATTTATTGGAGATGATTATGTTCCCAAGATGATGTTCTTGCAGACAGATGGCATTGATCATGTTGTCTATGTGGTTAAGGTTCGGGTGACTTTGGGCATGGGGCAGGCAAGTTTTCTTAAGCCTGTGTCAGAAGTAGATGGGGACAACCACCTCCACGCCCTTCCCTGCCTCCAGCAGTGAGTTAAAGTGCTGGTCCATTCACAGGCCCACGGTGACCGCCCACCAGCGCAGGGCAGGTCCTGATGGAGAGGATGCATAGCAAAAGCAAACAGAACGAATGAATGAAGAATGGAACCAGTGACAAGCCCCTGGCTGCAGGCGTCTCCTGGGCCGGGAGACCCAGCTTAGACCAGGAAGAGCTTTAACACGAGGAACTGGCAGCCTGGGGGGAGGGCGTGCCCCACTGAGCAGCACTTCTCAGACTGTGGGTCTCAGAACCCCTCCACTCTCCTGAAAATGCTTGAAGACCCCAAAAGGTTCTTGTCTATGTGGCGTACACCTATTGATATTTATCATATTAGAACTTAAAACTTAGGATTTTAAAAATATTTATTAATTCATGTGAAAATAATAAACCCACCACAAGTTAGCATAACCAGCATATTTATTTAAAAAATAGCGTACTTAAAATAGTAATGTAGTGAGACGAATGGCATCGTTTCACGTTTTTACAATTGCTTTTTATGCCTGGTCTGATTGAAAAGACAGCTGGTTGCTCATATCTGCTTCTCTACTCAATCTGTTGCAATATGCTGTTTTGGTTAAAGGGAATAAAGAAAATCCAGCCTCACCAGATATGCAGCTGGAAGAGGTGAAAGGATTTTCATGGCTCTTCCAGATAACTGCGGACCATCTTCTTTGATACTACACCCAAACTTGACAAGTGGTGGCTTCTTAAAGTTACTCGAATTGTGGAATCTGAAACCGTATTAATGAATTTTTGCACTCAAAATGAAAAATGAATTTTGTACTCACAAAATCCATTGGTCTGTCTTGTACTTCGAATAATTCTGTTACTCACGCATGATTTCATAACGTCATATATGGGTCATTGGAAAATATTTCTTCACTGAGTTATGCAGGTTTTCTGAAGAATATTGATACAATTTATTTTTTAATATTTTAAGAAATCCCGCTCACGAATATTTCCATCAATTCATCAGAAAAATACTGCAGAGCCATCAAGATCCTGGTGGGGATGCACGTTTTCCAAAATCCTAAATTTCATTTGAAAAAGCTTGAATGTGATCATTGGCAACAAACGCTGTCAGTTGCTTTCCTTGGAGGGGTGGGCTCACTTCATTCATTTGTTTTTCTTGCACTATCAGAGCGGTTGGCATTCATCATCACTCCTTCATTCATCTTTGGGAAGACATCACCCAAGTCTGAATGATGCTCCCTGAAAACCACGCATGGGCTGGGCGAGGCGGCTCACACCTGTGATCCCAGCACTTTGGGAGGCCGAGGCAGGAGGACTGCTTGATCCCAGGAGTTCAAGACAAACCTGGGCAGCACAGAAAGACCTTGTTTCTATGAAAAAATTTAAAATTAGCCAGGCGTGGTGGTGCACACTTATAGTCCAAGCTACTGAGGAGGCTGAAGCGGGAGAATCGCTGGAGCCTGGGAGGTCGAGGCTGCAGTGAGCCACAATCGCACCACTGCGCTCCAGCCTGGGTGACAGAGAAAGACTTTGTCTCAAAACCAACAAACAAAACTGCTCAGATGGTTCTATGAAACAGGTGCATTTTTGTAGAGGTCCATTGTCTCTCCGTGTGCAACACCACAGATGAGCACCCAGCCCTGTGAAAAAGAGAGTGATTATGTAAAACAATTCAGACTTTTTTTTTTTTTTGCTTATCAAGGATATCCTTAAGTAAAGCTAGAATTTTTAAAAATGTTGATCATGACAGTGGAGAATTCAAGGACTGCTTGTACCGCTGGGGTCCACCGACTTGGTCCAGGAAGCGAAGGCACGGGCAGCTTCATCATCATCATCACTGCCACACCATGAGGGCAGAAAGGAAATAACTTCTGAGTACTATGATGGAATAGTTTGGACCCCTCAAAACTATGTGGACCCCTCCAAAGGGGAGTCTCCCTCGCCCAAGAGCCACAAACCATGACCCCCTGAGCATCCTTGCTGTCAGGCTCCCAAGCCTCACCTGGAAAAGCACATCTTTCAGAATCTATTGCCTTTTTATTTTTGCATAAATATTTAAAGTGTCTCCTCCCATTGTCGCTCTTCTATGTGTTTGTGATGAGTATTTATTTCAAGATGAAGAAACGCACCTCGTCATCATTACTGACATGCAGTGAGCAGTGAGCATCCGCAAGTGTGAGCTGTCTGAGCCTCTCTACTTCTGAGTGTTTTATAGACAACCTCATTTTCTAAGGCAGCAGTTTTGTCCCCGAGTCCGGGGGCTGGGCAACAGACACCCTGCTCGGAGAGGGCTCGGGCCCAGACCACCGCATGGCCCTCCCCTGCCAGTCATGTTCTTTCCGGCTCTAACATGGGTCTGTAGTGCACAGTCCCAAGAATCAAGTGCAGGGGACCTGCTCTCACAGCAAAGGAAGGTTGGCATGTTTCTATTTCCCACATAAGTCAGTATTCTGTTTTGTTCCCAGTAAATATATGGCCTTTGAATTTCTAAACATTCTGCAAATGAGCGGCTCCAAAACACGTCTCCTCCTCAAAAAGGACAGAGCATGCAAGCGCACTTTCACAGCACCCTCTGCCCGGCCGAGGCCCCTGCACTGAGGAGGCTCTGCGGCTGAGTTTGGGTGCTTTGCACCCCAAAGGTGGTGATGTAGGGTGGATGAGCAACAGTGTGTGTGAGGACTGGGGGGGTTCTGGGGCGACACTCTGGGGTGAGCCATTGGTGGTCCTGCTTAGCGAGGAAGGGAGGGGCCTCTGCAGCCAGGCTGTGACACACCTGCCTAGAGGGGTGGTCGACCTGGGCAGATGTGTCCCCAGCTTCATGATGCAGGAACTGAGGCCCACTTCCTACCTTTGCAGAACACCAGGGCTTGAGAAGGAGTATGAATTCCAGGGGACCCCATGAAAGAGTTCCAGTTACTACTTAGGGAATGAATAAGTGGGTGAATGTATCAGACTTTCACAAAGTGTTTGCTGAATGAACGGCTGAGTGAATCCATAGGTCCCCACAGTCGGTGGCCCGTCTGCTCTGATTCTAAGTGGGGCTCCGTTCCTGCATAGGATCTTCTGTGGGACCCCCTTGAAATATATTCTAAGAACAAACTTCTAACTACAGCCAACAAGGCCCTGCAAAATCCATCTCCCACTGGACTGCATCACTCAAGGCCCAGGCAGGGAACTGGAGAGCATTCTAGGTCTTTCAAATAGAGGGGATTTATTATAAGGAATCGTTTCCCAGGGCATGGAGGAGCTCAGATGCCAAACAAGACAGTGATGCAACCCAGACTTTCCATTAGCAGGAGGTAGCTGAGCAGGGAGAAGGCTGCCCTCTAAGCCTAAGTCCTGGAGTAGTCAGCAGGAGCCAGGACCACCCAGAGGACCCTCGGGAGGCAGATGCAGCTACAGCAGGAGACGGCACATGAGGCAGAGGGAAGAGAAGTGTCCTGGCACCTCAACTTCTTCTGTCTTATCATCTTCCAACTGTTCCTCCGTGGCTGAAACTATCCAGAAATCAGAGGCAGAGCCTGGGGAACTGCAGTTCCTTACAGCACAGGCCAGGAGCAGGGTTGGGCATGGAGCTGGGCATCCAGCGAGGAGCCACCATCCCCGAGTTCTTCATCCTCACTCGTCTCATGTTCGCCCTCCCGCCCAGTTCCACATCCGGCTCCGCGTCCCTTACCTGCTCCTGCACAGCCACCTTCTGGCCTTGCTTGGGGAGGTGGGTGCCCCATGCTCGGCATCCTTGGCCCTGGCTGGGCTGGCAGACACCAGAGAAAAGCAGCAGGAAAGGGGCCTGCGGCACATTCATCCTCTAACTCCCTCCTCACCTGTGGCAGCTTTGCAGCGGCATCCTCTCCACGAGCTGAGGGCCTCAGTCCTGCCTGGCATCCCTCTCCCACGGTGGCCACAGGTCGCTCTCACCACCCCGCCATGTCACTGTTCTCAGCCCCAGATTTCTCTAACTCTGCCCCCACTTCTGACCAGGGCCCTTCATACACTCAGTCACCTCCTCTGAGGGCGCTGCCTGGTGTCCTGTGGGGCCCCGGCTGAGACCAACTTGCCCAGTGTTCTTCAGAGACAGCCCCACAGGGCACTAGAGGGAGGGAAGGCTTCCCAGCCCAGCCTCATCACCCTCCCGGCATCCCCTCTCTGGTTGCCACCCTCACACAGGGCACACAGCTCCCAGATGTTCCCTCCTTCCCCTTGTGGCGAGCCCTGCTTGTCAGCTCACTGCGGATTGCTAATTCAAGAAGAACCGTGGATGCTTCACCTCCCAGGGACCCTGCGTCCCCTGGGGCAGAGCCCTTACAGCCCATGCTCCAGCTGGGTTCATTCATAATTGGGGCCATCTGTGAGTACCAGGAAGGAGCTGGGAGACAGAGGGGACTCCCTCAGGCTCAGGCCCTTCTAGAAGCTGGCCCCCATGTCAGGAACTCAGACACATTTCTGTAGGTGCTGCATCCCCCTAGAGTTTGGGAGCTGGTGTTGCAAAGTGGGCGAGAGGCTGTAGTGTTGCAGCAGCCATTTCCAGGGAAAGAGGGAGGTTTTGGGGAGGGCTTGTCCACCCAGGAAAGCATGATGGCGTCCCCAGGGCTCCAGAGGTCTTGGTGTCGGGCAGGGCAGGAGGTGGCTGATGGCACATGGCTGCTGTCATCTCACCTCTGTGGTCTGGTTGACTTCATGTGCCACTGAAGAGGTGAGGGCTTCCCATACCAAAGGCCAAAGGTTGAACCTTTGCCCAATAATCCAGAAACTGGAAGCACCGCTAAGGAGAGCAGGGGCGTCTGCTCTGTGTGTACCCTGAGTTGCAGTGAGGCTCAAGGCTTTTCTAGGCAGTCGTGTTTAGCCAGAGCCTCTCCATATTTGAGGTGTGTGCATAAGTTAGAGCATGTGTGCAGGCCTGTGTGTGCATGTGTGTGAGTGTGCATGTGGAGGTGTGCTTGTGTGTATACATATATGTCAGTATATGCATGTATATCAGGGTGTGTGCATGCCTGTGTGTGTGTATGCATGTCTGTGTGTGCATGTGGAGGTGTGCTCATGTGTGTATCCATACATGTGAGTATATGCATGTGTTTGAGGATGTGTGCATGCCAGTGTATATACACATCTGTGTGTGCATGTGGAGGTGTGCTCATGTGTGTATACATACATGTGAGTGTATGTGTGTTTGAGGGTGTGTGCCTGCCTGTGTGTGCATACACATGCGTGTCTGTTTGCATGTGTGGAGACCGCAGCGTTATCCTATCCTCATCAGGTACAGAGTATAAGGAAACTGCCTACCCATATGCACTGTGTCAACTCATCCTCCTTCCAAGGTGCACGTGGGCAGGGTGTGCCAGCCAACCCCTCTGGACCAGCTTTTCTCTGCACTAGGAAACCCATGTAATCCCATCCCTTCTTCTGGGGCCTTGGCCTGGACCAGTTTGGTGAGAAGTGATTTAAACTCAAGAGACATTCAAATGCTGGAAATGCCCAGGCCTGTGGGCCCCTCTGGGTGCTCTAATCATTGTGTTTACTGAGCAAGCCATGGTAGGGGCCATGCGGGGCCCAGCCAAGGAGCACTGCCACCCGTTGCAGCCCATTCACCACTGTTGTCAGCAGGTCCTTTGCAGAGTTTGTTTCTCTTGGCTGGAGGAGGAGGGAAGGGAGACCGAGGGGTCTGGCTGAGGGAAGACAACACTCTCTGGAGAGCTCCTCCCTTGCCCGCCAGGCAGGAATTGCCGAGCTGTCCCAGAGTTGGGAATGGGCAAATTGTCTTCATCCAAAACCCATGCAGACGCCACCCAACCTGGCTTGGCTCTCCCATAGAGAAGCTAAAAGCAAGCCCCTCTTATACAGAAAGGTTGGCAGGGGCCCCGTGATGAACGGAGGTGGGAGGGGGATTGTTTGGGTCTCGACAACCAGGCAACAATCAAGTTTGTTTGTTTGTTTCTCTTCAAGACAAAATGCCCTGAGCAGTCATCTTCAGTGCTTGCTGTTCCGGGAATGCACAGGCTATTTTTACTGCACCCAAAAGAAAATATAAATTCTCTGTCTTCTGAACCAATGCCATTGTTCTGTGTCCGTGGACCCCTATGGATGCACATGTGTCTCAGCCCATCCTCTTGCACCTGTGCAAAGTCTCGCACCCCTTCCTTGGAGGAGGAGGCATGAGGGAGGAGCTTTTGTGCCCAGACATTAGACTTACAGGAGACGGGGCCGGCACTTCCACTTGCCAGCACCCCCAGGATCAGACTTCTCATCTGCACCGTGGGGCACACAAGCACCCCTAGACCATCGCTGCCAGAATTCAATAAGACAGACGA
Source organism: Homo sapiens (assembly GCF_000001405.40). Lineage (NCBI taxonomy): Eukaryota > Metazoa > Chordata > Mammalia > Primates > Hominidae > Homo > Homo sapiens. Next base: position 239,667,630 of record NC_000002.12, on the reverse strand, counting down.
TGCTACTGATGCTGGCACAGTCCTAGGGCCCCAAGAGCCAGAGCGAGGGTCCCCTCGGCTGGTACTGAATGAGGGTGACCTTCACAGCAATGGATTTTAAGAGTTTATAAATTTCAAAAAGTGAGTAATGACATTCTTGCAGTGTCCTAGCTTCCTCCCACCTACACATTTGCCCCACATCTCCTCACATCTTTCTTTGGTTCCTTCTGCAACTCATCTGCCCCAGGAGATGATAAAATAAACACATAAACAGCAAACACGCAGGAACAGAACACGCAGCAGCCCTGACCCAGCGCAGTGCAGTGCTTTGGGGCCTGGGGGACATGTTGCTGGCAGAGTGACGATTTCGGGTGGTCAAAGATGCTGTCCAGCCTGAGGGATGGAAGGAAGTGTGTCACCAGACCACACACTGAGCAAAGGTCTTGCTTGCCTGCTGCCTGGGGCAGGAGAAGAGTAAGGTAGAGGCCCCTCGTGGCACCCTCACACCAGGCTGGGGAGGCACCCTGGAGAGAGTGAGCATGGTGGAGTGAGCACGGTGGCCCTCTGCCTGCTCTTTTGGATCTAGCTGACTGTGCATGTGGGGCAGGGAGAAGGAGGAGGTGGCTCCAACCACCCACTCCAGAGATCCCTCATTAGACACATCTGAGCAGAGGGCTGGAGGGTGGGGCAGATGGAGATAAGATGCACCGACTGCTGGGGCTGCGCTGCAGAGGCACGTTCTGGCCAGCCCAGGGCATGGTGTTTGGCGGGGGGCCAGGGCACTGAGGCCTCATTTGGAGAGCAGACTCCATTGCCTTCCTTCAAACAAAGATTTCTTTTCCCAAAGTAAGTCTAAGAATGGAAAGAAGAAAGGAGCAGGTGGGAGGCAGGAGGCAGAGCAGGAAACTCCCGTGGGAGGAGGAGTGTCTGGGTCTTTGGTGGCGGCTGGAAACATCTCCCTGGAGCGTCTCACCAAGGTGTGTTCGCTGCCTTTGTGAATCTGAAGAAACCTTCGCAAGCCGCGCCCCGCCTCCCACACTGAAGGGTTATAGCCGCCCAAGGTTTCAAGCACCTGGTGAACCCCAGGAACTCCACCACCGGCCCCATCACCCAGGTGTGTGCCTGGGACTTCACAGATGCTCTTCGGACTTGCAGGTGGGGCTCCTTCAGTCCTCAGCAGCCTGGAGGCAAATTGCACCATCGTCATTCTACAAATGGGGGCTCAGGAGCTTGGAAAGGGACTGGTCGTGACAAGGGACAGAGCAAGAACCCAAACCCAGGACTCCAAGTCTGAGGCCAATTCCACCTCATTGACCTGCCCAGACCTGAATCCCAACACTGAGCCAGGGCAGAAGGGCTGGGGGTTCTCAGCGCTGCTGCACACTGCAGGGTCTGCTCTGTCCCAGTTCTGTGACAGGTGCAGGCGCTCTGGGACCGAAGGTGCCACAGAAAGCAGGGCAGACCACCTCACTCCCTTCCCCATAGGCTGGACGCTACATCAGAGAGGCAGACAGGGACCACGTCACCTACTAATGTGACAGGATGGAGGATGGTGAGCAGAGCTCCAAAGAGGGCCCCACTGCCCCAACCAAACTTTCTTTTCTTTCTTTCTTTTTTTTTTTTCAAGATGGAGTCTCACTGTGTTACCCAGGCTGGAGTGCAATGGAGCAGTCTCAGCTCACTGCAGCCTCTGCCTCCCAAGTTCAAGTGATCCTCCTGCCTCAGCCTCCCAAACAGCTGGGATTACAGGCTCACACAACAACGCCGAGCTAATCTTTTTGTATTTTTAGTACAGATGAGGTTTTGCCATGTTGGCCAGGGTAGTCTTGACCTCCTGACCTCAGGGGATCCACCCACCTCAGCCCCTCAAAGTGCTGGGATTATAGGCGTGAGCCACCGCGCCCAGCCCCCAAGACAAGCTTTCTTAGGGCTGTGCTGCAGCCACCCACTCCTCCTTCCATCCTCCTCCTCACCCCGCCCCTTCACAGGGGCCACCCTGTGGGGTCTCCGAGACCCTGCCCACCCACTCCTCCTTCCATCCTCCTCCTCACCCCGCCCCTTCACAGGGGCCACCCTGTGGGGTCTCCGAGACCCTGCCCACCCACTCCTCCTTCCATCCTCCTCCTCACCCCGCCCCTTCACAGGGGCCACCCTGTGGGGTCTCCGAGACCCTGCCCACCCACTCCTCCTTCCATCCTCCTCCTCACCCCGCCCCTTCACAGGGGCCACCCTGTGGGGTCTCCGAGACCCTGCCCACCCACTCCTCCTTCCATCCTCCTCCTCACCCCGCCCCTTCACAGGGGCCACCCTGTGGGGTCTCCGAGACCCTGCCCACCCACTCCTGTCCTCGAAGGCCTCTCCCCAGTAGATCCCAGGCAGGTCGACTGAAGCCTTGATGGCCACTTCTCGGGGGACTTGACCTGCTTTGCCACTTCCTGCTCAGCTTCCCAGGACTCTGTCTCCAGTGTAACAAATACCCTATATTAAATCCCTCCGTTGCAAATGCCTAGAATGTTTCTGTCTTCCTGCCTGAACCCTGACTGCTCATCACAGACCAAAATAATGGCTGCCTGCATGACCACCGGGAGGTAGAAATGAAATTATTTCTAGAGGTTCTCTGTCAATCACAACAATAAAAACAGCTATTATTGAGCACTCCCGAAGTTCAGGCCCCTGTCTGAATGTTTTCCGTGTGTTAACTCATTCCATTCTCGTGGTAATCCTAAGAGGGGGGATGGTGATTGTCTTCATTTTACAGATGGGAGACATAAAGCACAAAGAAGTAAGTTCACTTGCCTCAGGTTACACAGTAGGGAGCAGAAGGAGGCATGGCCCACATATTCTCCTGCACCGGCCTCCCCACCATTACCATTTCCCAAACACGTAAGACACTTACCTCCATACTTGATGTGTAGTCACAAACATCCAGTGGGCTCCTGTGGCCCTGATACAGGCCCAGCCAGTGTCCTCCAGTCCTCCCACACACCCAGGCATGGCACAGCAGTGACACACATAACCGGGGCACAGGGGACAGTTCCATCATGATGCTTCAGCCCTGGCCATTCCTACTTTCATCACAGAGGCCACCTCCCCCCATCACACTCACCAGGAGGTGGCAGAGGGGTCTCCAGCCTGGGCTGGAAGAAGGTCACACCCTGCTGTTCCCTACCACTCAAGAAGGCCACTTTGTCCTGGCCTTTGCCAAAGCGGGCTCAGGCCCCCAGGCCCCCAGACCCCCACCCCTCGCTTCCCTTGCCATCCTCAGGCTGCTCTGTTCCCTCTCAACCCTGGGGTGTCCCTCTACCTGGAACTAAAGGGGATCCCCTATCTGGGCCTCCTGGCTCATCCTTCTTTGGGACCCTCCTTACATGAAAAGCTATGAGAAGAGCTTATTCATTCATTCATTAAAAAAAAAAAAAAAATGGGCCAAGCCCACAGCTGGGTCCCGTGGACGAAATTGACTCAGAACTCAGAGTCTGGTGGCAAAGACAGGGTGGCAGACACCATCGGTGCAGGAGGTCACTGGAGAGCATCTGTCCACATCAGTCCTTCATGGACCTCTGCCTGGGGCTTTTTCTGGCCCAGAAAAGTAAGTGTCCCAGACTCCTAATACTTTGGGGAGATGAATTCCAGGTGGGTCCTACACAGTCCTCAGAAGGGGTTGGTGGGGCTGAGTAACACTTGTCCTCAGGAGAGTCCGTCTTATTCATTCACACATTGTGTCTTTTCTTTTCTCCCTGTCTCAGTCCCCTAAATAAACTGCCTGTACGCAAGTCCTGTCTCAGGACCTACTTTCAGGAAAACCCAAACTGAGACAATAGACAAGTTCAACGTTGGTGACATTAGGATGTTGGGGTGAGACCGGCCCAGTAGACACAAATGCAAGGCCCCTGTCCCGGGGACTGTGAGGCTGAAGGGATCCTCGTTTCCTGCACATCCCACTGCACCTCCCTTAGTCACATTGGAAAGATGGGCTGGCAGGGGGATGACCTGCCCCCGCCCAGGAGTAGACGCTGGCCTTAAATTCCTGTATCCTGCTACCCCAAGCAGAGCCAGGCTGGCTGTGTCAGCCAAGCCCAGCTGCAAACCAAGAGCCAGCCTCAGACCCCAGCTCTGTTCATGGAAGCTCCCTGAGACCCAGGAAGGAGAGGAGAGATTGTCCTGACCTCGCTCACTCAGGGGCAACCTCGGGATCCCCTGGGAGAGCCCCTCCACCCTCCCAAACAAGCAGTCTGTCAGGTGAAACCACACACTGCTGCTGCTGATGTGTAGATCACCCAACCCTTCAGCCCTTCCCCTTCTTTGGGGACCCTCCTTTCATGAGAACCTATGAGAAGAGCTCATTTATTCATTCATTTTAAAAAATTCCTCTGCTTGAGCCTTCCTCAGGAGTGTTGTCGCCAGAGGCACCCCCAGTCCAGAGGGAATCCAGCTTCCCAGTCTCAAACCTGCCACCTGTCCAAAAGTTAGAGTTACATTTACATAAATCGGGGGTTGTTTTGATCCAAAGTACCCATTTTTCATCCCATCTCTTTGCCTTCATTTCAGTAGTCAGGGTTGTCAGGAATGTGCTCAGTTATTCAGATTTGCAAACACTATAATAAACACAGGGCGAGCCGTCCGTGGACGTTGTCTGCCTTCTTGTTTCGTTCCACGGTTGGCTGGAGAGCAGGGCAGTGATGTGAAGGCTCCGGGGGGGGCTCCAGCTTCACCACTAACTGGCTGCGTGTCTGGGGCAGGTTAATTATGCACCCAGTGCCTCGTCTTTCTTTTTTGTAGAAAAGATAATGATGCCTGTCAGTCTCAAAAGGGCATGCAAGTGTGCTGGACACAGGGCCCACGCTCTGGCACATAGCAGGTGTTTGACAAAGTCATCTTAGCAGAGACACAGACTCCACCAGCGAATAACCCAGGACCAAGGAAGGATTTTGTTTTTTGGTTCTCTCTCAAGTTCTGCTGTATCTGCAGAGACCAAGTAACAGCCTGAGGCTGATAAGAAAAGTGTTGAGTGATGACAATGAGATGACACGTCCTAGATGCTGCAGCAATGAAAGTCCCTTGGCGTGTGTTGGGTGTAAGCTGAGTCCCTCAGGAAAGGCACAGGAAATGGAGGAGCAGAGTGGAGAGGGAGTGAGCTGGCACAAGAGGATGGGCTTTGGGGAGCGAGAAAAACAAGTCAAGACGCCTTTCAGGAGTCTTTCTGCAGGAAGCACCACACCCACCGCCTCCCTGCCCCTTTAAAAATACTCCCGAAAGATACATTGTATCTTAAGGTGTATGAAACAGATCACAAGTTTGTCCCAATAGGCAGAGACTGTGCCACATGGAGCGCTAAGATTTGTTTGGGTTTCACTGACTATTATTTTTCTTTGATAATAAAGAAACTGGACATTTTCACGGTGAGTCCCACAGTGGGGGTTGGAGCATCTGGGAGTTAGTACCTTTTAGCCAGGGATTTAGCTGTGGCATGCATCCTCCAGCTGACAGTAAGTGAAAGGCTTAACTCAAGAAGAGAAAGGACATCGGTGACGGGCAGGCAGGTGGGGGCTCTGCGGTGCTGCGAGGGTGCTGCCAGGATGCTGCCAGCTCCTGGGGCCACAGTGTGGGTATCTACCTGGTTTCTTCGGCAAACAAAGCATCTGACCCTGTCCTCTTCAAGCATCTGGTCAGCATCAACAGGGTACTATAAACACATTGTCACAGTGTATCAGGAAGGAGGGCGGGATTCAGAGGCTGTCAGACTTTTGTTTCTTACAGTGAAAGATTCGAAGATGCAGACAGCATTACTCACAGCATACAAACCCAGATCCACGCAGGGTCCAGCTGCTTTCAGGTGGCGGATATGCCAAACCCCCCATTTTGGTACAGCCAGAGAGGTATGTTTACCTGATCTACCTCATGCAGCCTTTGAATGCTAAACATTGGACATTGTGACAATGAACTTCCCCACAGAATCTGATTAGAAAGAACAAACAAGGGCAAAGGAAGGGGCTAGGGAATGCTTAGCACATGCCCTGTACTAAGCCCTGAGGAAGCCCTGGGAAGGAGACAGAAGAACCCGACGCGGCTGCTGCCTTAGAAGTTCCTCCAGCCCCATAAAAATCATAGCTAATTAGTATAGTGCAGATTGTGGTCAAATACCACAAACAAACACTCCTGAGGAGGCAGGTCAGAAAGGCTTTCTGAAGAGGGAGGTTCAAGGCGAGCCTTGACTGTCAAGCAGAAAGTGAGAGGCAGAGATGAAGGAGTGGCTCACGCTGGTCAGAGGAGAGGCAGAAAGCCATCAGAACACTGAAGAAATCTCACTGTAACTTTCTTATTTTAGTAGACACCACAAAGAGAATCACGTTGCTGTAAAAAAAAAAAATTGAAGTTTTTCCTAGACTCCTTGCAACATAAGGACCCTAAAGTAATCAGTGACCCTTGCATCCATATTGGGCCATTAAAACTGTTGACTTCTTTATTCCTAAATTGATGCCATTTGAATTCAAAGCATAAAGGCACCGACCTAAAATGTGATGATTATTAAAAGTTCCATGGCTCATCGCTGACACCCTCAGCTAATTTTATTTTTGGTAATTGCGTCAATCCAGCTTCAACTCTTCCTGTTCTAAACTTGTTCCGTGCCTTATGTTTTACAAAGCACTGTCTCACACATGCCTGCTTTGACTTCATGCCCACAACAGCATCGAGTGAAAGAATTTGAAACAGAGAGCGGCAAACTGGGGAATGCACGGCGTCCCCACAAATGGCACATGTGGACTCAACCCCGAGTCCCCGTTTCTTGGTCCAGCATGAAGTGTCTCATCAGCCACCTCCAGCTTCTTCTTCCACCGCTGGTCTCGGGGGGGAACCCAACAGACTCACATTTCATGTGAAAGGAATTTCTGCGGATATGGAAAAAGCAATGGCGGATCTCCACCCTTGAAACTCCAACAGTCTATGGTAGCGATGAGATCCAAACCTGCGAATATTTAGATCATAACAAGGTTACTAACAATGCCGCCTCACACCAGAGGGTGTCTCGTCGGTACTTGACAAATGAATCACCTAGGAGCTTCTCCGTAGGTGGCCAGGTGGAGAGGTGACTCAAGGCTGGGTGGCGAAGCCGGCTCTGGACTGGTGCCCGCCTCTGATGAGGGAGGCAGAGGGAGGTGTCTCAGGTGGGGAGGGCTGGAGCTCAGCATGGATTCAGGACAGCAGGAGGAGGGGCAGTGAGCCCCGCAGTGGGGAGCAGAGTGGGGAACTGAGTGAGGAACAGCTGGGGCCAACCCCAGAGTCACAGAAGTGGCCTAGTGTGGCTCCACCTAGTCTGGGGGGCGGGCGGGGGGTTGCTGGACATTTACTGAGATGGAGCTCAGCAATGTTTTATGAGAAAGAACCTAACACGATGTGGGGCTCAGCAATGTTTTAGGAGAAAGAACCTACCCCGACGGTGTTGGAGCCTGCGTGGGAGGGGCGGGGGAGGACCAGGCAGTGGGGGAGGAGTCACCGCGCCAGCCGGGCCTGGACCAGAGTGGGGGCTGTGTGAAGGGAAAGGCAGGGCGTGGTGGAATAGATACAGTGACAAAACCCTCCACACAACTGCCCCACTACCAATTGACCCAGACGCAAGTTTAGGGCGGAGGCAGGGGTGTGGTCAGTCAGCTTCGAGGCCCCACACAAGGATTCTATTGAGAGAAATCAAACAGAAAACGTGAGGCCAGGCCAGGCGCGGTGGCTCACACCTGTAATCCCAGCACTATGGGAGGCCGAGGCGGGCTGATCATCTGATGTCAGGAGTTCCAGACCAGCCTGACCAACATGGCGAAACCCTGTCTCTACTAAAAATACAAAAATTAGCTGGGCGTGGTGGCAGGTGCCTGTAATCCCAGCTACTCAGGAGGCTGAGGCAGGAGAATAGCTTGAACCTGGGAGGCAGAGGTTGCAGTGAGCCGAGATTGCGCCACTGCACTCCAGCCTGGGAGACGAGAGTGCAACTCAAAAAAAAAAAAAAAAAAAAAAAAAGGAAGGAAGGAAGGAGGGAGGGAGGGAGGGTGAGGCCAGATAGGGTCACAGTCTGGCTGGATGACAAGAAGTTCTGGTTTAGAAAGAAGGGACGAGGGACAAGTGGTGTGGCTCACCAGAGTCCAGGCCTGAGGTGCAGGCAAGTGAACATGTGGGCTCCCAGGGGCACAGAGGAGAGCAGAGGAAGGGGAAGGTGTGAGGGACACAGAAGACAGGAGGGAGGGGAGGGATGGGAGCAGCGGAGAGCAGGGAGGGGAGAGACGGGAGCGGCGGAGAGGAGGGAGGGTAGGAAGGAGAGCAGAGGAGAGGAGGGAGGGAAGGCATGGGAGCCTAGGAGTGGAGGGAGGGGTGGGAATGGAGCAGAGGAGAGGAGGGAAGGGAGGGAAGGGGAGCAGAGGAGAGGAGGGAGGGGACGGAAGGGGAGCAGAGGAGAGGAGGGAGGGGAGGGAAGGGGAGCAGAGGAGAGGAGGGAGGGGAGGGAAGGGGAGCAGAGGAGAGGAGGGAGGGAAGGCATGGGAGCCTAGGAGTGGAGGGAGGGGTGGGAATGGAGCAGAGGAGAGGAGGGAAGGGACGGAAGGGGAGCAGAGGAGAGGAGGGAGGGGACGGAAGGGGAGCAGAGGAGAGGAGGGAGGGGAGGGAAGGGGAGCAGAGGAGAGGAGGGAGGGAAGGCATGGGAGCCTAGGAGTGGAGGGAGGGGTGGGAATGGAGCAGAGGAGAGGAGGGAAGGGAGGGAAGGGGAGCAGAGGAGAGGAGGGAGGGGACGGAAGGGGAGCAGAGGAGAGGAGGGAGGGGAGGGAAGGGGAGCAGAGGAGAGGAGGGAGGGAAGGCATGGGAGCCTAGGAGTGGAGGGAGGGGTGGGAATGGAGCAGAGGAGAGGAGGGAAGGGACGGAAGGGGAGCAGAGGAGAGGAGGGAGGGGACGGAAGGGGAGCAGAGGAGAGGAGGGAGGGGAGGGAAGGGGAGCAGAGGAGAGGAGGAGAGGAGGGAGGGGAGGGAAGGGGAGCAGAGAGAGCCAATACTAACCCTGGGCAGTAACAGCATCCAAGCTAGAGGGAAGAACGGCCTTTGGCAGAAGTCCGGGGGAATGGCCAGCGGTCTTTAGTGGAGGTTCAGGACTGCACCAGTAGGGCCTAAGGAAAGAGCTTAAGGAAGCCCACAGTCCTAACAGTGGCTGGCTGGGGACATAGAGAAGGCCACGAGAGTTGGAAGAAATAGCCAGAAATGATGACAGAAAGTCATTGGTTGGCTCAAAGAGAGTAGTTTCTGTAAAAATATTTTTTAATGAAAAGAAGAAGCCAGATACAAAAGGTTCAAAAGAGAAGGAGATGGTGAAGTCAAGGCCATGAGAGTGGGGCAGACACAAGAGGGGACGGGGCGGGGGTCGGGGGGCAAAGGCAGAAACGAGAGCACCTCTGAGACCCTTGCGGGCAGGGTGCCAGGCAGGTCTGTTGGCCTAAGGGAGAGGGCACTGTGGGGCTGGCAGGGCCCGTCAGAGTTGCACTGCATTCCTCCAAATGTCAGGGCCCCCATGCACCTGCCTTGATCTGACATTGAATGTGACCATCCAGGAAGGCAATGAAAAACACACTTCCACAGAACTGTGCCAGGACAGTGAAAACCTCTCCAACAAAAACTTCTCCCTGATGCCACAGGAAATTAAAAACCCCTTTGAAACAAATACTGCAAGAAGAGATGCAAAAAAAAAAATTCATCTTCAAGAGACAAAAAAAAAAAAAAGTTCTGGAGCCCAGACAAAGAAATGGAAGAGAAAGTTAAGAATATGCAGAAATAAAAGCTTCAGTAGAGAAAACAAAGAACAGATGCTGCTAAAACCAGAAATAGGCAAAGATAGAGCAAAACACAAGGAAAAACGTTAAAATGATGAGAAAGAAAACAATAGATCTGGAAGACAGGCAAAAAAAGGACATAACATGTTCATACATGATATTCCCAAAGCAGAGAACAAAACAAAGAGAACAAAAAAAAAAAATTAAAAATGCAAAGATAGAATAGAAGAAAACTAGAATAAAAGAAGGCTTGAATCCGCGTGGTGAAGGGGAACACTATATCTCAAGAAAAAATTTTACAGAATAAACACATTTTTGTAAAATCACAGGGTTTCAAGAATAAATTATTCTATGAACTCCAGGAAAGAAAAAAAGTGAAGATTCAGTTGGCACCAGAGGATGGAGAAGCCTAAATTTGTATTTTCTTCATGTCTACAGAGCATCTCCCCAAAGTGTTGCTCAAATGTAGAGAAAACAGACAGACATTCTCTAACATCCAAAGACTTCAGGAATGGCACCTGTGAGCTCAATTTGAGAAAACAACCTGACAAACTCCAGACAAGCAAGAGACAAAAAAGACATTAAGTAATGATGATACACTAAATTTAAATCCAGAACTATGGCTAAACTTCTACATAAATATTATTTACAGAGTAAAATTAATTTTATAAATTTCTCAATGAAGAAATAATGATATAACAACAACAACCAAAAAAAAAAAAAAAGGAGGTAAGGTGGGAAACAGATACTTAAAACTATCTCCTAGATACTTAAACTGATATATCAAGTATAGTTTGAGCATCTTTAATTTGAAAACCTAGAATCCGAGACGCTTCAAAATCTGAAACTTTCTGAGCACTGACATGAGGCCACAAGTGTAAAATTTCACACCTGACTTCATGTGATGGGTCACAGTCAAAACACAGGTGCACAACCGTTTATTCAGCATTCCCCAGGGGAAAAAGACCCTCCATCCACTTTCAGTGGTGATATATCTTCTCTGCACACACCCAGATTACCCCACACAAGCACGTCCTCAAAGGGTAAGAAAATGGCATGTGTGCAGGCTGGACATGCCAACAGCGGGTTCCCAAATGTCCCACGTAAGCCAAAACCTACCTGCATGACTCACTGTTTTGTTTTGTTTTTTCTTATTCTCTGCTCTGTGGTGTAAAGATATTGCTGGAAATATTAAAAAGGGCTACAGATACCCCTTTGGGCAAACGTAATAAGAAAAAGACAAAGCATTGATTTATGGCACAGAAAGTCCAGCTGTTGGGGAAATAGGACCACAGCTTAAGTGTGAAATGTCTTAGAAAAGAGCGTGGTGTTGGAATGACCACCATACGTGACCTGAAGAAACAGAAGGACAGACTGTTGAAGTTTTATGACAAAAGTGATGAGCAAAAGCTAGTGACAAATGGGAAAACACTACGTAAAGCTAAAAATAAAGATCGGGTTTGTGTATTGAAAGAGAGGATCTGTCAACATCACAATGAACACACATGCCACTTAATGCCATGCTGATTATGAAACAAGCAGAGACCTGTCACAATGAACTGAAATTAAAGGGAACTGTCCAACAGTTACATTGCAGAAATTTAAGAAAAGACACAGCGCTATTTTATTTTCATTTTTATTTTTTGAGGCAGGGTCTCACTCTTGCCAGGCTGGAGTGCAGTGGCGTGATCTCGGCTCACTGCAACCTTTGCCTCCTGGGTTCAAGCAATTCTTCTGCCTCAGCCTCCCAAGTAGCTGGGATTACAGGCACCTGCCACCATGCCTGGCTAATTTTTGTATTTTTAGTAGAGACGGGGTTTCACCATGTTGGCCAGTCTGGTCTGGAACTCCTGACCTTGTGATCCACCTGCCTCGGCCTCCCAAAGTGCTGGGATTACAGGTGTGAACCACCACGTCCGGCCACAGTGCTAAATTTTTAAAGGTTTATGGTGATAAATCATCTGCTGGTCATGAAGCAAAAAAAAAAAAAAATTCACTGATGACCTGATGAATTTGCCAAGGCCATCACTAGTGAAAATCTGATGCTCAGAAAAAGTCTATAATGTTGATAAAACATTACTGTTCTGGTGTTATTTCCAGAGAAATACACGGACTACCGCTGATGACACAGCTCCTACAGGAGGGACAGAAAGACTTTGCTGGGATTTGCAAATGCAGCAGCCATGTGTACGTGTAAGCTTGCTGTGATAGGCAAGAGCCTGCATCCTTATTATTTTTAAGGAGTGAATTTCTTACCAGTTCATATTTTGCTAACAGAAATGCATGGATCACCAGGAACATCTTTTCTGATTGGTTTCATAAACATTTTGTACCAGTGGCTCATGCTCACTGCAGGGAAGCTGGACTGGATAATTGCAAGATTTTGTTATTCCTTAACAATTGTTTTGCTCATCCTTCAGCTGAAATTCTCATAAAAAATAATGTTTATGCCAAGTACTTTCCCACAAGCATGACTTCACTAATTCAGCCACATGACCAAGGTATCCTTAGATTAATGAAGAATAAATAGAAAATCACTTTCTTAAGGAGCATGCTAGCAGCAGTAAACAGATGTGTGTGTGGGGAAGGTTTTCGAAAGGAATTTAGCATGAAGGCTGTTGTTATATGCTGTTGCCAACCTGGAACACAGTGACCAAAGACACAGTCATGCATGCCTGGCACAGCCTCTGGTGTGTAACTACGTTCAGTGATGATGATGAACAAGGTGGTGACTTTGAAGGATTCCATATGTCAAGTGAGAAAAAGATGATGTCTGACCTTCTTACAGATGCAAGAAATATACCTACACAGTCCATCGGCAAGCGAGAAGAAGTGGATTCCAATAAGTCTTTAACATTCATAATGAGGCTTCAGTTGTGCATTCATCGACCAACGATGAAACAGACAAAAGTTCTGAGTCAAGGTGATGATGATAATAGTGATGCTGAGGATGACGTTGTTAACACTGCAGAAAGGGTGCCTACAGGTGCCATGGCGAGAGTGTGTGTTGGGCTTTTTGAACGACTAGAGCAACATGAATTCATAACAGAGCAAGAAATCATGGCAGTTTATAAAATCCTAGAGAGACTTCTAAGACACACACACAAACGTTACTGACACAGATGACTCTAGAGGAAACATTTAAGAAAGCCATCCAGCAGAAACCCTCCACATCCCTAGAGGATCCACCTCCCGGTCCTTTCCAACTGTTTCTGATGTTTCTTCTCACCTAAAAAAAATACTGCATACAGCAGCCTTGTAATCAAAATGCAGCATTGTAGGTGGTGGCTGGAAGCGGCCATTGTTTGTTGCTGCTGAGGTTTAGAAGCTAGTGCAGGGGTGCCAGTGACGCTGCTGTGCTGCTGAGATACCCTGAACATGATATTTTCTCACTGTGTTAATGGCGTGTCATTTTTTACTGTTAAGTACTTATATGTCAGTAAGTGTAAGAAAATGGTGGCTGATCAGTAGCACATAAATCCAGAGTCAGGAATGATGGTGATGCCAGACAACCCCAGACTGTCCACACCAGTGGCTGAGATAGTGGCACCTTTGCTTTCTAATGGGTCAATGTACACAAGCTTTGTTTCATGCACAAAATTGTATAAAACAATGTATAAAATTGCCTTCAGGCTATTTGTATAAGGTATATAAGAATCATAAATAAATTTTATGTTTAGATTTGGGTTCCATTCCCAAGATATCTCATCATGTACATGCAAATATTCTAAAATCTGAAAAAAATATGAAATCTGAATCACTTCTGGTCTCAAGCATTTTGGATAAGGGAAATACAGCCTGTACTAGGAATTTTAGTATTTCATACAATTATATAAAGATAACCACAGGAAATTAAAAATATAGCATAAACTAAATTGGAAGGTTAAAGGGAAGGAAGTAAGTTAAGAGAAAGGATAAGAGAATAAGTTTCTTGGAGTTAGGAGAGATTATATAAAATCTAACACTTTTCATTAAGAAATAGAGACTACACTATAAGCATGCAAGCTATTAAAAATTACACACAAACACACATAGCTTATAGTAGACAAATGATCTTTAATAAAACAAGATGACAAAAATATAAAAAAATTATATCAATAAACAAATGGGAAAATTAATATATTAATAGGAAATAAAGTTCCCAGGGTTAAAATCCAAAACTTATCAACAGGCCACATACAGTACATGAGCTGCATCTGAACAAAGTGACTCAGAACAGAGAAAAAGAATAGTGGGAAAGGCAAAATAACAAGAAAACACACAAAAATAAAAATAACAATCTACAATAATGATCTAATATTTTTCTGTGAGAAGTAATATTACATTAAAATGCTTAAAGCAAAAACTTCAAGAAACACAAGGATAAATATATCTAGGCTTCACGGAACAAACCAGCCTAATGCTCTCTGAACTGTTCCAGAGAATAGATAGAAAAGTAACACACCAGAACACTTTTTATAAAGTCACCATAACAGTAGCACATAAAGCTAATAGGCAGACACAAAGAGAAACTTTAGACCAATCACATTCAGAAATATCACTGTGAAAATTACAAACACGTCGAATGGAACAGGGCGTTTTGAAAGCATAGCACCCTACAAACTGGGTTCCTTTGAAGAAGAAAGATTGGTCAACACAAGGAACTCAATTTCATAATTTGCTAATTAAATAGGTCATTGGATAAAAGCCATTTGGTTAGCTCTTCTGATTTTTTAAATTAAACTTTTTAATCTAGAGATAATTGTAGATTCACATGCAGTTGTAAGAACTAATACAGAGAAAGCCCATGTGCCCCTTACTCAGTTTCCCCCATGGTAACATCCTACAAAACTCCAATATGATACCACAACCAAGAGACTGATGTTGATGCAGACAAAATAAAGAACATGCCCGTTGCCAGGGACTGTGGCTCACACCTGTAATCCCAGCACTTTGGAAGGCCCAGGCAGGCAGATCACTTGTGCCAAGGAGTTTGAGACCTGCCTGAGTAACACTGTGAGACCCTATCTCTACAACAACAACAAAAAATTACAAAAATTAGCTAGACGTGGTGGTGCACACCTGTACTCCCAGCTATTTGGGTGGCTGAGGCAGGATAGCTTGAGCTCGGGAGGTGGAGTTTGTAGTGAGCCGAGATCGCGCCACTGCACTCCAGCCAGGGCCACAGAGTGAGACCCTGTCTCAAAAAGAAAAAAAAAAAAATAGAACATGCCCATCACAAGAATCCCTCATGCTACCCCCTTTTTTTTTTTTTTTTGAGACGGAGTCTCGCTCTGTCGCCCAGGCTGGAGTCCAGTGGCGCGATCTCGGCTCACTGCAAGCTCCGCCTCCCAGGTTTACGCCATTCTCCTGCCTCAGCCTCCCGAGTAGCTGGGACTGCAGGCGCCCGCCACCACGACTGGCTAATTTTTGTGTTTTTTTTTTTAGTAGAGGCGGGGTTTCACCGCGTTAGCCAGGATGGTCTCGATCTCCTAACTTCGTGATCCGCCTGCCTGGGCCTCCCAAAGTGCTGGGAATACAGGCGTGAGCCACCGCGCCCGGCCCATGCTATCTTTTTAAACCACACTTGCTTCCCATTTTCCGCCCACCCATCCCCATCCCTGACCCCTGGAAACCACCAACCCGCATTACTCCTATACATTTGTCATTTTAAGAATATTACATAAATGTAATCATACACGACATAACTTTGGGAATAGGGTTTTTCCACTGAGTCTAATTCTCTGCAGATTCACCTGAGCTGATGTGTGACTCAATAGTTCAGTTATTTTCATGTTGAGTATTATTCCATGGTGTAGATGTACCACGGTTTATTTAACCATTCACTCCTTTGAGGAGATCTGGGTTGTTTCCAATTTTTGGCTATGATGAATAAAACTGTGATGAATATTTATGTACAGTTTTCGTGCTAGCATAAGTTTTCATTTCTCTGAGGTGAGTATCAAAGTGTACAATTGCTGGCCTGTACAATGGCAGCATGATTCGTCTTACAAGAAAACGCCAAACTGGTCTCCAGAGTGGCTGGATCATTCTGCATTCACACCAGCAATGTACAAGTGACCCAGTTTCTCCACATCCTTGCCAGCATTTGGTGTTGTCACTATTTGTTGTTGTTGTTTTAGCCATACTGATAGTTGTGTCATAATTTTTATCATGTTTTAATTTGCACTTCCCCAATGGCTAATGATATTGAACATCTCTTCATGTGGTTATTTGCTGTCTTTAGTGCCTTTTCTTTGCCCATTTTGTAATTGGGTTCTTAATTGTTATTTGCTGTCTATAGTGCCTTTTCTTTCCCCGTTTTGTAATTGGGTTCTTAATTTTTTATGCTGTTGAGTTTTAGGAGCTTTTTATATAGTCTAGATACAAGTCTTTTGTCAGATAGGTAGTTTATGTATATGTCATTTCACTCAGTAGCTTATTTTTTCGTCCTGTTCCCAGAACAAAGAGTTTTAACTTTAATGAAACCCCATTTATCAAATTGTTCTTTTTTACTTTTGGCCTTAAACCTAAGAATTGTTTGCCTATCCTAGGTCCCAAAGATTTTCACCTATTTCTTTTTTCCCCTAAAACTTTTGTAGTTTTATATTTTACGTTTAGGTCTGCAATGAGATTGGAGTTGGTTTTTGTGTACAGTTAAGTTTGAGGTTCATTTTTTCTGCCTGCAGATGTCCAATGGCTTCAGCACCATGGTTGAAAAGACAAAAGACTGCACTTCTCTTCAATCACTTTTGTGCCTTTGTCAGTAGTTGCTTGGAGATTTTTAATTACAGATTCAATTTCTTAATTGTTTTAGGACTAATCAGGCTGTCTAGTTCATCTTGTGGAGTTTGATAGTTTGAGGGTTGTGAAAAATTGGTCCATTTATTTTACATCGTTAAATTTTGGTCTGCCTGAAATTGGTGACTCATGTCTTTTCTCTTTTTATGTAAGTCAGTCTTGCTAGAGATTTACCAATGTTATTGATTTTTTTCAAAGAACCAGATATTTGCTTTATCGATTTTTTTTCAATTGCTTTCCTATGTGCAACTTCACTGATTTCTGCACTTATTATTTAGTTTCTTCTGGTCGTTTGGGGTTTGTTTTGTTCCTTTTTTTATCATTTCTTAAGATAGAACTTATATTATTGATTTGAGATTTTTCTTCTATTCTAATGTAAGCATTTATAAATTTACAAAATGTACTCTCAGCTGCATCCCACATGGTTTTATATGTTGTGTTTTTATTTTCCTTCAGTTCTATGCATTTTAAAAAATTTCCTTAGAGACTGCATCTTTGACCCATGAATTATTTTGAAGCATTTTGTTTAAATTCTAAGTGTTTGGAGATTTTCCTGTTGTCTTTCTGTACTGATATCTAGTTTGATTCCATTATGGTCAGAGACCATATTGTGTATGATTTCAGTTGTTTTAAACTCGTTGCAGTTTGCTTGAAGGCCCAGGCTATAATCTATCTTGGTTAATGCCCCACGGTTGCTTGAAAAACTGTCTATTCTGCTGCTGCTGAGTGGAGTGCTCACTTAGATACCATCGGTTGGCTGTGTTCTGGTTTTTTGTCTAAGAGTTCTTTCAATTGCTGAAAGTGAAAGATTGAAGGCTCCAACTATAACCTGAGGGTTTATTTTTCCCTTAGGTTCTCATTGGCTTTGCTTCATGTATTCTGAGGCTCTGTGTTTGGTGCATGCAGATTTAGGATTTTTATGTCTTCCTAGTGGATCAATCATTATGTTAATATGGACTGTCTCTCTTTGTCTCTAGCAATTTTCTTTGATCTCAAGCCCCCTTTACCTGACATTAATACAGCTACTCCTGATTTTTTTTTTTTTTTGAGACAGAGTTTCAATCTCGTTTCCCTGGCTGGAGTGCAAAGGTGTGGTCTCAGCTCACTGCAACCTCCACTTCCTGGGTTCAAGTGGTTCTCCTGCCTCAGCCTCCCAAGTAGCTGGGATTACAGGTGCATGCCATCACATCTGGCTAATTTTTGTATTTTTAGTAGAAACGGGGTTCCACCATGTTGGCCAGGCTGGTCTCAAGCTCCTGACCTCAAAAGATCCACCTGCCTTGGCCTCACAAAGTGCTGTGATTACCTGCGTGAGCCACCATGCCCAGCCTACTCCTGATTTTTTTAAATTAATGTCTGTATGATATGTCTTTTCCCACCCCTTCTTGGCATATATTTATTTGTGTTTAATCTATTTAGCATCTATTCAGCTTACTGAATCTGTAAGTTTATGTTTTGCATCAGATTTGGGGATTTTTCAGCCATCGTATTCTGGAGTACTTCTTCAGTCCCATTCTCTGTCTCCTCTTTCTCTGGGACTCCAGTGACACAAATGTCAACCCCCTTGTTACTGTCACGTGACTGTCTCAGGCTTTGTTCTTGGCTGTTGTTATTCTGTCTTCCCTCTATTCCTCAGATTGGGGTAATTCAGTTGATTATTCTCAAGTTCACTACCTCTATTCTCAGTCATTTTCATTCTATGATCAAGTCCATCCAGCAAGGTTTTTATTTTACTTGTCGTATTTGTTAGTTCTCTGATTTTCTTTGGTTCTTTCTTGTAATGGCTACTTATTTGCTGAGATTTTCTTAAAAAATGTTTCAAGAGTATTTGTAACTATTTGTTGAAGCATTTTTATGATGTCTGCTTTAAAATCCTTTTCAAGTATTTCCAACATCAGCTTCATCTCACTGTTAATGTCTGTTGATTTTGTTTTCTCATTGAACTTGTGATTTTCTTGGTTCTAGATAAGACAAGTCATTTTTTATTATCTTCCAGACATCTTGAATATCATATGATGAGACTCTGGATCCTATTTAATCTTTTTGTAGTGTGAGGGTCAGGTGGGTGTGTGTGTTTAGCTTCCTACTGGGCCCCCCAGCACAGGTGGAGTTCCAGCTCACAGTGCCACACTGCAGACGTAAGGGCCAGCTGTTCAGCCCCTGCCAGCCCCATGGATGCTTTTCTGACTCTCACTGCCTTAATGCCTCTGAGTTTGGGTTAAGATCAGCTCCCCGCTGGGCCCAGCTGCCACCAGGAAGCAGGGAGGGTATGGCTGACTCATCCTGCTTTGTTGCTATAGGATGGGGGCAGAAGCTCAGCTCCCCATGGGGGCCCACTGACACCAGGATGGAGGATGAGGTACAGCAGTGACAGCTAACCACCCCCACAGCTTCTCTCAGGGTCACTGCTATTGGGTGGTTGTGGAGGTGCAGGTCCTCACTAGACCTCATGACACCCAGAGTTGGGAAAGGTGGCAGCTCTCTAGCCCCAGCCTGTGCTTGGCATTCAGTCTTGACTCCAGGTGGGGTTAGAGACTCAGCAGCAGTGAGACCCCACTATTAGTACCCCAAGGTAGGATGAGACTTGAAGTACTATCTGCTTCTGCTGGGCAAGGAATGAAAAGTCAGCTCCCAGCTGGGCCCCACCAGTGTACCCCAGCAGAGAAACTGGAAAGTCTCCTGCTCTCACCCAAAGAGAAGTGGAAGGCCAGGTCCCTGCTGGACCCCCTCACACCACCTCACACACCCAGCACAGGGGAATCTGAGCAGGCAGCTGGCAGCCTGCTCAGAGGCAGGGCGTGTGGGGAGTGTCATGGAAGATCAATGTCCCACTCAGCCTCTTGAAAACTAGGGGATGGAGGACGTGCAGGTTTTCTGTTAGTGTTTGGCTAGAGTGGGGTGGGTATCACCAAAAAGTTTTTCTACTATTTATTAGGCTCCCCTATTCGGGGTCCTTTTCAGGGGGAACTTGTGCTTTTTTCTTGGAGTGCCCTTTTGGTCTGTGCTTGTTTTCAGGTCAAGGCTGGAAGTAATAGGAACCCAGGGGATTCCCTCCATGTCAGTCTTGAGGCACTGCTCATCCACCTTCTTCCTCCCACTCTCCAGAGTCTGCCCTTGCTTGGTGCTTGTGTATGTCCAGAGATGTTGAGTTGCAAGAAGGAGTATCTGGGAAAAATGGGGCTGCTCAATCTAGGTGGACCAGGAAGTCTTTACTCCTCAGACTTTGAAAGCCAATTTGTAAAATGCAATATCCATCCTGGCTTCAAGCACTTAATATTAGTAATAGGAGGAGTAGTAGTAACAATAGAATTTTGGATAATTCCTCAGGAATATCAAAATGTTTATCTCAAATTAAAACCAAAATCACTCTTAGTGGGAAAACAAACTAAATAACTTCCTTAAAGCTCAGAACATGCAAGGCAACCCAAAGCAGCACTGCCATTTAACATTTTTCAGGAAGTGCTAATTGATGTAATAAGAAAACAGAGTTGCATGGGAGAAAGTGAGCGGCGTCTCGTTATTTGCTCATGATGTGCAAATACAGCTGAAAATGTAATTGAAATAGAAATTTAATAAACATAAAGGCTGGTCACAAAATTAATATGCCATACTCTTATGCAATAATGCTACGGTCTAAAAGTTTGTGTCCCCACAAAATGCATATGTTATGAATCCTAATTCCCAAGTGATGGTAGTAGGAGCTAGGGCTTCTGGGGTGATTAGGTCATCAGAGCAAAGCCCTCACAAATGGAACTGCATGACCTCTTGCCTCTCCTGCCACGTGAGGACACCGGGAGAAGGCGTCATCTACAAACCAGGAAGCAGCCCTCATCTGACACCAAATCTGCCAACACCTTGATCTTAGACCCGCAGCCTGCAGAACTGTGAGAAATAAGTTTCCTTTGTTTACAAGCTACCCAAGCCTATGGTATTTGGTTATAGCAACCCGAAGGGACTAAGACAGATGATAACCTCCAAGAAATAGATGAAGGAAGAAAAGACAAAAAAAAAATCTCTAGGAATAAATTTAACAAGAAACTTGCAAAATTACATTAAGACAACTTTAATATCTTACTCGAGTACAGAAAAGGAGACTTGAGTACGTGGCAAGATATATCTTATTCTTGGAGAATAACTCTATTTTCAGAAGACTTGCTGTATTAATAATTTTTAGAAACCTTGAGGTGATCCTAATAAAATAACAGCAGGAACTTGACAAGCTAATTCTAGAGTTTATATGGAAAATAAACATAAAATTACAGCCATGAAAAGTCATAAAAGGCAGGAGAATGAAGAGCTAGTTGTCACGGGGCAGGAACTGCTGTTCCCACCACAGTGGAGAGTAGGAATGGAGTTTATACTTCTCATCTCACAGAGTAAAAGGAACCCACTCATCATTTCTACCGTAGAGTATAGACTCTGGCTTTCATCTTCCCAAGGTGGAGTCGAAGAAACTAGGTTTATCCTTCTGACTATGGAGTAACCGGGATGGGGTTTCTCCTCTCTCCTGAAATAACTGTAAGCCTGGACAAAATATGTGAAACGATGGTTTTGAAGACAGTGGACAGTAGATGAGGAAGGACAGTGATCGCTGCGGGCTGGGAAGCAAACAAGGTGTCCCCGGGGCTGCCCCCAGATCAGCTCTGGAAAATGTCCAGCCGCACAGCCCGGGAGCTGGAGATGGATTCTGGAGAGGCCAAAGGGGCCGGCGTGAGCGAGCAGAGCCCTCAGAGGAGCACAGTGTACAGAGAGAACATTCTGGAGAACGTGCAGAGGCTCCCCTTAGGTTTGGAGCTGAGAGCCCATCAGAGCATGTGTGTGAGGAAATCCCTGAGAACTGGAAAAGGCAACGTCCAGGCACACAGGGGAGGCGCAGCTCCTACTCCCGCCGGCTGAGTGGATGCCACCCTCGTGGGCACTGGGTAAGCACTCAGAAGGGCTTTTTTGCCCCAGGAAGGGGCAAGAGTAGCCCTAGATTCGATTCTGCTCAGGTCCCAACTAGCAAAGAAACAAAAGGACTAAACTTTCTTTGCAGTTTAAGCCCTTCCAGAACAGAGCTCAAGAATATTTATAGGAAGACTGAGATGCCCAGCGCCCTGCAAGGTAAAGTCACAAAGTCTGAGCGTATTCCCAACTTCAAACGCTGGCATAGCCCAGACGCCCCTCAGCAGGCGAAAGACCCACACGCTTGATATATCCACAGTGCAACTCTATCGGCCACACGAGGACCACACTATCAATGCATACGAGCTTGTGAACAACTCTCCAAGGCAGGTGTTGGTGAAAGAAACTGGTCACAAAGGCTGCCGATTGTGTGATTCCATGTATGTGCCATTCTCATTTTCAATAATTAAAACTATGGTGGAGGAGAACAGATCGGCGGGGGGCGGGGGGGGGAGGTAGTGTGTGACCATAAAGAAATAGCTGAGGCTGGGCGCGGTGGCTCACTCCTGTAATCCCAGCACTTTGGCAGGCCGAGGTGGGTGGATCATTTGAGGTCATGAGTTCAAAACCAGCCTGGCCAAGATGGTGAAACCCCGTCTCTACTAAAAATACAAAAAATTAGCTGGGCATCGTGGCGGGTGCCTGTTATCCCAGCTACTCGGGAGGCTGAGGCAGCAGAATCGCTTGAACCTGGGAGGTGGAGCTTGCGGTGAGCCGAGATCGCACCACTGCACTCCAGCCTGGGCGACAGAGCGAGATTTCACCCAAAAAAAAAAAGAAGAAGAAGAAAGAAAAAGAAAAAAAGAAAAGAAATAACACAAAGGATTTGGGGGCAGGTGGAGCCCTGGACCTGTTGTGGTGATTGTAACTGATCATGTGTTTACATGCATGGAACTGCAAGCTAAAATGAAAAAATCTATATGACTATATGATGACTTTAAAAATTAAAAAAAGGAAAAAGTGTTCATACTGCGTTTCTTGTTACAGACATTTCTAGAAAATGAAAACTGATCTGTGATGTGAGAGGCAGATCAGCCATTGCCTGTGGATGGGGCACTGGAGGAGGAGGGCAGCCAGAGGCAGGACAGGTGGGTCCCCAAGGGGCACCAGGGAGAGTGGGGCGGCAGGACAGGAAGAGTGCTTGTGGTCATAACTGGATGGACGGCTTCACCTGTGTGTATCTACGCAGACGTCAAACGTCCCAAACTGTGGTCATAACTGGATGGACGGCTTCACCTGTGTGTATCTACGCAGACGTCAAACGTCCCAAACTGTGGTCATAACTGGATGGACGGCTTCACCTGTGTGTATCTACGCAGACGTCAAACGTCCCAAACTGTGGTCATAACTGGATGGACGGCTTCACCTGTGCGTATCTACGCAGACGTCAAACGTCCCAAACTGTGGTCATAACTGGATGGACGGCTTCACCTGTGTGTATCTACGCAGACGTCAAACGTCCCAAACTGTGGTCATAACTGGATGGACGGCTTCACCTGTGTGTATCTACGCAGACGTCAAACGTCCCAAACTGTGGTCATAACTGGATGGACGGCTTCACCTGTGTGTATCTACGCAGACGTCAAACGTCCCAAACTGTGGTCATAACTGGATGGACGGCTGCACCTGTGTGTATCTACGCAGACGTCAAACGTCCCAAACTGTGGTCATAACTGGATGGACGGCTTCACCTGTGTGTATCTACGCAGACGTCAAACGTCCCAAACTGTGCACTTTAAATGTGTGCACTTGTCAACTACACTTCAATAGAGCTGTTACATTTTTCTTGACTCTCAGATGCTCCAATACAGGGCAAAGCTACAGTGCTTGAAAACGTTGGACAGCTCCCTGGGGACAGCAGCCACAGCTCCTGCTCTCCACGCCACCCTCAGTCCAAGTGCAGGGCACGTTGGGGCGTGAGCACAGGATGTGTGGCTGTGCACAAGTATGTACACATGCACACACAGTCACACACACTGCACCACCCCACACACACAACCACACCACACACGATCACACACAACACATACACACGACACACAATCGCACACACCACACAAACCCCACACATACACACAATATACAACCACACACATGCACACACAGTCACACACACAATCATACACACTCAACACACCCCACACACCACATACACAACCACACACACCACACAATCACACCACACACAATCACACACCACATTCATACAAACACACGACACACAATCGCACACACCACACAAACCCCACACACCCCACACATACACACCATATACAACCACACACATGCACACACAGTCACACACACAATCATACACACTCAAAACACCCCACACACCACTTACACAACCACACACACCACACAATCACACCACACACAATCACACACCACACTCATACAAACACACGACACCCAATCGCACACACCACACAAACCCCACACACCCCACAGATACACACTATACACAACCACACACATGCACACAGTCACACACAGAATCATACACACTCAACACACCCCACACACCACACACACAACCACACACACCACACAATCATACCACACACAATCACACACCACACTCATAAAAACACACGACACACAATCGCACACACCACACAAACCCCATACATGCCACACATACACACCACACACAATCACACACATGCACACACAATCACACACCACACACACACACCACACACCACACATTCTCACAGTGAGCAGACATCTTACCCCAGCTACACTTTACACACCCTACAGAAAACTCTCTCACCCCACACTGCACATCCCCTCACACTGACCACACAAACCTACAGAGCCCACGTCCCCCACACCCAACATACACCCTACACACACCCTCCCATGCACCTGCACAATCCCCACAGTGGAGGAGACCTTTTCCAACCACCCTGACAACTCCCCCTTCTCACACCCATGCTGTCCCCCTTATCTCCGTCCACGATTGCCCAATGGCCTGGCTCTGCCCTCAAATGCCATGGCTTCCATTTCCCTTGGAACAAAGTCCACAAACACCCCACACAGCCCACACATACACACCACACACACAATCACACACACTCCACACACCCCACACACCACATACACAGAATCACACACATCACACACAATCACACACACCACACTCATACAAACACATGGCAGTCACACACCATACAAGACCCACATACCCCACACATATACACCATAATCACACACACCCCACACACCACACACACACATGCACAGACATGATACACACAATCACACACACCTCACACATACACATCACACACAATCACACACACCACACACATACACATCACACAATCACACCACACACACCTCACACACCACACACAATAACACACACTACACATACACACACCACAATCACATATACTACAAACACCTCACACACCCCACACATACACATATACCACAAACACCTCACACACCGCACACATACACATACCACAATCACACCACACACACCACATGCATGCACAAACATGACACACAATCACACAGACCTAACACACCACACACATACACATCGCACACAATTACACACACCTCACATGTACACACGACACACACACTCCCACACCCCCACACATACACACCACACACACACACCACACACCACACATTCTCACAGTGAGCAGACATCTTACCCCAGCTACACTTTACACACCCTACAGAAAACTCTCTCACCCCACACTGCACATCCCCTCACACTGACCACACAAACCTACAGAGCCCACGTCCCCCACACCCAACATACACCCTACACACACCCTCCCATGCACCTGCACAATCCCCACAGTGGAGGAGACCTTTTCCAACCACCCTGACAACTCCCCCTTCTCACACCCATGCTGTCCCCCTTATCTCCGTCCACGATTGCCCAATGGCCTGGCTCTGCCCTCAAATGCCATGGCTTCCATTTCCCTTGGAACAAAGTCCACAAAGATCCCGTAACAGGGGAAAGCGCTTTCTCTGCACGTGAATGTGTATCGAAGGCTGCAGCCAACAGCAGCCAGCTGTCATGATGGCCGGTCAAGGATGCCGGCCCACCTGGGGGGACGCACAGAATCTCCAAAACCCAAGGAGATGAAGAAGTTGGCCAAGAGGATGTGGAAGAAAGGAGCAAGAACGTGCGGAGAATAAGAACCCCCAGACCACTGGCCAAAGAGGTGGGGAGTGAAGTTGGCAGAGGGGCTCCAGGGTCACACACACCAGGCAGTGCCAGGCTGCGGGCGGAAGGTGCAGACCCACTGTGTGGGCCTCAGAAAGCCCCAGACCATTCTGCAGTCCAGCTCCACATGGCATTTCCAGTGATTCTTTTTAACAAACATTGAAATAGACGACTGTGTTATTTTGCAAACCTGGTTTGGGCTGGGGTCTGAGATGTTTGTTTTAATCTGCTTAGTTGAACAAGGAAGATGAGAGCTTCCTTTTCTAATTGACTCTTCACTGGAGGGCAATTAACCTCAAGAATGTTTACTGCAGGGGATCTACAGCGTCTCTTAGATATAGTAATTTGAAGGATGGGTCTATGTTAGATTAAAAATCTTTCTGTGTTTGCCATTACCCTCTCTAAACACGGGAAGGCCCTACATTGAGGATCTCAGATTTGGTATAATTAACTTTTAAGGGCTTGAACCTGTCTGGATGTGTAATTTCTTCCCAGAACATTTGGGAACTATTATGTAGCCCATGATATCATTAACATAATTATTGTCAGCACTTCGCGTGCAGTTTCTCCATCTTCGAGCTGAAGTTGCATACATAATCATTTCTCCGCCTGTTGGTCACATTGCTTTCCTCTGTTCCTCGAACACCGGACACGGGTCCCTGTTTCCTGCAGAACAGAGTCCACTCTCCTCAGCACAGGGCTTGAGGCCCTGGGGTCTCCCATGGTTCTACCTCTCCCTGGTGAAGTGTCATGCACCAGAGATCCAAGGAAGACCACTTCTGTGACAGGTCACATGCATTCCTCGGCCTGGAAGACCCCTCTTCCCACATCCTGGTCACTGCCACATCTCACGGCAGAGTTCAAATATCACCCCCTACAGAAGACCTCCAAGATTCCCACACTGTGGTTCACACAGGACTGGCCCTGACCCTGGAGAGATGGAGTTTCAGGTCTGAGGAGAGCTCATTAAAGTTCTAGGTCCAAGGGGCTCTGTGGGCACTGGAGGGCTGGGCCAGGCTCCCACTCCTGCCGGCTCACAGTTAGTTGTTGGACAGGACCCCTGCCCACTCCCAGCCGAGCTTCCTCCTGACATCAGAGACATGGTCCCTTCAGGAAGCAGTTAGGTGAGTACTCATGCGCAGTGATGACTGGGGTTAGGATGAGTGTCGATTTGCCGGGTGCTGTACTATGGATCAGGCTTACATTCGGCCACTGTTGTGGACAGAAGACAAAAATAGTTTTATTCCTTGCCTTTGGGAGCATTTTGCTATGACAAGTTAGCCTTCAGTTCACAATTTCAGGGGATCCTCACTAGCAAACAGAAGCTACTTTTAATCACTGGTGAGGGTCTTTGGGAGTGTTGGGTTAATAATGTGTATAAGATCAACGAAGAGAAAAAGGAAAGAGGCAGGACCTGTGGCCTGGCGTTGGTGTCTAGCCCAGAGTGAATCCAGGTGGCAGATGCTGTTGGCTGATCACCCAGTGGCCCCATACTCTACTCTCTGAGGCCCTGGCCCCTGGCTTCTGTGCACTTTGCTTTCAAAGGCTTTGTGCCTGGGAACTCCAGAGAACCCTGGAAGTGTGTATCCGGGAGCTCATGTCTACAGTCAGCCACTGATGACAGGTGCAGGGGTGTGGAGGCCTCGCTTTCTAACCTGGAGACAGGGCACCCTCCAAGGTACAATTCTCCCTCCAGAGCTCGCACAGGACCAGGCTGAGGCTGGGTCTCCACCTGAAATCACCCTCTCTAGCTTCCACCCCTCCCCTGCCCTGCTTCCCCTCAAAGTTGCCATTTTCTCCAGAGGACACTTTTTAGATGAATTCCTTGCTTGCATGCTGCATCTCAGGGTCTGCTTGTCCCAAACACAATCTGAGATTCCTGAGCCAGTGGTGAGAGGCAGCCAACAATGACCTGCAGGGGAAGTTCCACACCTGAGCATTCCACACCTAAGCACAAGCCCAGAGTGCCAGGGCCGGGACGGGGAGGCTTGATTCTGGGTCTTGTGTTGGAAACCCATGCAGCTGAAGGTGTGTGACCAGACCCCCAGGACCCTGGAATGGGTCTACCCCATAAACATCAAAATGCATGCCAACTGAAAAAAAAAAACACAATTGTATAAAGTTAGAAAGGAGCCTTTATTTCTTATAAAGGTTTACAGGCTGCAAGGTAGCCATCCTGACAGGCTGGGAAATGTAGCCTCCAGCAGAGACTCAAAAGCAGGCACTTCAAAGGAGGGGGTGGGTGGGGCATAAGCTTCATGCTGAACAGATGGACTGAATACGCACATTCAACAGGCTGCAGGAGGAGCCATGAGCATTCACCAAGGGGTTCCTGATGAATAGCATTGAACAAACATGCATGTGACATGCAACACACGTTCACTGTGGGATGGAGACATCGAAATGCATTACAATTAGGCCCTGTACATCCAAAGGTGAAGCAGGGACAGGAAGGCACTCCATGGGTAGCCTCTGTAACCACCAGAACCAGTCCCTGGTCAGTGGTCTCTTACTAGGAGAACGTTACGGAAATGAGTCTCTTGTCCAATCACAGTCATGGTCTGGCGGAGCAGGGGTCAGAGAGTCAGTGTCTGGCAGGGGTGGCCTGCCCCTGGTTTAATGTTGTTTATCTCAAGGCCACTGTGCCTTTAGCTGCTAGAGAAAAAGTGAAAAAAACCTCGAGAGAGTTAAAACAGTTTATCTTTTAAGTGTACGGTGTGTGGCTTAACCCTTTTTCTGTCATGGCCTTAAATCCTGTGTACAATTTGATATTTTGACACAAACAGTCCATCCACCAGTCTTTTTTTTTTTTTTTTTTTTGATATGGAGTCTTGCTCGATCACCCAGGCTGGAATGCAGTGGCATGATCTTGGCTCACTGCAACCTCCACCTCCCGGGTTCAAGCAATTCTCTTGCCTCAGCCTCCTGAGTAGCTGGGATTACAGGTGCACACCACCACGCCCAGCTAATATTTGTATTTTTAGTAGAGACAGGATTTTGCCATGTTGGTCAGGCTGGTCTCAAATTCCTGACCTCAGGTGATCTGCCTGCCTCAGCCTCCCAAAGTGGTAGGATTACGGGTGTGAGCTACTGCACCTGGCCCATCCACCAGCCTTATTATCTCTATTTTAACACTAATGCTGGTCAGTTGTTGTGTCTAAACCACAAAAGGGAGGGGGTATAAAGAAGCGTGTCATGGCTGGCAACTCAATTTTAAGGTTTTCCTGGGGTCCCCTTGGCCAAGATGGGGGTCTTTTCCATGGGTGGGTGCTTAGGATTTTATTCTTAGTTCTCAAGTCAGACTTGCAAGGGGAAATGCAGGGCTGGGTCACCAATCCACTCATAGCAGGTCCTGAGTTGCAGTCCAGGCATTGACTTACTCAGACCAAGTCATGGAGTCCCATGGCCTCGTGCTCCTCACGGCTGTGCAGCTTTCCTAACCCACTGGACACTAGGAGAGTAGAAGAGGATCAGAATGTCAGAGTGAATCTCATGCATGATGTATTTATAAATGACTAAATTAAAAATTTCAGGTGGCTGTACTAAGGGAAACGTTCTATAATGTGATTCATGAGGTATGATAAGGTCTGTAATTTTGGAGGGAAAGAGAAAAATGTGTTTCCTTCAGAGCAGACCCAGGGCCAAAGTTGCTGTCACACCATAGAGGTCAGGAGTTGGAAGTGGAAATCCCCCACTGGAAGCCTAAGAACAGATGACACCCTCAGGTTCCAGACTCCATGCTGAATAAAGCGGATGGAACTCAACCCCCCAGTCTTGCCAGTAAGGAAGCCAAGACCCACAGTGGCACAGTGACTCGGCCGAGCTCACACAGCACAGTGCCTAGACTCTGAGCTACAACCTGGGATTCCCAGTGCGGGTCTCCTCCCATGTGCTGGGCTGAGTTTGCACCTGGTGGAAGATGGAGGGTCTTTCCTTAGGGGAGCCTGGGGTGGGAGATTGGACACAGCAGGGGATCTCCATTGCACTGATAAGGACAGCAAGGAAAGGGCTCCAACACCTCTGCTTCCTTGGCGCCTACAGGCTGTGTGATCTGATGGTACAGATGGGCTGCGTGACCTACCCAAGTCTTCTGCTCATGTTTTGGGTCACTTTGAGTGGCTTGGCCAGCATGTCAGGCAGATAAACAACTCCTCAGTTTACTTTCCCACCCTTGTTCAATGTGGAGAACATTTCTGTTTCCATTGGGCTAAGCACATTCTAGCAATAAGCTTTTCCCCACCAGGCATCCAGGGACTTTTTCCCAAGGCGCGACACTGTTTAGACAGCGGCTCTGAACCATGCTATTTGCAGGCTGATGGTTAGCTGTTTGTTTCTTTGTTTAGTGTCCTTAATTTCTGGCTCTGTGACTTTTGTCTTCTTGTTATACCTTGTAATCATTTTTGATTATAGCTCTTGTACCAACTTTTCATATAAGCTTGTCTCTAACATTCACAGGCAATTCAGTTACTTACATTGCTTAAAAAATGTCATTGCCTCATTTGGTTGCCAGTGGCTCCTCCAGTCAGTTTTCTGGGCATTTGATTTCCAGGAGGCAGGTGTGGGACCCCCTGGGAACCACAAGAGGACAGAGATGTGCTCTGTCAGCCTCTGAGTCTCACCCACTTGGACTTGTGGGCACCAGCTTCAGGGAAAGAAGGGGTTCATTTGAGCTGAGATAGCTGTGAAGGAAGAGCCAAGAGGCAAGCGTCCTTGATTTCTGTCAGACCAGACCCTGAGCACAGATACCCAGCTCTCTCTGCCTCCCCTCCGAGCACCTGAGCCTCCCCAAGGAATCTCCGGGCTTCCTTCTCAACATTGAAGAATGGTGGCTCCCAGAGTCCTTACCCTCCCCCACAGATGCTGTAAGACTACAAAAATAAGAAGGAGACTATTCAACAGTTACTGAATGAGTCACTACTATTTTCCCAGCAATGTTCTAAGCACTTAACTCAGACCATCATTTCAGTAACCCCACAAAGTGAGCAGCATTCTTGTGCACACTGTACCAATGGGAAGATGAAGGCTTAGAGAATGTAGTTACGAGCAAGGTGTTCCTGCCACAAAGAGACAAGGCTACACACACTGGAATGTGGAGTCTGAGCTCAGATTTACAAGGACACCTGCTCCTAATGACTGTGACAAGCTATGTAAAATGGTATCACTTCAACTGGACCAGAAGGTGACATGCAAAAGACTGAAGGAGAATGTGCTGGCTATTGTTATTTTTTTAAACTCTCTTTGCAGCTTTGATAAGCCATTGTATTAATTATCTAGCATAATAAGCTCTACACATTTAGCAGCTTCAGCAACACATATTTATGATCTCAACATTTCTGTGAGTCAGGTGTCACAGCTTAGCTTTGCATCCCACAAGGCTGCAATCAAGATGTCAGCCAGGGCTGTAGTCTCATCTGAGGCTCAACTGTGGAAGCATCTGCTTCCCTGAAGACTAAACAGGCATAAACACCAGGAGGCAGGGGTAACAAGAGCCCATGTAAAGTCTACTCTCATGCTGTCTTCTCCACAGGAGACCTGGTACCATTGATTCTGCACAATGTGCTGTGGGATCTCAGAGGCCAAGGCTAATAACTCTGCCTGAGGCTCCTGGGAGTTCTCTTTGGGTGAAGGAGGTGAGCTCAGAGTGGTCACGGAAGGATGTCAGATGAGACCGGCATCCCAGCTCTGGGACCAGCAAAGGCACAGGAGGTTGAGGAGGGGGCATGCTGGAAAATGACAGCTGGTCCAGAAGGACCCCAGTGAGTGGTGAGGGGATCATTATCCAGAGGCAAAGGCTTAAGGGGACAGCAGGATGAGGACAGGGCCTGCATAATATGCTCCTATGGGACCTTGACCCTCTAATAGACTGCTTGCTTATGAGATGGTGAGTCACATTTAGAATCCATCATTGCTGGGGCCATGTCTCAGTTATCTATTGCTGCATAACACATTTTTCAAAAACTTAGTGGCTCAAAACAGCAAATCCTTGTTATCTCACAGAGTTTCTGAGGGTTGGGGTCTTGGAAATGGCTGAGGTGGGTAATGTTGGCTCGGGGTTTCTCATGAAGTTTCCATCAAGCTGTCAGCAGCAGTTGCTGTCATCTGAGGGCTCAACTGCAGCTGGGAAATCCAATTCCAAGTCACACACATGACTGTTTGCCAGAGGACTTGCATCCTTACTCTGTGGACTTCTCCTTGACAGTTGTCTTCCCCTAGCATGAGGGAGTCAGGAAGGTGAGAGGGCATCTCAGATGTGTCTTCTGCAATGTAGTCATAGAAGTGACATCTCATCACCCTCAGTCATCAGATCATCCCTGCGAGCCACTCAGGGGGTGGGGAGATGGGTGGCATATTGGAGGCTGACAACCACAGGCCACCTCTTGCTGAATTTGCAAGGGCAGGCAGCTCAGAATTCAAAGTATTAATAAAAATAACAATGTATGTGCATTATATCACTTTACATGTGACACAAATATAGCTCAACCCTCCCAGAAGCCTAAGAGGTGGCCAATGTCACCATACCTGGGCATGGTGGTGAAAAGACAGTCCCACTGGGGATGGAGGAGCTTGGAATTGAATCCAGAGCCTGCAGCCACTCAGAACCCTCTGTGGTGAAAGTGGACTTTTCAGAGACCCATTGGCACCTCACCCATTGGCACCTCAAGCTGCACACTGGAAGATGGGGTAAAACCCCCCCTTGCACACACTGGGGCATGGGCCCAGTTGGGAAGCTGAGCCGGAGGGGGATACAGTCCTGAGTGGTGACCTGTCGACTCTCCTGGCTCTGTATGTGGGCTGAGAACACCAGGTCCATCTCAGGCTGGACAGAGGAGCTTGTGCCCCTAACACAGAGAAGGGCCTTTTGAGGTGCTCATGGAGAATAAATGAATGTGTCCCAGGGCAGCACGTGACCAACGACGGACAGGTGTGGGAGTATAAATACCCCAGTTCCCCCACCAATACAGTTCTTTTTCCTAGAACTTCCCCTAAAGGATTAAGGTCCATTTGCCATCTATGCTTACAATGCTCCCCCTGGAGGGTCACTGTTCCTTCCTCAAATCACTCCCCACCTCCCTGCTGGGGTCCCTGCACCATCCAGATGAGCTACACACAGCATTTCCTTACCTCAGTCTCCTCTGGAGACACTCAAAACTAAAACATGTTCCATCCAGCATAGGCAATGTCAGGGAGAAGAGATGACCATGGTCAGGGTGAAGTCAGAAAGCAAAAAAATCATTGTAGAAACCTGTGAGTCCAAGATCCAAGCCACCAAAGTGGAAGCTAAAAAGGGTGATGCTGACCAGACACTGTAGTCTGAAGGTTTGTGTCCCCTCAGTGTTCATAGGTTGATGTCCTCACCCCCAAGGTGATGATATTAGGAGGCGGGGCCCTTGGAAAGTGATTAGGCCACTGGAGAAGAGCCTCATGAGTGAGGTTGTCCCCTTATGAAGAGCCCCAAGGGAGCATGGTTGTCAGTTCCACCATGTGAGGATGCAGTAAAAAGGTGCCATCTATGAGAATTTGGGCCCTCACCAGACACCAAATCTGCTGATGTTTTCATCTGGGACCTCCCAGTCTCCAGACTGAAAAATAAATTTCTGCTATGTGTAAGCCACTCAGTTTATGACATTTTGTTTCAGCAGCACAGAAGGACTAAGCCCATGCCTCAGGGAGGAAGAAGATATACTCACAGCCTGTGTGATGGGCTTGAGGTGATGAGGAAAGGACCTTGAACCAGAGGGATGGGTTTGGGCATCGGGGCCAGGCTGGGCTGCCCATCTCCCTTGCCTCCCCAGTGAGGGATGGGTTTGGGCACTGGGGCCAGGCTGGGCTGCCCATCTCCCTTGCCTCCCCAGTGAGGGATGGGTTTGGGCACTGGGGCCAAGCTGGACTGCCCATCTCCTTGCCTCCCCAGCGCCCCAGCGTGCTGATTCCTGAACTTGTCTCCACCATGACCCACAGTCTAGGTCATGTTCACATTCAAAACAACTCCCTGGGGCGCCAGCTCCAAGTCCACCCTTCCCTTCCTACTCTGAAAATCACATTTGGATGCTGGCAACTGAGAATGGTGTCATTATAGGGATAGGAACCTAATTCTTTAGATATTCTTAGTGGAACATAACACACGTAACCCACCTCAGAACTGGGTTTGACCCACAAGCTCCTGCCCTGGTCTGGCAGCTTCTGATGGTGGCTCCAGGAGGGGTGTGCCTGGGGAAGGTGGGAAGTGAGGAGGACTCAGGACTTGGGCTGGGGCCAAGAACCTCTACACTGTCCAGAAGCAGCCCCATGGTGCTGCCACAGTCTCAGCTCAGGTTGACGGTAAACAATGATGACTTTAATAAAGAAACTTGAAAAGGTGAACCATTCTTCTCCAGGGCTCAAGCAAAGACAACCATAAGAAAACAGAGCAGAGAAATAAGAAGGAGCCAAGGCATGGATCTTCTGCGGAGTCAGGAAGGTGTTTTGTAACTTGATATATGCCAAACTTCAGAACAGCCGGCCTTTGTTGTGT
This sequence comes from Homo sapiens, assembly GCF_000001405.40. Taxonomy (NCBI): domain Eukaryota; kingdom Metazoa; phylum Chordata; class Mammalia; order Primates; family Hominidae; genus Homo; species Homo sapiens. The sequence goes on along the minus strand of NC_000002.12, from coordinate 239,633,421 downwards.
GAATGGGAGAATTACAACTCTCTCACTCCCCACAAGAGGTCCCATTAAATTTCAGCAACCATTTGGTACTTGGGAGCTCCACATTACAAATCTAATTAAGACTCCATAAAATAAAATAATTCAAGTTTGCATTCAACCATTCCATTATCTCACATGCTATATGATTGCTGCTTTATTAAACAACAAAGAAAAGCGAGTTCCAAACGAGTCTGGCCATTTGTTCGAGAATTGGCAAAACAATATGAAGCTCAATCACCCACAACAATGTGTTGCGTCTTCAGAAGGTTTTCAGCTGCGGCGTGTATTATGCTCACCAGACAGATTCTATGTGTAGGTTCATGGAGCCTTGGAAATAGGAAAAATAGAGAGGGATTATCTCCACGGACTGTTCAAGGGCTGCCTCCATTTGGTCTGGGATCCCAGAGATCTAAGATGGGCTGGGTGTGTTGGTGAGTAGCTCATCCCAGGCCAAAATGGCTCCACAGGTGGCTGCAATAAGGACCCATCTTTTCCAGGGAGCAGATGGCAGAGGGCAGCCTGGGATAACAACCCAAGGATACGGAACATGGGATGGCTAATCAATGAATCACAGTCCTTAGAGAAAGTGTAGTAGAAGAAAGGGGCTGCATGTCCTTCAGAGCGCAATGCAGAGATTCACCTGGAATGAAGGTTTCATTTTCTTTCACAGAGGTTGCGATGGCTTTCTGGTCACACCCCAACTCCAGGTGTCTAGGGACATGTCTTTTTGGCCTCTGGATCCTCAGTACCAGGCACCCTTTCTGGAAATTAATGAATACTCACTATTTTTACAAAAGAAAGTATTTGAAACCTAAAATTAACCTTACAATGTCTTCATCAGATTAAATTTGTCCACTGGTTCCTTCCAAAATCCAGGCAGAAAGGAGTTCCATGCTTTCTGCGCAACTTCACTTGAGAGACGTGATGATGGAATGCAGCTCCCAGGCTGCACTCCCTTGCACGGAGGGAAGCACACCCACGGCCTATGCCCTTCCTGGTTCAAGGCCATACACAATATGCAAAATGGATTTCTCTCCTTGGTGGGTCTGATCGAGGGACTCCAGTTGTCTATGCATGGGCAGTTGTCACGTAAGTCCTCTTTAGGGATAAACTTGATGGATTTTCTTTTACTATAAATATGAAAAACCTGAAATGACCAATTCCTTTCCAAATTTGGGTGACAGCAAAGGGGCAACCTAGTAAGTTGTTGTACCATACTAAGTTACAGTACCTTCAAAAAGCCTTCATGCCCAACTGCACCCTCCCTTCCTCTTGGGAAGACAGAGGAGCCTCAACTAGAATGGATTTTACTAATGAATCCTTCCCTTCAGTGGGAAAGGATTTTCTCTTAAGAAACAGAGTAAAGTCCTTAATGTGTGAGAAATAATCGACTAGCAGCTGAGATGGTAAGTTCTCACTAGGACGCACCAGTAATTCACTGTGTGCCCACCAGAGTAGGTCCTTAAATCTTTCCAGTTCCCATGCAGTAAGCTGCACATTCATTCTCACAGGTCAAATCCAGGCCCGGTGAAGTACTCAGAGGTGTTCCTGCCATTAGTCAAATGCTGAGGCACACAGCAACAGGCTTTCTCTAAAAAGGTGCTTACTGGTTATTGTCACCAACAGACAATCTGTGGCCCAACTATTTAGTTGGAACCAGTGGATCAGTAAATAACCAGACTTATTTACTCAATGAACCTGTAACATGAGTCTTTAATTAAATGAGTTCTAAAATATGTAAATAACTTCAGAATGAATATTTTAAATACTAGTAATAATAAGAGCTTTGGCCTATTCAACATCAACCAATGATATTCACCTACCTCCATCAGCCCATCAACTTCCTCCTTTGGAAACGGAGGAAATGGAGCAAACCCCTGTTTGAGGAGCCATTGTTAAAATTAGTGAAGTGATTAAATTGGTCACCGTTCTTAGATGCAGCCTTAAGTATTCACTCTAGCTGGCTTAGGTAGGAAGGGGTTATTGATAAAACTATTTGGTAGTTTACAGAATTCCTGAGGAAGGTATAGATGAAGGTCTGAGTGCCACAACAGCAGGAACCTTGCAGGCAAAGATCACACTTGGGGACAAATAGCCCACCATGCATGGTTCTGGGGGAAGGAGCCCTGCCCCTCGCTGCATCTTTAATGCTGATGATGGACGCATAAAGCTCCACCACCTCCTGGCTTGCCTCCGTGCACAGGGCCTGCTGCAGTGACTCACTTCTGCTCTGAGCGTTCCACAAGGTTGTCTGCTGGAGGGAGCCAAGTAATCCTCCCTGCAGGGGCATCTGGAGAATGCCAGGCTCCAGAGTTAAGCAACCTATGAGGCTGTCGGAATGGGGTGGAGTGACGCACTGGACATGAGCCACCTGGGCGACTTTCCTCAATTCTCTCAGTTGCTGATCAACTCAGAAAGATAACAACAACAACAAAAAAATACAGAACAGGACTGACTCTTGGCCACCACTCCACATGGCTTCCAGAACCAGAGCAAGAGAAACAGAGAATCCATGCAAAGGAAAGTCATTTAACATTTTTTTTAAATAAAATAAGTGTTATGTGAAAAATAGTTCTGTGTCTGCTCAGCGTCGCTGTGGGAGCCCTGCTTTGGTTATGAATCACTTTTCTCCGTGAGGTTTCCACGTGCCAGCCTTGCTGGGGACCAGCTGCCTGACGTTGCAGCATCTTGGATTCCCAGGGTCTAACTTCTCCTCCGTTCTAGGACCTGCCAAGCTCTTCTTTGTTTTTCCAGAGCAGCCTCCCTTTTCTGGCCTTCCTGGAACACCTTCCTTCTGAGCAGCCTGAGGTGAACCTCTTTTCTTTCCTGGCAAAAAAAAAAAAAAAAAAAAAAAAAGAAAAAGAGGTGTCGGCGTGTGACGTGACATCACTCTCAGCTGTTTTAAATTAACCTTCCCTTTGGTTGTGCCAAGGGAAAAGATGAAACATGATTCAGTGAGAAGAAGCCTGTGTGAAACTGTGGGTTTTTTTTTTTAACTGTTCTGTTATTTTTTAAATGTGTTAAAATGCTCATGAGAGAAAAAGTGTAAAGTTTTTAAGAAGCCATGTTTCAGAGAAAAAAGAAAGAAACCTCAAAGGTGTGTTAATGATCAATGTGGTCCCTGAAGGAGCACTCACACAAAGGCCACCACCAGTGGAACAGAATGTGGTCACCCATGGAAACACCTCCATTGGAGGCTGGAGGAGGCGGCACTGGGGAAAAGAAACAGAAGAGCAGGGATTTTTCCCATATCTCTGTTCTGACCTAAGAGTAGAAACAGCACTGCTGAAAACCACCATGGCTGGGAAGTGGAACCTTGTGCTTCTCAGGCACAGCAAGCCTGTGTCTTGCCAACTCAAGGGTGCCTTGATGCTGTACTACAGTCGCCCGGGCAACCTATGCTCTCTGGAGGGTTTCTGACGTTTCAAACATAAAATTCTGGGTAGTTGAAAACTATTTCCTCACAATCTGGGAGATAAATTCATGAATAAAGTAAGACAGAAAAATAATTTTAAAATTCACTTTTCTATAGACTGAGTGTTGTATATGGGTTTTACATGGATTATTATTTAACTTCTCATAATGTTTCTGTGAAACACACAAGCGGGTACCATTTTGCAGATGGTGAAATAGAATTGGGTTAGCTAATTGGCTACTGGCACAAGGCTGGTATGTGGGAGACCCAGGACAGAGCCACGCTGCCCCCTGGAAGGCATCCACGTTGAAAGGGAGGAAAATGAGATTGGTGCCATGGTGCTGTTTCTTTCAATCTTGCTTCAAGTTATGTTTTTCTTAATATTAGTGTGTAAATAGGTTACATTGTTTATTCTTTATGTAATAAAATAATCTGTTGTTAAACCTCAAAATTCTCATTAACTGTCTGTAGTTTGTCCATCACTGCATCCCCAACATCCACACATATCTTGAATAGAGTGGGAATTCACTGAAGATTAGGTGGGTTAGTCAATTCATGGCAATATCTATCAAATATGTGACTGGGCTGCTGGCTATAGAGCCTGTGGTGCTAACACAGGCTTCAAAAACGCCTCTTTCCCTGGTCCCTTCCGGAGAGGGAATCTTAAGTACATGACCTGCCTCAATCCCAGGAGACATTTAATCTTGTAATTTAATAACTTCACGAGTTACCACGAAGTTCAATGACTCTTGCACATGGCTCTTCTCCTTCCCCCTCCATCCCTCTCACCACAAAACACCAAGTCATTCACAAATCTCTCCAAGCAAACAGCAGAACCACTGCACTGAAGAGAGACGCTGCTTCAGTGACCATTGGAACCACCATTTCCTAAGAGCACTGGGAGCAGAAAGAATTGTCATAAAATATTTGCAATTAAGACTGGAGTTAGGCCAAGCGAGGTGGCTCACGCCTGTAATCCTAGCACTTTGGGAGGCTGAGGCGGGCAGATCACCTGAGGTCAGGAGTTCGAGACCAGCCTGGCCAACATAGTGAAACACCTTCTCTACTAAAATTACAGAAAATTATCCGGGCGTGGTGGCAGGCACCTGTAATCCCAGCTACTCGGGAGGCTGAGGCAGAAGAATCACTTGAACCCGGGAGGCAGAGGTTGCAGTGAGCCGAGATGGCACCATTGCACTCCAGCCTGGGCAGCAAGAGCGAAACTCCACCTCAAAAAACAAACAAACAAAAAAAACACAAACAAACAAACAAACAAAAAGACTGGAGCTAAATGGAGTTGCAGAGATGCGGCTGACCATACCTAAGATCTGAACCCTAAGCCACTGTGAGAAGAGACAGACTTATCTGCCGTTCATTGAGTTATCCCCCAAGCGTGTGTTGGGTGTCCATGATATCGTAGGAGCCATTACAAACACTGGAGACCCAGCATAACCCGGCATGACCCAGCATGAACAAAAACAGCAAAGTCCCCCTTGCTTCATGAAGCTTACAATCAATTGAATAGGAGAGAAAGGGAGAGGAACACACATATCAATGTCAGAGAATTAAAAGGGGTGATATGATAGTGCTGCCTGGCTATTATAGAAAAGAGTCTTGGTCTGGGTGTGGTGGCTCACACCTGTAATCCCAGCACTTTGGGAGGCCGAGGCAGGTGGATCACCTGAGGTCAGGAGTTTGAGACCAGCCTGGCCAACATGGTGAAACCCTGTCTCTGCTAAAAATACAAAAATTAGCCAGGCATGGTGGTGCATGCCTGTAATCCCAGCTACTCGGGTGGCTGAGGCAGGAGAATTGCTTGAACCTGGGAGGCGGTGGTTGCAGTGAGCCCGGATTGCACCACTGCACTCCAGCCTAGGCGACAAAACAAGACTCTGTCAAAAAAAAAAAAGAAAAAAGAAAAAAGAGTCAGATAAAAATCTGAAAAAGAAAAGACACTTAAACTGAGATCTGAATGACAATTACAAGCCAGGCGTGGAAAGAGAAAATAAGAGCATTCCAGACTGAGGAACTTCTTAGTGCAAATGTTCCTGGGTGGAAATCAGCTATTTGCACTCATAACTCAAAACATTTTTAAGTGGCCATTTCTGCACAGACCAGACGGGCAGAACCTGGAGCAGGGAAGATGAACCCGGTGGGCAATCTCCTCCAGCACGCCTTTCCCTGTCCCAGAACCAAATGAGATTGCACAGGCAGTTTGCTGAACATGTTCATTTTCTTAATTTAACATTTTGGTAAAGTCAGTTGCAGCTCTCTTCACAATGTGGTGTCCATCATTACTGTCTCACAATGGAGAGAAGACTTGGGCCCCCAAGTGGGGACCCCTGGCCACACTCCTTGCCCAGGTAGTCCCCATCGTAAGCACTATGGAAGCTCAGTGTGGCTGCTGCTCCAGATGGCATATGTGATCAAAACATTTTCAGAAGTTGGGCACCAGTCAAGGAGGGGTGGGCACTGGCAGGCTGTTCACAGGGCGTGGAGGGCACCTGAGCAGAGCTGTGGCCTGGAGGAAGGCCAGTGTCAGGACCAAGTTCAAGGGGAATGTGGGAATCCTGCCCTCCCGGTGTCACAGCAAGACAAAGGCTTTGAAGCTCGTACAGCAGCAGAGAGCGCAAAGGTGGGGGTGGGTAAAGGGGATGAGGCCCAGAGGCAGCACCTGAGGCTCCTACCCATGCCAGGGCCCATGCACACACACACACGTACACACGGCACCCACATCCTTGGGGGAGTCGGGACACCTCAGCAGGAATGCAGCCCCAGAGCAGGACCACATCCCCGCCGGGGACCCTGGCCAGCCACACAGGGAGCCCCCGGCACCCCTTCCCGGGAGGCAACAGATGAGAGTTTTTTGCACACACGGATGTGAGTCACCAGCTACTGGCAGTGGTCCTGGCAGGCCCCCCTTGGTTGCAGGGCGGGTGAGGCGTCCTGAAATACAAGGATTTCTGTCGGCCAGCCGGGGGCACACCCTGGGTGGGGGTTGGGTTGGGGGCCTGTCAGCCTCCCTCTGGAAGTGAGCAAATGTGTCCCTCTTCTAACTACTCTCTTGTCAGTGCGCAGAATCTAAAACGGGGCAGATTTCATCCTAGAAGGTAACTCTGTGGGGCTTAGTTTCCTCGTATTTAAAATGGAGATAAAAATAATACTCCATATGTTTGTCATGGGAAATGGATAACTCAATTTACATCAAAGAGCTTATCATCAGTTAAGGACAAATGATAGTTAAATTTCACCCAGGAAATTCAACCAGTGTTGAGACATCACACAGAAGAACACACTGGGGAGGGGAGCTGGGCCTCAGGAGCTCAGCAGTGCGGTGCTCTGGGAGGAGTCAGGGGACTGGCAGGGGGGGGTCCACACCCCAGGGAGCCTTCATGCCCCAGGGGAGTCTCCCCACCCCAGGCCTCACTATTTCCTTTGGTAGAAGGAACAGGTTGGCCTAGAACAGGAGTCCGCAAACTACAACCAGTGGGCCAAATCTGCCTGCTTTTATAAATAAAGTTTTATTGGAACACAGTAATGCTCATTCATTTGCATACTGTCTGTGGCTGTCTTCCAGTTGTAAGAGTAGAGCTGTGTACTTTTAGTAGAGACTGCACAGCCTGCAAAGCTGAATGTGTTTCCTGTCTGGGCCTTTACCAAAAGTGTTCTCTGAGCCCAGCAGAGCCTCAGAATCACCCAAAGACGGGCACTGAAGACACAGCTTCTCCAACCTTGTTCCATCTCTGGGGTGGTCAGAGGGTGTTGTTCATGAGTTCAGCAGAGAATGCTTTGCAGCCAGCCTGGCCTGGTGGGTGGGCGGGAAGCACCAGCCCCATGGCCACCGAGGGCTCCTGTGCTCTGACACTCACATGCATGCACACACACGCACACACACATGCCATCTGCATCCAGCAGCCCTGCCCGCCCCGGGCCTCACTTTTAGCACCAGCAAGAGAACCAAGCTTCCACAGTACAAACCCTACACCACACTGCACATTTGTGGGTAACACCACAGTTGACAAAGCGTTTTCATAACTGTTGGAGGTTTTAGGGGAGAGACATGGGTCATGATCATTTTGCTGAGGGGAAACTGAGGCTGGGAGAGGAGAAGAGGCTTGTCCAAGGAAAAGAGCTCCATGTGGCCAACCCTAGGTGTGACCACAGAGGAACGGTCACCTACCTCCCCTCCTGACGCCATCACCTACCTCTCCTCCTGACTCCATGGGTTAAAAGGGAAGTGGGTCTCTCCTGCTGACATTTCTAAAGTGTCCTTCAGCCTCTCAGGAAGCTCCCCGAGTCTCCCTACAACTATTGTGCAGAGAAAGCAAGGTCACCGAGACAGGGAGGCGGGCTCTGTGGTGCCTTAGAGAAAAGGTCCTCCCTGCAAGGACCCGGTGCCCACGTGTGTCTTTCATGGGCGGCGAAGCCACGAGGAGGCCAGGAAATTCTTCCCCTTAGGCGGCCTTGGAATGGACAAGAACTTCCAAGGTTGCGAACCCTCACTCCCTCCCTCATTCAGCACAGCTCTAAGTGTGTCCATGTGTGTTGGGCACAAAGGCGCTAAGACACAGCCCCGCTTCTCAGGGGCAGTATGTGTCTGCTCGGGCTGCCATAACTAAGTGCCCCAGGCTAGGAGGGTTTAAACCACAAACACTTATTTCCTCACAGTTCTGGAGGCTAGGAGTCTGAGATCAAGGTGCCAGCAAGGTTGGTTCCTTATGAGGCCTCTCTAGCTTGCGGATGACTGCGTTCTCCCTGTCTGCACCTGTGTGTTCCCCTATACATGTCTGTGTCCTCATCTCTCTTCTTAAGAGAACATCAGTCATATTGGGTTAGGGTCTACCCTAATGACCTTGTTTAATTTTAATTATATTTTTAAAAACTTTATTTCCTAAAAGAAACATGTACAACATACCGAAATCTCTGAGAAGCGGTCAAAGCAATATTAAGAGGAAGGTTTCTAGCACTGAACACCTACATCAAAAAGTTAGAAAGATATCAAATTAACAATCTAACATCAAACCTAGAGAGACTAGAAAAACAAAACACTAACCCCAAAGCTAGAAGGAAAGAAATAACTAAAATCAGAGCAGAACTGAACAAAAGTGAGACCTAAAAATCAATACAAATAATCAACAAAACCAAGAGTTGGTTATTTGAAAGGATAAACAAGATCAATAGAATGCTGGTTAGATTAACAAGAAAAAGAAGGAAAAGATCCAAACAAATACAACTAGAAATGACAAAGGTGACATTACAACTGATCCCACAGAAATACAAAAGAACTTCAGAGGCAGTTATGAGTAGATCTATGCACACAAACCAGAAATACAAAGGAAATGCATAAATTCCTGGAAACACACAAGGTCCCAACATTGAATCAGGAAGAAATTGAAATCCTGAACAGACCAACATCAAGTTTTGAAATTAAATCAGTAATAAAAAATCTACCCACCAGAGGAAAAAAAAAAAAAAAAAGCCCTGGGCTACATGGACTCACAGCTGAATTCAGATTTATGAAGAAGAGCTGGTACCAATTCTGTTTTGTTTTGTTGAGTTGTTTGTTTGTTTGTTTGTTCGGGAGGCAGAGTCTCACTCTGTTGCCCAGGCTGGAGTGCAGGGCCACAATCTCTGCTTGCTGCAACCTCCGCCTCCCAGGCTCAAGCAATCTTCCCACCTCCCAAGCAGCTGGGACTACAGGAGTGCCCCACTATACCTGGCTAATTTTTGTATTTTTTGTAGAGATGAGTTTTTGCCATGTTGCCCAGGCTGGTCTTGAACTCTTTGGCTCAAGAAATCTGCAAGCCTCAACCTCTCAAAGTGCTGGGATTACAGATATACACCACCATGCCCAGCTGAGCTGGTACCAATTCTACTGAAACCATTCCAAAAAATCGAGGACAAGGGACTCCTCCCTAACTCATCCTGTGAAGCCAGTCTCACCCTAGTACCAAAACCTGGCAAAGACACAATGAAAAAAGAAAACTACAGGCCAATATCCCAGATGAATAGACACAAAAATCCTCAACAAAATACTAGCAAAATCCAGCAGCACTTGAAACATGTCATTCATTGAATACAACTGTCTAGCCACGTGCAGAAGAATAAAAGTGGGTCTCTACCTCTCATCATATACAAAAATTAACTTGAGAGATTAAAAATTTAAATGTAAGACCACTCAAACTATCATAATTCTAGAAGAAAATCTAGAAAAAACCCTTTTCAACATCATCTTTGGCAAAGATTTCATGACTAAGTTCCCAAAAGCAATTGCAACAAAAACAAAAATTAACAACTGGGACAATTAAACTCAGGAGGTTTTGCACAGCAAAGGGAATTGCCAGCAGAGTAAACAGACAGCCTGCAGAATAAAAGAAAATACTGCAAACTATGCATCTGACAAAGGTCCAATATCCAGAATTTATAAGGAACTTAAACAATTCCATAAACAAAAAACATAGGCAATTAAAACATGGGCAAAGGTCACAAACAGACACTTCTCCAAAGAAGATGTGCAGGTGACCCACAAACATGAAGAAATAATCAACGTCATCAATCATCAGAGAAATGCAAAACAAAACCACAGCAAGATACCATCTCACACCAGTCAGAACAGCTACCATTAAAAAGTCAAAAAATAACAGAAGCAGGCAAGGCTGCAGAGAAAAGGAAATGCTTCTGCACCGTTCGTGGGAACGTAAATTAGCTCAGCCACTGCGGAAAGCAGTTCGGAGATTTCTCAAAGAATTTAAAATAAAACTACCATTCGACCTAGCCACCACTGGGTATATAAACAAATCATTTGGCCGGGCGCAGTGGCTCAGGCCTGTAATCCCAGCACTTTGGGAGGCCGAGGCTGGTGGATCTCTTAAGGTCAGGAGCTCAAGCCCAGCCTGGCCAACATGATGAAACTCTGTCTATACAAAAAATACAAAAATTAGCCGGGCATGTTGGTGGGTACCTGTAATCCCAGCTACTTGGGAGGCTGAGGCAGGAGAATAGCTTGAGCCTAGGAGGCGGAGGTTGCATTGAGCCGAGATAGCGCCACTGCACTCCAGCCTGGGTGACAGAGAGAGACTCTGTCTCAAAAAAAAAAAAAAAGAAAGAAAAACAAACCTTTCTACCAAAAGGACATATGTACTGTATGTTCACAGCAGCACTACAAATAATTATAGCAAAGACATGAACCAACCTAGGTGCCTACCAGAAGTGGATTGGATAAAGAAAATGTGGTCCATATACACCATGGAATACTACTTAGTCATAAAAAAGAATAAAATCATGCCCTTTGCAGCAACATGGATGCAGCTGGAGGCCATTTTCCTAAGTGAATTAACAGTAGGGCAAAAACCGCATGTTCTCACTTACGAGTGGGAACTAAGCGTTGGGTACACGTGGACATAAAGATGGGAACAATAGTCACTGGGAACTACTAGAGGGGCAAGGGCTGAATAACCACCTGCAGGATACTACACTCACTACCTGGGTGACGGGGCCTTTCATACTCCAAACCTCAGCATCACGCAATATGCCCACGTAATAAACCTGCACGTGAACCCCCTGAATCTAAAATGAAAGTTGAAATTGTTTTTTTTTAAAAAATCTCTTTGGAGTTGAGTGCATAGAAGAATAAATACATAAATGAAAATCTTCTTTCTAAGGGCGGAAGCGGGGTAAGAGTTGAAAAATTACCTACTTGGGACAGTGTTCACTAGTCAGGTGAGAAATACACTAACAGCCCAGACTTCACCATACCATATGTGGTATATGTAAGAAATCTGTACTAGTACCATCTAAATATATAAAAATTGAAAAATAAAAAAAATAAAAAAATAGAAACTAATTTCCATGGAAAATCACACTCTGAGGTACTGGAGTTAGGACTTCAATATATGAATTCAAGGGGACACACTTTGGCTCATAAAGGATAGAGAAGACTCAGTGAGACAGAGCGAGGTCAGGTGCTGTGGGAGCTTGGAACCACTGAGGATGGGCCAGTATCCCTGGTGGATGGCATTGAGCCGAGTATCAGAGGATCACACCGACCAGGGCTGCAGGAGTGCCCGGGTCCACAGGAAGGTGGCAAGGCACACAGCAGCTAAGCCGTGGGAGAAGCACCGCATGCGGAGGGTGGGAGTGCCTGACTCTCTCCCACCCACACCCCCAGCCCCAGGCTGCACCCGCCTCTCCAAGCAAGCATGGCCAAGCACTGGGATTGAAATCCAGGCAGACACCAACCCAGTCCTCACCAAGTCGATTAACACTGGACTGAGATGGTGGAAAGGAGTTTGGCTAGGACAGAGGCTGAGATATTAAAGACTAGAGTGCCCAAAACTTGGGGTTCAATTTGAAGTATTTGAGGGGGTAAGAGAGAGGACCAAGAACAGCTCCCATGTTAGAAAGATGCAGCTCGAGGTTAAGGAGGAAGCAAGCAGACATGAGCACTCACAGTTGAGCCAAAGTGAGGGTTAGGTGCCTGGGGCTGTCCAGGCAGTGATGGCCAATAAGCAACGGTCAGGCCGAGCTCACGTGGCGCAGCAGGGCTGGGGCTAGTGACACAGAAAATGCAAATGAGATCACCAGGGAGATTCATTGTGTCATCCACACAGTCATTTATTCACTCAACAATATTTATTGAGAATCGAGTGAGATGATGCCTGGACATAATGCTGGCTCTGAGGATACAGTGGAAGTGATCAGGAGAAATCAGGGACTGCCCTCACAGAGCTTGTAGGCCTGTGGGTAAGCCCAGTTTTGAGGGAATCAAGCATCAAAAACACTTTGGCATTGGAGAAACCCACTCCCAGCTTTGAGGGAAAGAACATTGTCAGCAGCGTTGCTTGTGAGACCAAAAGACTTGGGAACAATGTAGATGTCCACCAACTGCAGAAGAAATAAGTTATCTGTGATTTACTCAAACATCAGAATGCAGCATGGTGGTGAAAACGCACTGATTCTTGCTAAATGCATTAACATGGATGAATCTCAGGAACATTATGTAAAGTTGAAGAGCAGGAATCCAAAGAACATATTCAGTGTAATTCCATCTACATGAAGTTTTAAAACATGCAAAGCTAAACATATATGGTTTAGGGATACTATAAATAAAGTAGTAAAACAAAAAGAAATGCAAGAGAATGTCACATAAAATTCAGGGAGATGGTTACCTCCAGGGGAAGGGAGGAGAAGAGTCCCGGGAGGGGCTGCACACAGAGGGGCTTCAAAGCAACACTCCAGGGTTTAATCTGGAGGTGGTTATGCAGACATGCTCTGTATTATAATTATTCCTTGCACAAAATGTTAAACGTTCTTTTGTATCAATTCAATATTAAATTTTAAAACAGGTTTAAAATTATTCATACAAATGCTTATATAATGACAATTATGATGAATCCTAGAAAGGAAAAGAACAGGGTGGTGGGAGAGAGAATGACAGGGTATCCTCTTTCTCTCAGGGGGCCAGAGAGGGCATTTAGGAGGATGTCACATGGAGAATGAGAGCGGAGGGGATAAAGGAACTGACTCCGAGAAGGGCAAAAGAAGGAGCATCTCAGGGGGAGGGGACTGTCCGGGCCAAGGCCCTGGAGTGGAAAGGGGCTTACTGAGGATCTGGGAAAAGGCAGTGAGCTTTAGCACCAAGATCAGGCTTCCAGGGGTACCAGGCCAAGGCACCGAGATTTTATTCTAGGCCATGAGAAGCCACTGATGGACTCTAAACAGGGAGATGTGTGATGCAACTCAGTTTGGTAAGCTGTATGCAGCCACCTGCAGAAGCAAGAGACTCTCCTCCCAAACAGGTTCCACTATAGAAAATGTAACTACGGGTGAAATAATTACTTTTCAAAGGACCCCAGGGACATGCATGCTAACACTCCACAGTCAAATACTAACAGACAGTGACGGAGAGGTAAGATATTCTTTTGTGTTCTCAATAAAAATTAAAACAAAACACTTTGGCTTGATAAATATTAAATTGTAATCCCATTGCCAATCCTACTCAAGGTGGATGCCAAACCATGGAAACCACATACCCTGGGATGAGCTAATAACAATGAAGTTCAAGACATCACTTACTTGGGTCTAATACCTGCCTCAAATCAATAAACAGTTTAAATAGATCCCTTTGCAATGGATAAGCCAAGATAAAATTAGTATGTTGAAAAAGTCCATATCAAACTTCCAAACTCCACTTGCTCATTTTATAGGAGGAAAAACTGAGCCCCAGGGAGGAGGTGGAATATACACACTGAGCTATTGGCAGTAACGCCTGGGGTAGGGCAGGCAGGGGTGTGTAGAAAAGCAGATTTAACATCAAGGACTATGTACCATACACAGGAAGCCTTAGCTGCTAAATATAGACATAGCAAATAGAGTTCTCTATTAACCTGCATAGATCAATTGCATGAATCCCAGGGGTGTTGGTATTCTGGATGGTCTCCACTCTAAAGGTTCCTTGACACCATCCCAGACTCCTGGGAAGCTATGTGTCATAGACTGTGGAGTTGGCAAGAAGATAAATGGGGCCTCAGGGACAACAAGTATCATAGTTTTAGCCATTTTTGAGTCAGTAACTACCAAGTAAACATAGGAAACATGAATTCAAAATCCAATCAAAGGGGGGCCTTTCCCTTCTGGTTATGGCACAGCTAGTTTCAGATTAACCAGCCTGCATATAGAGGCTGGACACAATGCATGAAAATGGCTGGGTTGGAAGGTGCTAGAGAAAAACAAGGCAGCCAGGACTTCAGAGGCCACGGTCCTGGAGAGGAGAGAGTACACTGAAGTGAGCCCACAGGTATACACCCTTCCTTTCTCTGAAGCAATTGCTAATCAGCAGAACAGGACATGCAGATAAAACAGTGGATTAGAGCTTGCAACGGTCATTTGGAGATGGAATTGAAGTTTAGGCTACCAAAGAAACCACTGCGTAAGTGCCAAGATCCCAGAAGAAAGCAAATTCTGGGAAGGTGAGCCTAGAATTCTGCACTATTAAGACATGTTCAGATGCCTAAGTCACACAATTCAGTGTGAAACTTCACAAAACCAAGCAGAGAGCAGCTTCTAAGAGGCTAAAGGGCTAAACAGAGATTACAACAATGCCACAGAGCTGGAATGACAAAAATTGGAGTTCAGAGTCCACCAGGGAAGAGGGGCTCCAGTAATAATCTAAGCTTTCAGTTGAGACCCCTGAAATTCTCTGCCCTTGTAGTAAGAAATAGCTGAAATAGATCAGCCCTAAAGAGGTCATGGTGAACTACCCATATTCATCTGTTTGCCATATATACATACATACTATATATATATGTATATATGTTGTATATGTATATATGCATACATATGTATATATGTGTGTGTATATATATATGTTGTCTCTGAAAGATGATCAACTCATTTGGGGAACTAAAAAATTTTGCATTTTCAATTAAAAATTACAAGCATGCCAAGAAATAGGACCAAATGGCAGAAAACTAAGAGAATAGACTGTAGAAACAGTCTCAAAGGGGATCCAGGTCTGAGGCATTGAATACAGAATTTAAATCAAATACAGAATTTAAGTAAGTATGATTATCATGTTCAAGAAAATGTGGAAAAATATTAATTTCATCAGAGAGCTGATGAATCTATAAAAGTAATCAATTGGAAATCCTAGAACTAAAAATATATATAATATAATAAATAAAATTAGGAATTCATATATTGATTTAAAAGAAGATTGGATATGGCAAAAGAAAGGATTAGTGAATTGGAAAATACATCAGTGAAAATATTCAGATTACAGCATAGAAAAAAAAAGGGGTTGAAAATGCAGGGAAAAAAAGAAACATATAGAATATGGTAGAAAAGTCTATCATAAATGTAACTGGATTTCCAGAAGAGTATGAGAGAAGGACAATTGAGCAAGAGCAATATTTGAAGATATGCTAAGAATTTTACAACAGTGATAGTCTATATACCCAAGCTGAAAATAATACAATAAAAAAATACACCTAGGCACATCATAGTAAAACTGCAGGAAAATGAAGATGGTGGAAGAAAAAAAAAGGCCCAGAGGAAAAAGACCCACTACCTTCATAGAAGCAATAATAAGAATGTAGCTTTCCCACAGAAATGGTTAAAACTAGAATATGACGGAATAAAATCTTTAAATACTAAAAGAAAATAACTGCCAATAAAAATTCTATATCTACTTCGAATATCCTCCAAAAAATTAAGGTATATAAAAAAACCTTCAGACAAACCAACACTGAGCAAATTTATCACAGACCCTCAAGTAAATACTACAGAAAGTTGTTCAGGCAGAAGGAAAATAATTCCAGGCAGAATTATTTCAGTAGAAGTGAGAAAGTACAAATATATGGTTAAATCTTAGTGAATATTGCATGTTTAAAACAATAATAGAAATGGATTCTAGAGCTTAAACATAAATTTAAAATTATGATAACAATAGTACAAACTTGGGAAGGATAAAAAAAGTTAAAGTGTTGCAGAATTCTCACATTATCTGCAAAATGATACACCTTCCAATTTAAGGTAGAATCTAACAACAGTATGTCAAGGATGCATTTTGTAACCTCTAGGAAAACTACTGACTAAAATGTTTTAAATAGATTACTAACAAACCAATTGAGCAAAAAATAGAATAATGAAATTATATCAATTCAAAAGAAAAGAAAAAAGGTGAACAAATAGGGCAACAAAAATCAAACATCAAGCTGGGCACAGTGGCTCACTCCTGTAATCCCAGCACTTTGGGAGGCCGAGGCAGGTGGATCACTTGAGGGCAGGAGTTCAAGATGAGCCTGGCCAACATGACAAAACCCTGTCTCTACTAAAAATACAAAAATTAGCCAGGCATGGTAGTGCACACCTGTAATCCCAACTACTCAGGAGGCTGAGGCAGGAGAATCGTTTAAACCCAGGAGGCAGAGGTTGCAGTGAGCTGAGATCTTGCTACTGCACTCCAGCCTGGGCAACAGAGCAAGACTAAAAACAAACAAAAATCAAACATCAAGATGTTATATTTAAATCTAAAATAAAATCAATGGCATTAAATGTAAATGGGCTATATTCCTAATAAAAAGCAATGACTGTAAGAATGAATTAGGAAAACAACTATAAGTTAAATACAAGAGACACATCTTAACTATAACAGGCCAAAAAAGAAAACAACTGATCAAAACAAAGCTGCAAAATCTAATGAAAAGAAAGCTGGTAAAGCTATCCAAATATCAGACAAAGTAGACTTTAGGGTAATACGTTCTACTGGAGAGAAAGGGGGATATTTCGTAATGACAAATTGGTCAGTCCACGAGGTCAAGTCCTAAATTTGCATGCACCTAAAATATAGCCTTGAAATATAAAAGCAAAAAGTAGTAGAAACAAAAGGAGAAAGACTAATCCATAATTATAGTTGGAGTTTTTTGTTTTTTGTTTGTTTTGAGACAAAGTCCCACTCTGTTGCCCAGGCTGGAGTGCAGTGGCACCATCTCAGCTCACTGCAATCTCCACCTCCCAGGTTCAAGTGATTCTCATGCCTCGGCCTCCCAGGTAGCTGAGATTACAGGCATGCACCACCACACCCAGCTAATTTTTCTATTTTTGGTAGAGACAGGGTTTCACTATGTTGGCTAGGCTGATCTCAAACTCCTGACCTCAGGTGATCTGCCCAGTTCAGCCTCCCAAAGTGCTGGAATTATAGGCATAAGCCACCGTGCCCCACCTATGGTTGGAATTTTTAACTCACTTTTATCCACTGAATAGGACAAGCAGATAAAAAAAATCAATAGTGACATCAAATGTTTAAACAAAATTTACCTAATTGGCATGTATAAAACACTGCACCCAACCACAAAAGAACACATCTTTTTTCAAATGTGCCAGTAACATTTCTTAATATAAACTGTATGCCAGGCCATAAAACAATTCTGATTAAATTTCAAATTTATGTTCTTATGATTAAAATTATAATATAATTAAAATCAAAATATAAATATGCTAGACACAAATAATTTAAAAATAAAAATGCAAAGCAATATCATAGATAATAATAATAGCATCATTAAACACCATATATCTGAGGATAATAAAGTATATATGAGACCTTTATATAGAAAACTACAAACATTAATGGGAGAAATTAAAGAAGTCTTAAATAAACATAGAAATATATCCTATATCATGTTCATTGACTGGAAGCTTCAATAAATCTATAGAGTCCATGCAATTCTAATCAAAATCTCAGCAGATTTTCAATGAAAATTGACAATTTTATTCTAAAATTCATAGTAAAATTTAAAGTGTGAAGAATAGGCAAGGTAATCTAGAGGAAATCAAAATTAGAGGAGCCAGTTATCTATTACTGTGACACAAACCACTCCAAAACTTAGTGGCTTAAAACAACAATAATTTATTTAGGAGCAAAATTTAATGGGAAGCACCTGTCTCTGATCCCAGTGTTTGGAGCCTTATCTGGAATACCTGTGCAACTCAGGGATAAAATGGATGGGGACTGATGAGGCACCTCACTCTCATCAGGTAGTCTCAGAATTAAATGTGTCTCTTCATAGAGTCTCTCTGGCATGGTGGCCTCACAGTAGTCGGACTTCTTATGTAGTTTCTCAGAGCTCCAAAAGCAAAAGACCCAAGAGACAAGAAGTTGAAGTCACCAGTCTCTCAAAACCTGGCCCCAGAAACAGAGTCAGCCTTGCTGCTGCCTTTCTCTATTGGTCAAGTGGTCACTGGGTCCTCCAGACTGATGAGTGAAGTTCCAAAATATTTCTGATCATCTTTGATCCCCCATATTGAAGGACATACACTAGCAGGTACCAAAAACTTACTTTAAGCCTAAATAAATGTAAGAAGCAAGAATAGACAATTAGCTAGAATAACAGTACAGAGAGCCCAGAAACAGACCCATATGATCACATGATTTATGACAAAAATCATGAAATGCAGTGGGAAGAGATGACCTTTTCAAGTAAATGGTGATGTACCAATTGGATACTTGATATCATAAGCTTCAATCCCTGTCTTACACTATACACATTTTGTTTGTTTGTTTGTTTGAGACAGGGTTTTATTCTGTGACCTAGGCTGAAATGCTTACTGCAGCCTTGACCTGCTGGGCTCAAGCGATTCCCCCACTTGGCCTCTTGAGTAGCTGATGCTACAGGCATGTCATCAGTCCTGATTAATTTTCGTATTTTTTGTAGAGGTGGGGTCTCATCACATTGGCTAGGCTGGTCTCAAACTCCTGGGCTCATGCAATCCTCCTGCCTCAGCCTCCCAAAGTGCTGGGATTATAGGCGTGAGCCACAGCGTTCAGCCCCCTACACAGAATTTAAGTTCTCACGAACTGCAGGCCTAAAAGTGAAAAGTAAAAGCAAAAAAGCTTCCAGAGAAAAAAAAGAAAAAGAGACTATTTGTATGACTTGAGATCGGTAAAAACTTCTTAAACAGAAAATAAAAATAACTAGCTGAATAGAAGGGCAGATTTTGAATGTTCTCAACACAAAGAAATCATAACTGTTTGAGGGGATGACCCTGATCTGACCATTACACATTGTATGCTTGTATGGAAATATCACAGTGGACCCCATAAACATGTACCATTATTATGTGTCAAATAAAAGCAATAATAAAAGAAAAAAAGAAAAACTAATAATTTATTGAGCAACTACTGTGAGCCTGGCTCTGTTTCTGACATGGGAGACAGGGAAATGTCAAAACAAAGACCCTCTCCTCATGGAGTTTTTTATATTTGGAGACAAACAATAAATAAGTACAATTTAAAAACAACTAGCTAAAGATTAAAAAATTGATGAATTATACTTTATTAAAATAAATAATGTCTACTTATCAAAATACACACGAGAGTGAAAGGCAAGCTGCAGTGTGGAAGAAGATATTTGCAGTACATATAACCAACAGAGAACGCACATCCAGAATGTAAAAAGAACTCTAACATATCAATAAGACGTTTCCCCCAAAATGGGAAAAATATTGACTGTTGATCATTAAAAAGGACATGCAAATGTCAATATGTACATGAAAGGTGTATAATATGATTACTCACCAAGGAAAGTAAAACCACAATGAAATTCTACTATGTACCTGTCAAAATACCTAAAATTACATTTATATTTAATTCATAATATATGAATATATACATAAATAATATATATGAATATGCATTCATATATATTCATATACGTACATTCATATACATGTGCCTAGAGTGTTGGCAAGGATGTGGGGCAAATGGAACCATCATACTATGGTGGGAGTTTAAATTGGCACAACTACTTTAGAAAACCTTTTGGCAGTATTTATTAAAACAAAACATGGCTAGGTGCAGTGGCTCATGCCTGTAATCCCAGCACTTTGGGAGGCCTAGGCAGGCAGATTGCCTGAGGTCAGGAGTTCGAGACCAGCCTGGCCAACATGGTGAAACACCGTCTTTACTGAAAATACAAAAATTATCTGAGCATGGTGGCATGTGCCTGTAGTCCCAGCTGCTTGGAAGGCTGAGGCAGGAGAATCGCTTGAACCTGGGAGATGGAGGTTGCAGTGAGGTGAGATCACGCCACTGCATTCCAGCCTGGGTGACAGAGTGAGACTCCATCTCAAAATAAAATAAAATAAAATAAAAAAACAAAACAAAACAAAACAAAACATACACACACTCTACAACCCAGTAATTCTCCCCACGGGAATATATTCAGTGGATATACCTATACCCATGGATCAAACTATTCATGGCAACCTTATTATAATAGCCAAAAAATGGAAACACCCCAAATGTCTTTTCACAACAGAATGAATAAATAAATTACAGTCTGTTCATGCAATAGAATACTAAAGCAACTCATGATTAAAAGAATAAATGGCTGCTAAAGGTAACCAATGGCTAAATCTCAAAGGCCAAAAGACTCTGGACATAAAGAAGATACAATGTATTCAATAACATTAAAAAATGGACAAATTAACCTATGGTGATAGAAGCCAGAATAGTGGCTTTCTTTAGAGGAGTGATGACTGGGAATTAGCTCTACGGTTCTAGGAAAGTTCCAGGTCTTGATTGGATAAAATTTACATGGGCATATAAAGTACAATGAGCTGTACACTTCAGAAGTGCACTTATTGGTATTCATGTTATATTTTAATACAGAAGAATTACAAAGAATTGGAAATTTATTTTTTAATTTCCAGTTTAAAAAAGAAAGCCTGAGGAGATCATTTCTCACACAACACAGCTACAGGGGAACAAGTCCTGCCCGGGTCTGCTGAGAAGCAGGCACCAAGACAGAATTCGATTGCAGGAGATGTTTAGGGGCAATACCTGTGAGCAAAAACGCAGAGGTGGTCAGGTGAGGCTAGGAGGGCTGTCACACCACAATTCGGGGCTGACCCCAGGAAAGGGAGAAGGAATGAGAGATGTTTGGAAGCACCTCAGACTTCCATTCTAGGACATTGCAATGCAGTTCCAAGAGAGTTTAGCAAGGCCGTCAGACTTGGAGCAAAATTCACCCGTCCAAGGTGCCCGGCACCTCCCTGGAGCCAACCGCCTTACCGTCCCTGTCTCACTGTTATTAGCGGCCGGCAGCCATGGCCAGCGTGGCCCTGGGATGGGCATGGTGATGGATTTCATAGCCCAGCAGCTGGGTCCTCAGGCAATGTCTCTCCCCACAGTCAGAGGGGCACGTTGCAGGGCCACCACAGTCCACTCCTTGTCCCCTGGGGTCTGGGACTGAGGGCAGCTTCTCCACGGTTCCCTGGGTCCCTCTTCCTGTGGCGTCACTTTGGAGAGCAAGGTTGGGGGGCAGCTGCAGCCTTTGTCATGCACAGTTCATGTTGGGACCACAGTTGATCTTCATCCTCTCCTCCTCTGGCATCCACACTGAAGCCCCCTCCCTCAGCAGTCACCAGAGTGACCCTGCCCTTCATTCCTGCAGGACTGAGCCCTTGGTGGCTATACCTTGCTTAGGCCAGGGAGCCACACATATCCATTCAGAGTGAGGAAGTGAAAGGGAGTCCCTGGAGGGACCAGGAGCATCACCTGGGCTCACAGGGATGCAAATCCTCCGGCCTCCTTCTGCCCACCAGGTGCCATTACCCCCACCAAGATGCTGCCTTGTGTGCCCCAACCATGAGGATTCCAAAGCTCCAGCAGCAGCTGGGACTGGCAGGGCAATGGGATCTTCGGTGTGACTGGTGGTGCAGTGGCATCCTCAGTGTGACTGGAGGTGTGATGGGATCCTCGGTGTGTCCCCAGCAAGCACACCCGTCAGTGAGCCCTCCAGTGATCACAGGAGTGATGGCGAACGGGCAGCTGCCCCTCCCACCCCAGGGCTCCTGGGTCTGCTCAGGGCCCCAGGTTTTCCTCAGGGCTGGGAGGTTTGCATGACAGACCTGCTATGGCTGAGAATGGCAAGCATGCATGCAAATGTTTCCAGAGCCTGATTCTCACAGTGACACCCTCAGGCTGCAGGGCTCAGTCTGGTCTGACCTGCAGAGACTGGGGCCTCTCTGTGCTGTCAAAGAACCCACTGGCTCCCAGACACACCTGGCAATGGCTCCGCCCCTCAGTTTTATTATGCTCCTGCAGGTGCCAAGACAGCTTGGTCCACCTGTCAGCTCCACTGCGCTTGTGGCTTCCTTCCTCCATCCAATGCCGGCATCGCTGTCCTGCCGCACTGTTCCCCACCATCAGGACACTTTCCCAGGTCCCAGCAGGGACTCTGTGGCTCTGAGGTATTACTCTGTGCGGGGACCTATCCATGAAACATTTGACACCTCAGCGCCTGCTGGCTGGAGTGAGATGGTCCCAGGTCTTCATGTCAATACCTGTCTTCTTGGTGCCACTAGTGTCAGTTTGTGTCCTCTGAGAAGCAGCTGTCAGATGGGATTTGCCATGTGGGTGATCCTGGGGTTAGGCCTGCCTCATCTCCCTCCATATCCAGCCAGTCAAGAGCTGGAAGCAGCCCTGGGTTGTGTGATCATGGTTGCAGCTGGGGTGCCGGGCACAGCAGCTGGGGCTGTCGGGGCCAAGGAGGCACACCCCGCCTCAATGTGACTGTACGAGCCCTTGTGGGGATGCACTGCTCCTGCTAACAGGTGAGTGGGAGCTGCTCACCAAGGAAACAGCAATCCTTCTCAGAGCCTGAGGGTCTCAGTGCCAGAAGTCCCTCAGGGTCCAAGAGTTCCAAGACTGCAGCTGACATCCAAAAGAATCCAGCTTCCTTGGCACATCACTAGCAAGGGCCCACCCTACCTGCTCACACCTGCCCAGAAGCACCCATCCCTCCTAAGCGGCCCCTCCTCCCTGCCTCCCTGCATCCACACCTGCAGCCTGGTCAGTGACAGTCTCCTGCCATGTCCACCCATCACCTCCACATCAAGGTCATTCTTCTCTGGGGGCTGTGCTGAGCAAGGAACTGAGGCTTCAGGGCCGATGGACCCCGGCTCACAGTCTCATTATTCCACCTTGACACCGTTATTTAAAGTCTCTAAAGCTTGGGGCTTATCTGTGAAACAGGACCAAAATCCAACCTTGCCGGGTTGTCAGGAGGCCTCGATGAAATGGAAGGGAGAAAGTTCACCCTCCTCTCGCTGGTCTTCTCTTTCCCCATGGAGAAGCCCAGTCCCTTCAAGGGCTCCTGTGACATCCCCCTACCCCTTTATCTATGGGGGAACCTATTCAGAACGTCCTTTCTCTAGCTGGGTTTTTTAGGGTGCCAGGCTCTGGCCATCTGGGCCCTGAGCACGACCGACACCTCGCACACTGTGAGCCCTACTCCTTGCCCCAGCTTCAAAGTCCCAGCGGAGCCTGCACCTCTGCCCCTGATGGCCCCCAATCCCTCGCGCCTCGCGGAGCACAGAGGAAGCTGGGTGCAGACATGCATCTCAAGGAGAAATCAATCAGACCCACTAGTGCCAGCCCAGTTTGCACTCTGGAAATTTATTAAACCCTTACATTATTCATTAGAAATCTCAATCCAGGTTCCATTGATTTGCGTGGTGTCTAGGAACCATGCCGAGCAGTTATTACAGAGAAGAGAATTGATGGCAACAGCTCCGTCTGCCAGCTGCTTGTCCACATCCGCTGCACCGTGGTTCTAGGTGTGAATGGGGTGAGAAGACGCGGCACGCACAGAAGACAGCAGGCGAGGCCGCGGTAAATGCCAAGCAGAGAGGGCACACTGCCTGCCGGCCAGAGGACTGGATATCACTGATCAGAAGAAATCTCAGGCCCGCCTCTCTGCCAGGGAAAGTCTCCTCCCGGGTCGTGCTCCTGCCCAGCCCTGCACCTGTATGTGGCTCCCTCAGGACGACCGCAGGAAGATATCATCACCTGGCATCAGGATATCATCATCTGGATTCAGGTGCCAGTGGAGCTTGGGGACCTCCTGCCTAAGAAGAGGGGAGGTGGATGGTTCCTGTGAAGGCTGCCATTGTTCTCAATGCAGATCAGCCCCCACAGCTCCAGGCCACCAGGAAGCTGAGTGCCGTGACTGCCTGGGGCCTGCGTCAGCTATTCCTCTCCCAGCCTCGCTTTTCCCACGCCTGGCTCACAGTGATCAGACTGTCCCTCATCCACCTGTCCCTCAGCCTTCTGGCGAGACTCCCACTTCACGCTGGCATGCATTAGACACCGAGAACAAGGCTGGGGCCGGGGCGGCACAGACGGGCCCTGCCCTGGGGAACCAGGCTGTCTCAGAGATCAATGTCCTGTTCCTCTCACTCACTCCCCCATTTGACTCATGATCACCATAAGCCCTGGACAATGGCCGTGATCATCACCAACCAACCCAGAGTTTCTGACTCAGCAATGCCCCAAAAGTCATGACTAGGTTGGTGCAAAAGTAAGTGTGATTTTTGCCATTATGTTCAACAGCAAAATCTACCATTACTTTTGCCCCAATCTAATAATAAAATGGTAGTGACCGGCTTTAGGTGGCAGAAAGCACGTGTGGCAGCAGCCCTGACAATACCCAGACAGGATGGGGGGCACCCACTCAGGGCACCGTGGCCAGCAGACTCATTGTCTGCCGCACGTGGCGCTGCGTGCGTCCTTCTCCGTGGAGAGGGCCCCTCAGGCAGTGACCGGGCGCGACACTGTTTCACTTGTGTGGGTTCCCGGCCCTGCTCCCCCAGCTCGCATGTGGCTGGTGGGCTCTGCAGCCGAAGCCCCGCCTGGTCTGGTCCTGGGGACCTTTATAGCTTTTCTGTGTCCAAGTGTTCTTTTCTATCTCATTGATTTTTGTCTTCAGGGCAGTGAAGCTTCATCGTAGTTTCATTGTCAATTTAGCATCTCCCCTCATGTATAATTAACACTTCTTCCCTGATTTCTCAGCGCTCTCAAAGACAGCATCGGCATGTCTACACCTCTCAACAGTTTTAAATTTTTTATTAAATATTAATAAGGAAATAAATACTCAAATGCCTGGCAGTTTATGTAGCATGTATTTTATTGTGTTCAAAATAAATGGGAAGTGTAAATCTTACTGATCAGAATTCTAAGGTCAGCTTTGAAGAGATTAGGGAAGTGACTTCTTGAAAAAAACGTTTTTTTCATCAATAACCACGCTTTCCCTGTTACCCTCCGGTGTTAATCTTTACAGATTAGCTTGTGTTGTTTTTATTTAGTAGCTGAATAGTTACAGATAGTCGCTCATTGCCAGGAGCAATCATGTGAAAAACTCCCTCTGCTGAAGTTGGGGAAAGAAAGCATGGGGCTGGGAGGAAGGAAGAGAAAGAAAGAGAAGAGACCAGAGGAAGAATGGAGAAAGGGAGTGTAAAGGGGGGGAAGGAAGGGAGGGAGGAGGGAGGAGAGACAGAGAGAGGGAGGAGGAAGGGACGCAGGGACACACGCGCAGACTTGAACGCACACCAGCACTCCCTCACGCCAGCCTCGGCCTCTGTCGGACGTCTCTCCTTCGACCTCCTAGGCTCCTCCGACGCAGGGTTGATCACCGCAGCGTGACCCTAGAAGCTGTTCTGACGGACAGCCACAGCCTCCTTGATTAATCTCCAGCCCTGCAGTTTCCTCACCCTCCTCCTGAGCCAGCTCACCCGACACGGTGGTCTGACGGGCCCGTCCAGGCCTCTCTGCAGCCAGCAGGCTGAGAACCAGCAACCTTCTCCCTGTCCTCACTCCTCTGTCTCTCTGTCCTTCCTCCCCAAGGCCCATCTCGTGGCTCAGCCCTCATGTCCATGTCCTGACCACACATTTGCACTCAGCTGCCTACCCCTCGCTGCCCCGTGCCTCTCGTCCTGGGCCCCAGTCCCACTCTGGGGCTCTCTCCTTTTGTCCCTCTGCACCTGAGCAGCTGCCCTTGTTGTCACAGTTGCTGCAATGCTGCCTCCAGTCCCCTCGCTCGTCCTTCACAGGTATGGCCCTCAGTCCATCTTTTGCTTCTTTTCTTGGTATCTGCTCTTTGGAGGACTCAAATGGACATGATGAGTGTGACCCTCACAGGAACCTCAATGCCATCCAACCACACCCCAAGACCAAGGACTTGCAAGGTGTGTCCTAAGGATGAGAAAAGCACACAAAGTGAGAGGAAGCCCCAGAAATGCACAGCACTGTGGTCCCTGTGTTGCATGCAAGTCCAGGCTCAGAGGACCCTCACCCAACAGTGCCCGTGGACTGGCACACGCAGGAGGCTTGCCATTGTCACATGAAGTATGACCACGTTACAACATGTGACTTTTTAAAAAATGTTTTTATTGTAAAATACACAACATAAAATGTACTATCTTAACTAATTTAAGTGCACAGTTCAGTTTCACTAAGTACATTGAAATTGTTGTGCAATCATCACTGCCATCCATCTCCAGAACTTCTAATCTTGCAAAACTACACCTCTGATTCCATTAAACGCTAACTCTGCATTCCCCTCCCCCCAGTCCCTGGTAGCTACCATTCTCCTTTCGGTCTCTGTGAATTTAACTACTCTAAGTACCTCATGTCAGTGGAATCATACAGTATTTGTCTTTCTGCCTCTGGCTTATTTCACTTAGCGTGATGTCCTCAAGGTTCTTCCTGTTTATGGCTGAATAATATTCCCTAGTGTGTAAATACCCCATTTTTTTGTATCCATTCATGGGTTGATGAACATGGGTTGCTTCTGTTTTTTAAGTCTTGTAAATAATGTTGCTAGGAACATGGGTGTACACATATTTCTTCGAGTTCCTGCTTTTAATTCTTTGGTGTATATACCTAGAAGTGAATTTTCTGGATCACATGATAATTCTATTTTTGATTTCTTGAGGACCTGTCATATTGGTGTCCGCAGCAGCTGCACCATTTTACATTCCCACTCTCACTGTCCAAGGGTTCCAGTTTCTCCACATCCTCACCAACACTGGTTACTTTCTGGTTTTTGATAGTAGCCGACCTAATGGGTATGAGGTGGTATCTCACCGCATGTTGGATTTACATTTCTCTGATGATTAATGACGTTGCGCATCTTTTCATGTGCTGATTGACCATTTGTGTATCTTCTTTGGAGAAATGTCTATTCAAGGATGTGTGATATCTTCAGGTTAGTTTGTCAACTGTACCTAAGAAATATGTAAATATCTGAAAAAATGCAAATATGTATTTATTGTTACCATTTGTTGCTTTTATAATTGTTTTAAGTCTTAATTAAGACTATTTTTTAAATGTGTACTTTAACATTCTTAGCTAAATTAGGGAAGTAAAATTTGTATCATTATTTTTAGCTCTACTACGTGATTGTGCAATCAGTTTCACTGGACATTTGTCAAGGAAGGAGACTCCTTTTTGAAATGCAGCGGAAATGGCCAACCAAATGTCAGTGATGAAAGTGATGCCAAAAGAAGAAAGCCACGAGTGGGGCAGGTTGCTCAGAGCTATGATCCTTCATGCATTGAGCTCAGTGTTGCAGCCATCATTGACGGGGAAGTGCTAAAACCACGTTCTGTTATTTGTGGAAATGTAGGAGTAGCTAAAGAACCAGTGAAACTATCAAAGCTTAAGTGGTGGTTATATACAAAGCATGGAAAAATGCAAAAACAAAGCGTGTTCTTTGAAAGAATAAGAAGCTGAGAGATGTTCAATATTTTACACATAGACCTTAGTGCTTTCTGAGTTTCTTACAAAGCAGCATTTTGAGTCGCGAAAACCAAATAAAATCACCGACGCACTAAGGAAAGATGGCATCAGAGATGTTTTCAGGAAAACGTGGACAGAATCCATGACAAGGAAGGCGGCTCAAGTACCACTTCCCAACGATGCCAAAGATCAATATATGCATGAACTGGCTGGTGGTATAGAAGACCAATCCACAGAGCAAGTAAAGCTAGCAAAATATTTCTCATTAAAATTCGACGATAACACAAATATTGCTAGCATGGCAATTCTTTGAGCCTGTATGTGATTTGAACTTGATATGAAGGAAGAAATTTTTTTCAGCTTCATTGCCAACAAATACAACTAGCTTTAAACTGTATAAAACTATGAAGGATTGAATTGTCAACAAATATGGCTTGGAGTAGGAGCTTAATTTAAGGAGCTAACGCTGGGATCTAAATCAGCACACTGCTTCCTTCATCAAGAAAGTCTTGCTTTAGGAAAAAAAAAAAAACCCCACTGAACTAGATTATGCTTAGGAGCAAAGTAAAAATTATGTGTTTTGCAGTAGTTGGGCATGGTATACTTATATTACAATATGTATTATTTTAAGGCTGTGTGTTAATGTTGAACTTTATCTCTTTGTAACGATAGAAGGTTGATTAAGAACAACTGTTATTACAAGCTGAAGTGCAATGGTAATGAGAAGATCTTTGTCTAGATTGTCTGACATATAGATTGATCTCTTAATACTTCTGAAAGATAAGAAACCAATTAAGTGCCAATGATTTAAATATTTGTACAGCCAAACTTGCTTATTTGTATGACACCTTTGGGATTTTAAATATTTTTTCCAGCAAAGAAGAAATACAACACATTTGGCAACTAAGAGTTGAAGGCAAATGCAAAAGTTAAAAGCTTGGAAGAATAAAGTTTCTTCAATTATTGTGACATAATTTCTACTACTTAACAACAACCGTCAATGAAGTACGACGTGATCATGATATTTCACATCCACGAAAAAAAGTTATCATCCAATGACTGAGAAGTTTGATAGAACTTTCTGAATTTTGCTTTCTACCAGAAGAGGTCGATGCATAAGAAATTCATGGACCCAGAGTCCATTTCCTTCATGGAAAGATGTTTCAAATGTAACTAAAAATCTACAGAATAAATTGTGAAACTAGCTAATGATGAAGGATTCAGTATGGATTTTGAAAATACATTATTTTCTTTATTTTGGATAAAAGTTTAAGATGAATATTCCATATATGCTGAAAGTGCTTTAAAATCTCTTCTGTTATTTCCATCAACATGCATTTTTGAGGCTCATTTCTGTTTATGTTATTAAAACAAGACACTTAAACAGTTTAATATACATCATTCCCTATGAGCAGTATATCATCACCAGCATAGACTAAGTAAATATACAATTCTTAAAACCTGAGCTCATTTGCTGTATTCAAAGCCATTAATGTTGGCATACATAGGTTTGTTCATAGATGTTTGTATTAGTTATCTGTGGCTGTGTAACAAATTACCCCCCAGAAATTAGTAGCTTAAAACAACAAACATTTCTTCTTGTGCAGTTTCCCAGGTCAGGAATCTGGATGCAGCTAAGTTTGGGGCCTCTCCCAAGGCTACAGGCAAGCGCTGGCCATGGTTGTGTCTCATCTGAAGGCTCAAGTGAAGGAGGAGCTGCTCCAAGCTCACTCATGTGGTGGTCAGAGGATTCAGTTCCTTGGGCTGTTGGACCAAGGACCCCGGTTTCTCCCTGGGCTTCCCCCAGGCTGCAGAATGTCCTGAAGGAGAGGGAAGTGGTCTGTGCTCTGAGGACCCCTCCCTGGAACAGTGTCTTCTGGTTAGAAGGCAGCAGTGAGGGGCTCCTTCCAGAGGCGACCTGGAGCCTAGAGCAGAATGAAGCAGCAGAGTG
Organism: Homo sapiens; assembly: GCF_000001405.40. Lineage (NCBI taxonomy): Eukaryota > Metazoa > Chordata > Mammalia > Primates > Hominidae > Homo > Homo sapiens. The sequence continues at coordinate 239,603,955 of NC_000002.12, read as the reverse complement.
AGCGCATGGAGGCCTGTGGGGCAGGTGCAAAGGCCCCGTGGCAGGCACATGCTTGGCTGTGGAGCCTGAGGATGGACTCCACAGCTGGAGGCTTCACTCAGATCTTTGCCACATGGGCCTGTCCGGAGGGCAGCTCACAGCATGGTAGATGGTTCCCATCAGAGGTAGCAGCAAGACCAGAGCCAGAATCCTCCCATAACCTAGTTACAGAAGTGGCATTCCATCGCATTTGTCATATTCTAGTCCTTACAAGCAAGTAGTCCAGGCAACACTTGGAGAGAGGGATTGCCCAAGAACGTGAATGCCAGGAGGTGGGGACCCTTACACGATCTCAGAGGCTGCTGGCCACACCTTTTAACAAGGAGAAATGCTGAATTCGCTTTTAACTTCCTGTTCAGTGACAGAGAGTGACAAGAGTGACTCTATATTTATCACAGACCTGCACACTTTCAATAATTTATTATAGAAACAACATAATTTATTTCTTTTTCTCTGTATTGTCTTGGTTTAATATTCATGAAGATGTGGTTTTATACCTGTCGAATCTAATAATAAAAACAATTGGGGCTGATCTGCTTTTTTATTTGATTTCTCTAGTGATTGACTGTATGTTATGAAAGCAGGCTCCCTGCCCCAGGTGCACGGTGAGGTGTGGGAGCTCCGGGGAAAGGCCCCTGTGCTGGTGGCTGGAGCCGCCCATTCCCCGAATGGTGGCCGTAAAGCTCTCGTGGGGTATGGGTCGGGTCAAGCCATGCTCCACTCAGAGCCCTCGGTGGCTGTCGCCTTCTTGCTTGGAATACCATCCCCAGCCGCCTCTCAGATCTCCCAGGCCCTGCAGTGTGGCCCTGACTCCTCCCTACTTTCCCTCCTCGGCAGCCACAACGCCTGTCCTCAGACTCCACAGCCAAGCATGCGCCTGCCACGGGGCCTCTGCCCCTGCCCCCAGGCCTCCGTGGGCTCACGCTGCGGCTTCATTCTGCTCTGGGCTCACAGGTCCCCTCTGGAGGGAGCCCCTCACTGCTGCATCTAACAGGAAGACCTTGTCCCAGGGAGGGTGCTGGAACAGAGGCTGAGGGAGCCCCTCACTGCTGCATCTAACAGGAAGGCCTCGTCCCAGGGAGGGTGCTGGACCACAGGCTGAGGGAGCCCCTCGCCACTGTGTCTAACAGGAAGACCTTGTCCCAGGGAGGGTGCTGGACCACAGGCTGAGGGAGCCCCTCACCGCTGCGTCTAACAGGAAGGCCTCGTCCCAGGGAGGGTGCTGGAACACAGGCTGCTGCCCTTTCCTTCGGGATGCTCTGCAGCCTGCACTGGGCCTCTCTGCTCTTTGCTTACTGCCCAGCGTCGCTTCCACGCAGACTGGAATGTGATTTTGTGGGTGGTTTGCTGCTGCATGCCGGGGCCTGGGTAGGGCTGGGACACGGCGGGTGTTGCCTGAACACCTCAGAATGAAGGAGCAGTGAGGAAGGGCTGAGTCTGGGAACCAGCTCTGCTGTGGAGTTGTCTAAGGAAGCTCCGTTATGCAAAACGCCTCATTGAGGGACCACACCCTCCCCAGCCACACACCACAAAAGGCTCCTGTTCAAGGGTGTGAACACCTTTATAACATCAGCTGAAAGATGACTGACAACTGAAAGCCAATGGCAGAACAGCACACGGCCTCTCAGGAAGCAACTCGGAAGAGTCGCGGTGCTTGGGATTCAGAGACACTGACAGGGCCAGGGAAGGAGGGGACCTGTGTGACGAAGCTTGTCCTGAGCTCTAGTCTCTGCCCCCAAAGACCCTGAGACACAGCGTCATCATGTGTCATGGCTTTAGGACATCCAGTGTCCCTCCCCCAAGTTCAAAGACCCCAGGGAGAGCCAGGGGGCCCAGGAGGGACCAGAGGAACAGGGAGCCGGGAGGAGGCCAGGAAGGCCAGAGGGTAAATGGGAAGGGTCTGGAGTCCTGGGCGTCCTGGGACCAGCCATCTGAGGGTGGCTGGCTGGCTGCAGCTGGTTTTAAAGATTTAGTGGACAACTGGAGAAACCCCAGTGTGTGGGTAGAAGCTAACCTCTGGGCAGCATCCTCCAAGAAGCGTCTCAACTATCTCAGTGTCTGCGATGTTGCAGATCAGAGAGCCACCGAGCTACTTCTAAGCTTGGTACCAGAGGAGCCAAAGCAGCCACGGGGCCGAAGTCTCCCGGCAGCACCCCTGTCTGCTCCTGACGGGATAACTGGACCCACAAAAGGCTTTGTTGCTGCGGTTCCCCACGGTGGTTTCCTATTGTGGAGGAAACAGGCTCAGGTCAGGAGATCCAAACAGTCAAAGGACCCAGTCCTCCTAGCAGGGCTCCCTGAAGGGCGCGCAGCAAGTCAGACGCTGTGAAAATCCAAACTGACAAAGGACAGAGGCCGGGGTGGGGAAGCAGGCAGGAGCTGGTCCTTTGCCTCACAAAAGGGCACCTGCAGGGGAGAGGCCTGCCCTGCAGTGGGACTTTCTTGTTTGGGGAACAATGAGGTGACCCGGGGGAGTCTAGGCAGAGCAGGTGGGGACAGGCAGCCTGGCCTTGAAAGGCTCAGGTCCAGGGAACCAGCCAGAAGCCGAGATCAAGGACCTCTGAGCCCCGACAGTGCCCCCACTCACCTGGTGGAGACTGGATTCATGCAGGGCTTTGCAGACTCTGGGGCACTGGGGCCTGTGAGCCACACAGTTTGCAGCTGTGCTGGCGGGAGCTTGAGAGGGTGGGAGGGCTCTGCAGGTGAGGAAACTGAGGCTGGTAGGGCAGAGAGGCTTCCCTGTGCCAAGCCTTGCCCAGCGCTCCAGAGCTGCGTGGGGCTGGGACACCTACAGCCTGGTAGCCTAAGAACTGAAATCTGAAAAATGTAAGTTTTATATAAAACAAGTAGATTATGGCGAATACAAAATCCACATGCATCTTTGAAGTCCAGTGTGAGGTTCAGAGAAAGGCTTGGAAGCTGCAGGCCACATGGACCCAGCCCAGATCCCAGGTCCCTGTGCTCCAGCAGCAAAGTGGGGTGCCCTGGATGAGCAGTGGGAGGCCCAGGGAGGAAGAGGCCTCCATCCATGTCCCCCTCTGAAGGTGAGCGGGCGGGAGGGGAAGGAGGCCACCGCTGCCTGAGGTGGCCCTGGGGGATGTGGCCTGAGTGCAGCTGGGCCCCAGGACAGGGGCTGACGTGGTCTCTGTGGCCTCTCCCAGCCCTTTGCTGTCCTTTCTCAGCTGCTGCTCTTTCCTAGATTCTCATCCCCCAGTGTGGGGTGCCTTTTCCCAACCTCCCTCTGGAGCCTCCCGTCAATCACATGAAAAAGAGAGAGAGAACTGCCATCCCACGGAAAACTCGGAATTTCCCTTTCTCCCTTTCTTTCTCTGTGGCAAGTCTTGGCCAGCACCCTGAGCCCACAGGCAAGATGCCTCACTGTGCCCTCAGCCCCCTTCCCACTCTGGGAGCAGGATGGGGTCTGAGGGACCCAGTCTTCCCGGCCACGGACCATTATTATCGAAGTAGGAAGTAATACTCCAAGATGGATTTCACTCTCAACTGGAAGGTCCACCCCATTCCTCGCTCAGCAGGCCAGGGAGCCGGGACTCCAGGCAGAACGCTCAGACCCTCTTCCCCGAGCAGCCTCTCCAGCCAGAGTGAGGAGCCGCACACCTCATTATCACCCACAATCCTCCAGCAGGTGCCTGCAGCCACTAACAGTCCCTGCAATTCAGCAGAGCCTGTGCTTTAATCGTCAACAAAGCAGTAACACCACAGGCAATTTCTGAAACAGCAGCCCCCAGGGAAGAGAAACGTGCACGTCTCTGGAGAGGTACGCTTCTCGCCAACTCATTTTCCAGCCTGAGAAAAGGTCATGTGGCTTCACGTGGAGCATTTCTCACCAGGCTGTGGAGTCCAGCAGGACAGCATGGGAGGTGAGTGGGCACCTTACCAAGGAGGTGTTCCTTAGCATCCCTGAGAGAGCCCCACAGGGCCTTCCGGGCTGCTGAGTTTACATGTCTTTAACACGGAAACATGGCGCTTCTTGAGAAAGAAAAGTTTCCAGATGGCAGGGCTCGAGCACACTGAAAAGGATAAATATTGGTGGCCTGTAGTCCTCCAAGCTTATGGGGGCCCAGCAAGAACAAGAAGGGAGGGAGATTCACTGTTGGACAGTGGGGAAAGATCTTCTAGGATCTCATTCATTTATCCGTCGGATGAATACATGAATTAATGAATTAATGAATTAATGAATTAATGAATGAACATGTGGGCTGCGGCACTGGGCTTCCAGAACTCACAAGACACATCCCTGTCTCCTATGAGAAATGCAAAATACATCTGTGAAACATGTGAGCCAGCAGTTGAGGATGGCGCCCGGCGTGTGTGGAGTGGCAAGGCTCACCCTGGGAGAGGTAGCTCCAGATTCCCGCCGTGGTGAGATGTCACCGAGCTGGCCTGGAAGGATGAGTCGCAAAGGGGAGGAGGGCATTTGAAAGGAAGAGAACAGCACATGCAACGTCCTGGAGGCATAAAAGCAAGGTCCACCCAGGAGTGAGGAGGACTCTGCCCGGCACATGAGGAGGCCAGTGGTGTCCACGGCCAAGCTGTCGCACGGCTGAGTCTTTTCTCTACACAGATGAAAAAAATGGAAGAAAAATCAGGATAGACCGGCCTGAGCAAGCACCCCTGAATCTTTTGGTCAAAGTCCTACTGGAAAGATCTGTCATAGATTGAACCGTGCTTTAGTTCAGAAACTGTTTATAAAGTGTCAGCAGTATCTCGGCCAGAGTGGCTCCAAGGCAAGTTGACACCACGATGGAGACTCTCCCAGGGTCATCTCCATCACCCCTGGGCTCTAGAGGGTCCCAGGATAGTGAGAAGAGAACAGGAAGGCTTGTGGAGTCTTAGCAGCTTCCACTGGGAGACACAATAGGGAGAGGAGGCCTATTGCAGGCCTGGCTGGTGGAAGAATCTCTGCAGCCTCATCCATCCTCCATTCGTCTCTTCCCCTGCCCACTGTCCTGCCCTCCTGCATCACCCAGAATCCACGGGAACGGCTGGGGCAGGGCTTCCTCCCGGGGCTTGTTCTTCTGGGCCTGAGGCCTCTTACTGATGAAGCAGCTGCCGTGGGGCATTCCTAAGTCTTATCTCACCCACCAGGTATTTCAGTGTTGTCCTGCATCTTTGAGATTTTGGGAAAAATATAGGTTGTAGTGGAGTTGTAGCTAAGCAGTTATTTCAAAACCAAGACAAACTATTATGTGGAAACAAAGTCATTCGATCAGGTGAGAACACTGGGAAGGAGGGAGGCAGCCCGTTCTCCACACCGCTGCTCTTAGCTCACACCACAGACCTCCACGTGGCTGAGGACGGACGGCCCCACACCCCCTACACCCAGGAAGCTTGGCCACGGTTTCAACCATGTGGTCGGCCTCTTGCTGTGGGAGGGAAGGTGAGTCCAGTGACAAGGACCCCTGAGTTTCACTCTCAGTTCTGTTGCTTATGAGTCACATGAACTTGAGGGTAACTGGCGGCAGAGAGGGTAAGAAAGTTCATCTGTGAAACGGGCACGATACTCATCGTGACAGTTAAGTTTCTGCATCAACCTGACTGGGCCATGGGGTGTCCAGACACAGGCATCATTCTGGGGGCGTGTGTGAGGGTTTCTGGAAGAGACTGAACGTTGCATCAGTGGACTGAGTCGAGCAGATGGGCCTCCCCATGTGGGTGGGCCTCATCCAATCAGCTGAAGACCCGAATCGAGCGAAAAGGCTGAGTAAGCAGGACGGCTCCTGCCTGGGTGCTTGCCCTGGCCCCCGGGTCTTTTCCCTCCTCGGACTGGCACCTACACCACTGGCTCTCCACTGACTCAGCCTGGAGCTACACTCCGAGCTTCCCTGGATGTCAGGCTTGCCAACTGCTGATGTTGGGACATTTCAGCCTCCATAATCGTGTCTGCCAACTTCTTATCATTGTAGATTCTTTCATCTAAATCCACAGCCACATCGCAGCTATGTCTACATCAGCTCCTTCTCCTGGCCCCGTTTCTCTCGGGAACCCTGGCTGATATGCCCACTGTATTAGGTCATTTTTGCATCACTATAAAGGAATACCTGAGGCTGGGTGATTTCTCGAGAAAAGTGGTTTATTTGGTTCATGGTTCTGGAGGCTGTACGAGAAGCAAGCATGGTGCCAGCATCTGCTCAGCTTCTGGAGAGGCCTCAGGAAGCTTTCAACTGTGGGAGAAGGTGAAGGGGGAGCAGGCATGTCACTCAGCAAGAGAGTGAGGGGGAGGCACACACACTTGAAAACAGCCAATCTCCATTGAACTGAGAACCCACTCATCACCAAGGGGATGGCACTAAACCATTCATGAGGAATCGCCCCATGATCCAATACCTCCCACCAGGCCCCACCTCCAACCTTGGGGATCACATCTCAACAAGAGATTCAGGCAGGACAAACGCCCAAGCTGTGCCAGCCACTTGCCATGCTGCTTTGACAGAGGACTTGCATCAGGCTCAGCCCCCTGGAGCCACTCAGCCAAGGTCACCGTCAGTAAACCTGTTCCAGCCTCCACCTCTGCACCCTCCTGGTGGGTGGTGATTCCCTCGCTGGCACCATAGGGATAGCCAAACACCAGCACTCGACCCCGGGCAGATGAGATCAATGGCAGTTTAATAGTCATGGGTGCTCATAACCCAGTGTGGAGGACCCTTTCTGGGGAGAGGTCACAGGCCTGGCCTTGCTTCTTTGGGAAAGGGGCACTGAGAGGTTGGCTGTGACTCTCTATAAGCCTCAGAGACCGCTTTTGTCCTCAGCTCCTGTTTTCAGAAGATACGGTCAAAGTCATGTCAGGAAAAGTCCATTTTCATGTAGAAATATGTGCACCCATCGGTCCTAAGGGCACTATGAGGACCTACCCAGGATACAGTGAGGACCCGGAATGCTGGATCCAGACGCTTCACCAGCTCACCCCGGGACCCCAGGCCGGTCAGTGGCTGGCCCTGGCCCTGAAAGATACCTGTGGCACCCCGTGATTCCTCCCTAACTGCGCTTTGCCTCTGTGTGAGTTTCCTGGAGCTACAGTGACGACATGTTCTGTTTGGACCGCAAATCCAGTGGCTTAAAACAGCCCAAATTCATTATCTTACAGTTCTGGAGCTCAGACCACCAAACTCAGCCTCACTAGCCTAAAGTCAAGGTATTGTCGGCAGGGCTGGCTCCTTCTGGAGGCTTCAAGGGAAAACCGGTTTCCTGGTCTCCAGTTTCTAAGAGGCTGCCTGCCCCCGTTCCATGGTTCCTGGTCCCTTCCTCCTTCCTCATGAGGTAGGAGGCAGGACTGACTCCAAAGATGGGACTCAGACACCGAATCAGACTGAAGACTAGCTAAAACAGGGCCTGGGGAAAAGCAGTTTTCAATCAGACACGCCAACCAGTGTGCTCCTTAATTTACTGTTGCCATGGCGACAACCAGGAGTTACCACCCCTTTCTGTGGCAATGACCCAATGATTACTCCCCCTTCTCTAGCAATTTCTGCATAAATCACCCCTTAATCTGCATGCAATTAAAAGTGGGTGTAAACATGGCTGCAGGCCTGCCCTGAGCTGCTGCTCTCAGCCTCCAGGGTAGCCCTGCTCTGCAGGGACAGTCACAAAGCTGCAACACCGCTGCTTCAATAAAGCTGTTTTCTTCTACTTCTGGTTTGCCTTTAAGTTCTTTCCTGGGCAAAGCAAAGAACACTCAGGGGCTCAGCCTCACTCGGGGGCTCGCCTGCCCTGCATCACCCACAGCTGGCAGCACAGCACCTTCCCCTTCTTCACTGGCTTCTGACCTCCTCCTCGCCTCATAAAGACCCTTGTGATGACATTGTAACCCAGGATATCCCATCTGATGATCCTTAATCTAATCATGTCTGCCAGGTCCCTTTCTCCACTTCAGGCCCCGTAGTCACAGGTTCTGCGGATGAGGACGTGGACGTCTTTTTATTCTGCCTGTTACAGCCTCCATCACTGAACTCCTCACTTGGGTCTGGCCTGCCTCACCTGGCAGACTGGGGCCCCGTGGGTACAAGGATTGGGTCCTGGTCATCTCTGAGCCCCCCACATCACACAGGAGGCATCAGGCAGAGCAATGCATCATTCACGCTGGCTGCTCGGCTGCTGAGGGCTATTTTCCTGCATGAGTCCTGGGCCCGTTCAGCCCTCCCACTTCAGCTGTGGAGCAGGAAGCCCAGGAAAGGCATCTTCCAATGCCTGATGGGACTGACTGCCAGGGACATGGGTGCAATCGTGTCAAACAACAGTCAGAAGACTAGGTAGATGTTCACTGAGACTGCACGATGTCGTTCCAATGCAGTAGCCCCTGAGCCCCCCTCCCAGGGTCTCCATGTCCACCCTGCACAAGCACACACAAAGTCGGCATCCGTCCGATCTGACACCTTGACTTCATCAGATGCCCAATATGCGGACTGAGAAATAGTCCTGAGTTCAGGCTGAGACTCAGGAGGTCCAAGCGGGAGTGCGGTGAGGGTACATGCGGGTAGGAGGCCGGCGTGCTAACCAAGAAGCAAATGCAGGTGACCTGACCATCCACTCCAGGCCACTGTGCCCTGATGTGGGGATGAAGGCCAGGGACAGCCCCTGCCCGTAACAACCGTGGAGTCGCCTCCTTACCTCCACTCTGCACCTGTTGCTGCCAATGCTCAGAGGTGGAAGCAAGAAAAACTGCCAAGTATCTGGAGTCCTGTGCTCCGTGCACTGCAAGAAGGTTGACCTGAAACAGGCCATGCCTATGCTTTGCCCCGACACCCAGCCCAGCCTCAGCCGTTGCCACCTCTCCTACTGAGCTCCCTCAAATCCAGCTACTGCCACCAGCTGGGAACAAGCAGCCCTCTCATCTCCTGGGGCCTCTGCGATGGCCTCCTGGCTGGTTTCATTTGTCTGTTCCCGCCCTCCTGCTGTGCATCAGAGACCTCTCCAAAATGCACACAGATGGGATTGTCCCCCCAGCCTCCACCACCAGCAAAACCTACAGGAATGCCCAGAGCCCATAAGATCACCAGCACACTCCTTCCTGGGGCCAGACGGCACCTGCCAGGTGTGAGCGCCCAGACACACCCACCTCTCATCACCCTCCCCTTGCCCTTTGCAGTTCCCCCTCTTGGTGTACCCCCACCCCGCCACATCAGGGAGCCTCAGACTGGCTGACCACCCTCCGAACTTTGTTCTCACGCTCCCACTCTGGGAGCTTCCATGGCCGATCCCCTCCGTCCTTGCTCAGGCCCAAGGCTCCTGCATCTGAGGGCTCCTCTGCACCCAGCCTCACCTGCAGGCGGGGCTCACCGTGTGCTGTGGGGCCAAATGATGTCCCCACTGCTGCCCACCGTGCCTGCTGTCAGAGCCCAGCTGCTGGCCATGGTGTAGCAAATGAACGCCACCTCCCGGGGCTCCTCTGAGCTCCTCAAACAGAGGCCTGACCACCTACGAGGCCTCTCCGAGCAGAGGGGCCCCAGGAGCAGGGCTGGTGTTTGAATCTGGTTGGTGTAAGTCTGTATTCAGTGTTGGGCTCACATCTCAGGCCCACCAAGCCCCAGCCTCTGATCTGGGAGTACTTTCCTAACCAGCCGCCAGGGCTTTACCCACTTAGTGAGTTATGATCCCTCCAGGAATCTGCCAGATGGCTGTGTTTGTTTGTTTGTGCTAACATTCCCGGGTGCTTATTATGTGCCAAGCAGCCAGGATCAGCCAGCCCAGCTCTTACGACAAGCTCAGGACAGGGTGTTATTTTCCCTGGGTGAGCTAATCAGCATCATGATGTTAAACACCATCCGCACGCTGATAGCTCCCTGAGCTCTCTCCCCAGGCAGTCCTCTCCCCAGGCCCGGTCCTCCTGAGGCCAAGCCACTGTGTTATCCATGGGCCCATGTGCCCATCCATGGCCCAGTGTGCTCATCTATGGCCCAGTGTGCTCATCCATGGCCCCATGTGCCCATCCGTGGCCCAGTGTGCTCATCCATGGCTGCTGTGTGCTCATCCATGGTCCTGTGTACCCATCCATGGTCCCATATGCCTATTCATGGCCCTGTGTGCTCATCCATGGCTGTGTGTGCTCATCCATGACACCATGTGCTCATCCATGGCTGTGTGTGCTCATATGTGGCTGTGTGTGCTCATCCATGGCCCCAAGTGCCCATCCATGGCCATGTGTTCTCATCCATGGCCCCGTGTACTCATCCATGGCCCCGTGTGCCCATCCATGGCCCCATGTGCTCATCGATGGCCCTGTGTGTCCACCCATGGCCCTGTGTGCTCATCGATGGCCCTGTGTGCCCATCCATGGCTCTGTGTGCTCATCCATGGCCCTATGTGCCCATCCATGGCCATGTGTTCTCATCCATGGCCCCGTGTACTCATCCATGGCCCCGTGTACTCATCCATGGCCCCATGTGCTCATTGATGGCCCTGTGTGTCCATCCATGGCCCTGTGTGCTCATCTATGGACCTATGTGCCCATCCATGGCCGTGTGTTCTCATCCATGGCTGCGTGTGCCCATCCATGCCCCGATTACACATCCATGACCATGTGTGCTCATCCATGGCCCTGTGTGCCCATCCATGCCCCTGTGTGCCCATCCATGCCCCGATTATACATCCACGGCCATGTGTGCTCATCCATGGCCCTGTGTGCCCATCCATGGCCCTGTATGCCCATCCATGCCCCGATTACACATCGATGGCCTTGTGTGCTCATCCATGGCCCTGTGTGCCCATCCATGGCCCTGTGTGCCCATCCATGCCCCGATTACACATCCATGGCCGTGTGTGCTCATCCATGGCCCTGTGTGCCCATCCATGGCCCTGTATGCCCATCCATGCCCCGATTACACATCGATGGCCTTGTGTGCTCATCCATGGCCCTGTGTGCCCATCCATGGCCCTGTGTGCCCATCCATGCCCCGATTACACATCCATGGCCGTGTGTGCTCATCCATGGCCCTGTGTGCCCATCCATGGCCCTGTGTGCCCATCCATGCCCCGATTACACATCCATGGCCATGTGTGCTCATCCATGGCCCTGTGTGCCCATCCATGGCCCTGTGTATCCATCCATGACCCTGTGTGCTCATTCCTGGCCCCGATTACTCATCCATGGCCCCAAGTGCTCATCCATGGCCCCGATTGCTCATCCATGGCTGTGTGTGCCTATCCATGGCCGTGTGTGTTCATCCATGGCCCCGACTGCTTATCCATGGCCCCGATTGCTCATCCATGGCCGTGTGTTCTCATCCATGGCCATGTGTGCCCATCCATGCCCCCGTGTGCTCATCCATGGCCCTGTGTGCCCATCCATGGCCCTGATTGCTCATCCATGGCCATTTGTGCCCATCCATGGCTGTTTGTGCTCATCCATGGCCCCATGTGCTCATCCATAGCCATGTGTGCCTATCCATGGCCCTGTGTGCTCATCCATGGCTGCTGTGCGCTCATCCATGGCCCCGTGTGCTCATCCATGGCCCCGTGTGCCCATCCATGGACCCGATTGCTCATCCATGGCCATTTGTGCCCATCCATGGCTGTTTGTGCTCATCCATGGCCCCGATTGCTCATCCATGGCCATTTGTGCCCATCCATGGCTGTGTGTGCTCAGCCATGACCCTGTGTGCTCATCCATGGTCCTGTGTGCTTATCCATGACCCCGTGTGCTCATCCATGGCTGCGTGTGCTCATCCATGGCCCCGTGTCCTCATCCATGGCTCCATGTGCTCATCTATGGCCCCGTGTGCTCACTGCTACCTGCACTGTCTCCCTCCAGAGTGAATGGAGCCATGCTCTTCCAGCCAAGAACCACAGAGTGCTCCTGGGTCCTCTCTTCCTCTCACATACCCAGCCAATCTGTCAATGAGTCCTGATGAGTCCTTGTTCAAAACCTCTCCAGGCTCTGATGGCTCCCATGGGTCCCAGCCATCCTTCCTCAACCAGGCCCTCAAGCCCCTAAACCCCCTGCTTCCTCTTCCTCCTGTACCTGCAACTCCTCCCCATCAGCCAGAGTGACCCTTTCCAAACATCAGACAGATCATGGCAGCTCCCCTACGTCCCTGCTCCACTCAGAGGACAAGCCAAAACCCTCACTGCAGCCCATGTGTCCCTGCGGGACCTATGACCCTGTGGCCTCCCGACCTCCTGGCCAGCCACCTGGCCTGCTTATGGCTTCAGGTCTCCTGCCTGGGGCCTTTGCCCTCTCTGCTGTCTGTCTGGAGCAATCTACACCCTGCTGGACCCCGGCCTCCCTCCCCCAGATCTCAAGGAGGCACCGCAGCCCGACAGGCTTCCCACTGCCGTCCACACCTCCTGGCCTCTTGGCTCTGCCGAGCTCTCCTCATGACGGAGGGAGCTACGTTCAGCTTCCCCTCAGTGCCCCTTAACACTGGGTTCCACAGGGCTCCATGTTGTACTCAGCACTGCAGTTCAGCTCACAGGGGCCATGCCGTAGATGTTTGTTGAATGAAAGAATGAATGAATGCCCATTTATCGGATGAAGAAAGGACCGTGGTTGTCTGAGGTCACAGAAAGTGGTGGAGCACAGACCACGAAAGAAAGCCTGACTGCAGGCCCAGGCCCTCCTGGAGCCCACACAGCCTTGACTGTTGGCGCTTAGCACCCCATCTCCACCTCCCAGGTCCTTGACCCCAGGTAGCCTGAGGCAGGAGTAAAGGAATGAGTCCATCAGCAATGAGGCCAAGGCCGCAGTAAGTGCTGTCAAGGAAACATGGAAGCCGCCAGAACAGGAGATGTACCCGGTGGCCACAGTGTGCTGGGGAGGAGAGGGCAGGGCTCCGTCAGGGCACGGGGCTGGGAGGAGCCTGGCCCATGGGAGGGTTGTGTGTGTGTCTGTGTGCATGCCTGAGTGCATGTATGTTTACCTGTGTCTATGCGTCTGTCATGTGTATCTGTGTGTATTAGTACTATGTATGTGTTATGTGTATATGAATGAATATGTCTGTATGTGCAGATGTGTATGTGTGCATATTTGTATGTGCATATGTGTATGCATTATACATGTCTATATGTGTGTATGTATACATGTATCTGTATGTGTCTATGTATGTGTGTACATTACTATGTATGTAGACTGCTTGTGTGTGCATGTCTCTGTGTCTGTGTGTGTATGTGTTATATGTATATGACGTGTGCATGTGTGTCTGTATCTGTGTGTATATGTGAGTATGTGTGTTCTTAGTTGCACATGTATATATGTATGTGTGTGTCTGTATGTGTATATATATGTTTGTGTGGGTGTGTGTCTGTAGGTGTGTGTATATGTGTATGTGGGTATGTGTATGCATGTGTGTATGCATGTGTGCATATGTTTGTGTGTGTGTGCATGTGGCTACAGCAAGCCCGTGAAGCCCCTCGGAGGTCAGGTGTGCAGATCCACCTGACGAGGTGCCTTCACCTTTCTGATAACCCAGGTGGTCTGCAAGGAGCCCAGACCTGCCCACTGCAGGCAGTGCTGGCGCCTTCAAGACTCTGGAGGGCAAAGGACTTCTTGCTCATCACAATGGCCCCTGTTATAGATCCCTGTGGAAAGTCCCACAGGGTCTCTGCAGGCAGACATATTTTCAGATGCCACAGACTCTCTGCGGGCAGACATGTTTTCAGATGCCACAGGCAGGCCAGGTAGATGCTCTGCTCTCTGAGGCTGAAGGTAGACTCTTTGGAACAGGGCTGGAGACCCTGGCCTTGTTTTCCAGCCCCTCCAGCTTCTCCCCAATGCAGTGAAGTGTGGCAGAGCACTGAGCACAGAGTCAGAGCAGCTGGATCCGAGTACCGGCCCCTCCTGGGTGGCCTCGGGCAGGAGCTTAGGCTCCCTGAGTCCAGCCTCCTCGTCTTCCAAACATGCTGTGATCCCCACGCGCCACTGCACAGGGCCTCTGTGGGGACCTTGTGGGTCAGTGCACATGCGAGCATTTTAAGTGACATCAAGATGCAGGAGATGCAGCCAGCTGCCCGGACTGCACCCTGCCTCCGTCTCTCTGATAGAGCCTGACTATCCTTCAGCCAGCTCCCCAGCCTGCACCCCTACCTCCATCCCTGCCGATAGAGCCTGACTATCCTTCAGCCAGCTCCCCAGCCTGCACCCCTACCTCCATCCCTGCCGATAGAGCCTGACTATCCTTCAGCCAGCTCCCCAGCCTGCACCCCTACCTCCATCCCTGCCAATAGAGCCTGACCGTTCCATTCTTCAGATAGCTGCCCGGCCTGCACTCCGCCCCCTGTCCTTGCTGACAGAACCTAACCATCTTTCAGGCATCTCATCTCCAGGCCCTACCCCGCAGCCAGGCTGGCATCATGACAGTGTTAGTCAATAAGATGAAAGTGAAAGTCAGCTGAGGACTGTCAGCTTTTGCTCTCCTAATAAAAAGGACCCCCACCCTGCCCCGACACTGCCTCTTCCCACTTCCTTCTCCTTCCTCCTTCCAAACTGATCCACACTAGCAGCCACCCTGGCAGAGCTCAGCAGGTAGGGAGGAGAAGGTCCCATCTGTGGGCTCCAGAGCTAACTGCTCTGTTTTTGGCAGCCAGTTGTGTCCCCAAGGGCTCAGGCGGTCAGGAGGCTTTCTGCAACCTCCCCTCTGAGCCTGGCCTCCCAAGGGGAAAACCTGAGGACAGGCATCTCCCCCACATCTTCCTCACTGTGGCAGAGCAGCTGGGAGGACCCAAGGGTCAAACTCTCTCCAACCAGGGCCAAACAACGCCCTTAGCACAGCCTTCCAAGTGTGCAGGGCCAAAGCCACAGAACCAAGATGGCTCTAGTATCCCCTCAAGGCAAGTAACAGAGATAACACACCCCCAGGATCCCCGCTCGATGCCAAAACTTCACTGGCCTGGGGCCCCAGGGCTCAAGCTGGAGGCTGTTCTACAAAAGGCCTGGCTCTGAGAGATCAAAGCACCAGGGAGGGGTGCCAGTTGCTGCCAGCTCCCACCAGCTGGAGCCCGTAGAGTGGCTGAGACTCAGGTGGGAGGAGGGAGAGTTCTGCAGCCCAATAAGGAGGCCAACATCAGGGGCTCCAGGGCCCTGCGCAGGGAAGAGGCTGTAGGCCCAGCCCAGGCTGCGAGGAACCAGCCCAGGCTGCAGAGGCTGAGCAGTGCAGGGTGCCTGGGCATTTGCTCTCGTTCAGAGCACTGGATGAGATCTAATGATGGGGTACCCCTGTAGAGGAGCCCCAAGTACTCACACGGGGGAATCAGCCAGACTGCCAATTGGAAGCTGGAGCTGTGAGGACCATGGGAGCCTGGGCCCCTGGGGTACCAGCTTGCATGACCTTCCACTGCCGAGCCCAGCACTACACACAGTGCCTGCCACACCAGCCCCAGGGAAGGAGGGTCTCCCAGTGACTGGATGTGGGGACAGAGAGGAGTGGGGCAACCGACCGGTCAGAGACCACCCGGAAGGGAGGCTTCACTCTTCTTCATCTACTCTACTTGACTTGACTCTCTCCATTTGGGGGCGATTCAGAAATGACAACACATAGCAAAGAGGAGTGTACGGGGAATGTACAAATGGTGTCAGTCTTGACCGTCCTCTGGGTTCCTGCTGCCTCCCTGGAGTGGAGTTGGAGCCACTCCGTGGTTAGCTTCTGGGCCTTTTATCGTGAAGACCTGAGCCTCTTCAGGCTGGGACATCCCTGTCACAGCAAAGGCCAGGGGGCAAGGCCAGGAAGCAGCTCACGCCCCATCCTGATGCCACGTGGGAGGGGACGCTCTGCCTTCCTAGAGACACGGTCACATTTTCCCAGGAAATTTCAAGGGGTTGGGGAACTGTGGTTATTTCTTCCTACCACTGCGCAGAGCCCTCATTATAGGACACAGAGTTCAGTTTGCTCACATGCTGTGAACGGGCCAAGTGAACGCCAGCCCACTTCTTCCAAAAGCAGAACTTTACAGAAAGCAACGGGTGGGTTAAACAGAGAAGAAAACCAGCCGAGGAAGTGAGGAGAAGGTGACTTCGGGCGCTGGGGGTGTGGACGGCTGTCCCTGGCTCACGGCCCAGCAGGAGAGAAAATGCTGGAAAAGGCAGCAGCAGAGGGGAGAGAAGTGTCTCCCCTGTGACGTTCCAGGGACCCCCTGGAAGCTGGTTCAAAGTACAGATTCCAGAGCGTCACCCTCACCCCGTGAGTCTGGGGTCCCCCATGTTCCCAGTCCTAGCTCTGTGAGGGCACCCTAAAGCGAGTGGTCTCTGGGACAGAAGGAGACCCCCTCCCGCTGCCCCGACACCCCACCCAGCCTGACTCTCTCAGGCCTTTGTTCACTGGCTCCTGTGCCTGACCTGAAACCCACAGTCATGGCCCGGGGCTGTGTCTTTGACTTTTCACCTCTTTACTCCATACTGCCCTGGGCGAGCCCTCACCCCTTCAGAGAATTCCGAAATCATACCAACACCAGCATCCGCCCCTGAGCTGCAGAACCCCTGCCATCCCCGCCGCAGTCTCCTGCAGACTCTCCCCAGCACCGCCCCTTGGCTAGGGCACATGACCTGCCTTCACGGCACCCCGGCCTCCTCTCTGCACCCCCGCCTCCTCTCTGCTATTGCCCCCGCAGCAGCACGAGGCCCTTGGGTTCAGACGTGCACTCAAACCGAAACCATTCCTGGGGCTGGGGGTGCAGAGGGGGCAGAGCAGACAGGGGTCCTTCCAGGGCTCACTCGTGGGGCTCCACTTCCCAAGTGCCTGTCCTGTCTCTCTTCTCCTCCCCTCTTCACCGCAGGCCCATGCCGGTGTCCTGATCACCTGTCTGGGCTGTTACGTGCATGGGGAAAGTCTCGGCAGCTCTTGGACTGTGTTACTTCCCCAGGACTCTGGCCACCTGCCTGAGGGCAGACATGAGTCCTAAAATCTATGCCTTTGAGGACAGAGATAGAGGAACTGGCCGGTGAAGGTGTTGGTGCCACGGAGGCCTGGCGAATCCCATCGACGTCAATAAACTACTTGGTGGAGCCGTGGTCCAGCGACACCGTGCAGGCCTCAGCCAGGTAGCAAAGGATGTCGTAAATGGACGTCAGCTGCCCTCTTGGCAGGATCAGACCGCTGTCAACTCAAATCACCCAGAAGGACGGGACGGAGTCCAGACTTAGCCAACACTTCCCTCTGGTGTGTGGGCTGGAGGCCCCAGTTGCCAGGACGACCACACACAGGCCCCTGAGTGTCCTCTTGTGGTACACATGCCATCACCCTGGACTTTCAAGGCACCAGGTCCCAGTAAGAGGATGCACCTGCCCGGGAGGGCTGCACCAGATACCGAGGTAAGGAAGGAAGCCGAGATCTCTGACTTTACACTTCTGCAGAGGGCAGGAATAGCATACATGCCCCAAAACTCAAAGTGAGTGAAATGTCTCAGGGAACTTGGAATTTGGATGTTTGTGACCATTACTTAATGTCTGAATTTGCAAGCGCTTGGGAAAAATTCTTCCTTCTTAGCCTTTTTTTTTTTTTTTTTTTTTTTTTGAGACAGAGCCTCGCTCTATCACCCAGGCTATAGTACAGTGGAGCAATCTCAGCTCACTGCAACCTCCACCTCCCAGGTTCAAGTGAACCCCCTGTCTCAGCCTCCCAAGTAGCTGGGACTGCAGGTTCCCACCACCACACCCAGTTAATTTTTACATTTTTAGTAGAGACGGGATTTTACTGTGTTGGCCAGGCTGGTCTTGAACTCCTGACTTCAAGTGATCCGCCCACCTCGGCCTCCCAAAGTGCTGGGATTCAGGCATGAGCCACCGTGCCCAGCCTTCTTGTTAGCCTTTTGTATTTGCCCTATTGGGCATTTGAAGCTCTTAATGAGAAAATCAAATGTATGAAAAAGTTTGAAAATGCAGTTTTATATGCATAAAGGAATTTAATTAACTATGTTTATAAATGAAGTTGAGAATTTGAATTGTTCAACTCGAATTAATATAACAATAGTTAACTTCTTAAACATGATTGCATTTTATATAACATTTACTACATTTATAGACAGGTTAATATTTTTGAAAAGGCAGGTTTCTAGATACATAACTGGGTTATATCAAAGGTTCACGGAAGTATATGACTATAAATGGGTTTTCCTTTGGCAGGAACCCTGCTGCAGGCGTCAGAAAATCCGTGATGGATGGGAGGGGCGAGGGCTAAATGTTTTACTCTCCTGGACTCACAACCAGGTGCTTCGATTACACTTGTGAAAATAAGTGATTAAAAACAAACAAACAAAAACAATAAATACCTATCATGAGCATCCCCCTTTCCTCCTCAGAATTCCCCTGAGACTCCCCACAGGCTGCAAGGAAGGACTGAAGCCGCGTGGCCCAATGACTCAGGCTCCGGCCGACTTCTGAGACCGTCTCTGCGTTCTCCATGATTCAACAATGCCAGCTGATTCGTGGGCTCCTGGACACTCCATGCCATTTCCTCTGCTGGAGCGTCTCCACCCACCTGTCTGCTTGTTAAGTTGCCCCTCCAAATCCAGCCTGAAGTCACCTCCTCCAGAAAGGCTTCTGGGACCCTCTCACCTGTGACAGTATACCCCTCCTCCATCCCTGCCTGGCTTCCTGCAGACTTGAGTTTTTGATTCCTTGCCTGCTTCTGTGGGGGGTTCTGAGGAGCCAGGGTGTGTGCTGGCATGGACTGGGAGGAGCTGGTATGGGGTTTTGATTTTTCCCAAGGTGGCACTGCCTTGGCACAGCCTTACAGTGAGGGCATGAGCCACACACACCTGCCACTTCTAGGGCAAATCACGTCTCCAGGAAGGGCCAGCAGCAGGGAGGCTGACCAAGGAAGGGCTGGAGGGGGCTGCCCCCGCAGCTGCACTGTTACCCTGAAAGGGTGGGTCAGCTGTGGGGCTGGGGAGATGTTCAGGGCAGCAGGGGGGCAGCAGGGACAGTGCCTGCCCCTGGAGGGCTCCGAGCAGGTTGGGGGGCCCCTGTCAGTGGCTCTGAGTGAATGAAGCAGGGGCAACTACCATGGTGCCCTCCCCACAACCTACAGCCACAGAAAGGCTCTGAGAAGGCCAGAGCCTGAAACAATTTACCTGCTCAGAATCTAGATAATCCCACAGGCAGAAGACAAAAGGGAAGACAGACAACCACAACAATGTCCTGCTCAGAAGGGACAGTTACAGTGTCCTCTGACACTTATAGGAAATTACCTCGCTTTATGATTTACCTTGAAGCCCAGGGGAACCTTTCTCAGCCTGAGACCCGTCCCCCAGGTTCCCATCATGGTTCATGTGCAAATGCACACGGTGTCCCCCAGGACTGGCGGCCAGTGACGTAGGCAGAGTCCCTCCATGAGATGCCTGGGCGGGGGCCACCCATGGAGCCATCGGGGCCAACCACCTGACAGAGCAGCCACAGGCTCCCCGCACCAAGTCGGCAGCACAGGCAGGAATCGGCATTACCACTCAGGGCATGTGCTGGAACCAAGGACGGCGACGGAAAATCCCCCGGGAGATGGATACAGCAGGTGGAACCCCAAGAACAGGATGCACCCAGCAACCAGCCTTCTCCTGGCCCCGCTGTTGCAAGGGGCTCGGACCACAGCTCCCAGGAGATGCCACCCTCCAGGATACAGCAACAGTAACCGGGATGCCTCCTGAGCCCAGGCTCTGAGCCCGCTGTGCAGCAGCTTCCAGCGTGTGGAAGAACGGGAGCCTGACGCTGGCCTCTGTCAAGACATCTCCAAAGTGGGTGTCGAAACTTTGCCATGACACGTGGGGCACAGTCAGGACAAGCCACTAGCCACGTGATATGGGGGGCAGAAGCTGCTTACTCTGGACCCCGAGTCAAGGACACCTTTCTCTCGAGACTTCAGCACCCCATTCTCCAACTGACTTCCCTCTCGTGAGGGCAGGGACTCTGGAAACCCATCAGAGGTGCCCGGGGCCTTGGGTGGCCCTCCTGATGACCCCTTCCTGCCACGCATGCCTCGGAGCAGCCAGCTTCAGCCACCAGCTTTGGGACCCAGGCCCTCAGTTACCTGGGAGTCCCAGTTCTGGATTCTCCAGGCATTGGTAATGTGGAAGCTTCATTTTCAGAGATCACACATAGACTCACTCACGGGCACACACATGTGTACACACAGACCCATGGCTCCCTCCAGGCTTCAAGGGCCGGCCCTGAGCAGTCCAGCAGCCCAGCGAGGGGTCGGCAGCCTCTGAGGGGAGAGAGCGTCACTGTGACACCCGTGTGGTTTCATCTGAGAGACTCCGTGGATGTGCAGGGCTCACAGCACCGTCCCAGGCGCTCCTGGGTTTCATCTGTGCTGTTGTCTGGACAGTGGAGGACAGTCCTGCTCATCAGTCCATGCCTGGCCGTGGGGTCTGCCACTCTCTGGAATGTGCTGATAGGGTCTCCAGAGCCGCCCCACCTGCGGCTGAGCGACTCTGCAAGACCCTGCAGACACCCACCTGGCAGCTCTCACACCCTCCAGACATGCGCCTTCCATCTGCCTGGTCTCCACACTTGTCTCATCTCCCTGCCGACCACTCCTCTCAGATACCCTGGTCTCACCACCACTTTCTCAATGAACCCACTGCAGAACTCCACAGTCATGGAAGCTGGAGGTGGAACCAACGCGAAGGCCCGCATTCCCCCAGCCAGGCGCATCAGCAGGTCCAGGGGAAGGTGCAGGGTGCCCAGGCAAGGGCCCTTCGGACTGGCGTGTCGGGGTGGGACCTTCAGGGCCTCTTCCATAGTCATGCTGGTCTACTTGGAAAGATCTAGGAAACACTCAACTGTCAACCTACTATGACTAGAATGGCTACCAAACATGCTAACCCCTCCATGCCCAAGAGGGTAAGAAGTCCTCACACATACAGCCGGGGAGACTTAAATTACTGTGGCATGATTTCCAGAAGACAATTCTATGGAAGAATTCAGAGGCTTGAACATGGCCAAACTGTCCAACTTCAGGAAAGAATCTGAAATGCAAACCAAAATATATTTCACATTATTTTTATTTTAAAATTATTTCCAAATCTTGAGAACCTGTGGGAAAAAAAACACCAAAATATATTTTAAAAGATACTTACCACTATAGGATTTACAATAGTGAAAAACTGAAAATAATTAGATGATCCCTTTATTTAGGGAATTGTTGAATAAGTAATCCATTCATAACAAGAACTCACAAACCCATTTTAAACAATCATGGAGGGAGGATTTTAGTGACATGAGGGTAAAAAAACCTATCCCGTTAAGAAAAAGAAAGTGAAAAGCGTGATCCACATACATTTGCATCACAAACTCAATTATGAAAAGAAAAGACCCCACTTACGCTGCAGGAATGTGCAGGAAGGACAGAGATCGAATGCTAATGGGGCTTCCTGCTTGAATGGGGGGCGGAGGGGAGGGTGCGTCATGAGTGATATTTTCCAGCTTCTTTTAGATTGTCTATGCTTTCCAAACTTTCTACAAAAAGTTTACATTAATTTTATAATCTGCAGAACTAAAATTTGAGAAATGTTAACTAATGTTGCCTTGATTTTAAAACAGCCAATAGTCCTAGTTATAATTTCTTGTACATGTTTCTATTACAATAGTCACCCTACTCATGGTACTTAGTGAGAAGCAAAAAGTATGTAGAGCTGCTCCTGTTCACAGCTCCAATAACCATAATGAAAAAAGAGCAAAAAGCGTCCATTCAGAGCTTTCTGCAGATTAGTGATAAAAGTTGGCCCAGAAGAAACTCGGAAGATTTCCTCCTTGGTGATCAAGCCAACAAATGGAATGCTGAGAACGTTCACTCCTGGAGAAAACACTGCAGGCTGCCTTCCCTCTCCAGGACCAGGTGAGAAGGCCAAATTCACAAGACTCTACTGTGAACGCACCACCCAAAGCCCCTCACCTGGCTCCCTGCTCCCCGCCTTATCCCATCCCTCACTCAGAACCAGCCCCCGCCTTATCCCATCCCTCACTCAGAACCAGCCCCTGCCTTATCCCATCCCTCACTCAGAACCAGCCCAAACTTCCCCAGCATCAGCGCAGAACCCTGTGAGCTCCTTTCCAGGGTGGCTGGGAGGTGGGAGACTCTGCAGTGTTGTCACGTGAGGAGCTGCCTGCAGACCTTGGGGAGGAGCTCAGAAAGGTCCCCCACCGAGGAGGAGGCTGATGACACGGCCGAGGAGCAGATGACAGCCGGCAGGATGGACTGCGAAGGGGCAGCAGGTACCGAATCCCTGCGAATGGGAGCCAAGCCTCTCCCAAATCCAACTCGGAGTCAGAGCTCCTTGACTTCACCCAGATGGGCCAAGCATGCCCGGGGACTGGAAGGAATCCACAGCATGGGGAAGCCTTCGTCCAATCCGCTCGCCGAGACAGTGATGCTGGCAGGCGGCAATGGCTGGGCGACTACACCAAAGGCGGGCCAGTGAGGGGTAGTCGGCACCCTCCAGTCCTACCCCGGAGGTGCCACCCAGCAGGCACAAACGCCCCAGATCCCAGCAAGGTGAAGGTGCCAGTGCAGAGAGTAGGCCCAGCAGATGATTCCCACAGTGTGGGCTATGCTAGGTCCACAGTGGGGGCTTCCAAGTGCCCGGTATCCAGGGAACAGAGGAGGCAGTGCCTGGAGCTGAGACACAGACTTGGCCCTGGGGAGGCCTGGGCGGTGAACTGGCACTTGACTCCAGAACCCCAGGGCCTCAGGCTGTGTTCTGTGCGGCACCCTTTCCTCTCTGCATGGGTGCTTCCGATGGCCTCTGTTGCTTTCTTTTCCTTTCTTTTATTTTACTTCCTAGGCATTGCACAGGTAGTTATTTTACATTGTATATCTGATGATGTTAATTTCTTAAGTGCTGGAGGGTACATATCTACTGGATTCTGTGCTTTTTCTTTTCGTTTATACAGACTCCAACTCATTTTAGGTGATTTCTTTGCGTGCTTTCTGGTTTGTGATTATGAGTTCAGCTTTGGCCAAAGTGAGTCTGCAGGAACCCAGAGACCCTAAGTCACAGGTTCACCTCTCAAAGAGGTTGCCCTCTGGGCTCTTCTGGGGCCTCAGGCTCTGCCCACGCTGTAGGCCTCTCTGAGACCTGGTTTGACACACGAACTGCAGGCCTAAAACTTCATTTCTTATGCCCAGGGCTTCTTCGGCGTTTCCACAGGGCAACCAAAGTTTTCTTTCCTTTTTTTTTTTTTTGGAGACGGAGTTTTGCTTTTGTTGCCCAGGCTGGAGTGCAGTGGCACGATCTCGGCTCACTGCAACCTCCGCTTCCCAGGTTCAAGCGATTCTCCTGCCTCAGCCTCCCGAGTAGCTGGGATTATAGGCGCCCGACACCATGCCCAGCTAATTTTTGTATTTTTAGTAGAGACGGGGTTTCACCATGTTGGCCAGGCTGGTCTCGAATTCCTGTCTTCGTGATACGCCCGCCTCGACCTCCCAAAGTGCTGGGATTACAGGCGTGAGCCACTGTGCCCGGCCCAGTTTTCTTATTTACCTTTCTCGTCTCAACTCACTGCTTGTTTTTCTCTTTTCTTTAGGCATTCACTCACTTTATTGCAACTCCAGCAATGTTTGAAAAGTATTTTTCATTGTTCATCCAGGACCTAGTTGTATTGTAACAGATCAGGACACTTCAGTGCAGAGGGGAAGCCCTCCGCCCCCTCATAAAGAGGCCCTGATTCCTTATCTGTGACATTTAGAAACTTCCACCCTCCTGTGAAGGAAGCCACTTTTTAGATCTCTAAAATACACAGATTCAGACTCTGCTTGGAGCTTCTGCAATGAACAAGTCCAGAACAAACTTGGGAGTTGCGCTCTGGGCATTACCCAGAACTGGGAGACAAAGCACAGACATTGAAGTCCCCCTGTGCACAGCCCTCCCAGGCTGGAGTGCAGAGAGCAGTGCAGGGCAGCTGGTCTGCTCTGCCTCCTGTCCTGACACGGCCACCTGCGTCCTGCACCTTCCTGGTTCTCTAAGGCACACAAGAGCAGCTGCCTCAGGGTGAAACCTCTGCCCACAGACCTAAAGGAGGAACTTTAGTAAAAGCAGCAAATAGGCCTTTCTCCACTGATAGGGTTTGGCTGTGTCCCCACCCAAATCTCACCTTGAATTGTAATAATCCCCAGATGTCAAGGGCGGAGCCAGGTGGAGATAATTGAATCATGGGGGCATTTTCCCCCATACTGTTCTCATGGTCGTGAGTTAGTTTCTTGAGATCTGATGGTTTTATAAAGGGGAGTTCCCCTCCACAAACGCTCTTGCCTGCCACCATGTAAGACGTGACTCTGCTCCTCATTCACTTTCTGCCATGATTGAGAGGCCTCCCCAGCCATGTGGTAATGTGAGCCCATTAAACCTCTTTCCTTTATAAATTACCCAGTCTTGGGTATGTTTTCATTAGTAGTGTGAAAACAGACTAATATACATCCACCTAGGGTTTAAAAGGCCTGTACAGCAGAGCCTTCATCCTCTTTAACCAAATGCTAGCCTTAGACACACCTGCCTCTGAAAAGAGGCCTCTGCACTGCTGGGCTCCATCTGGCTGCAGGGGCCCTGACAGGGTGGCCACCGGAGCAAGGTCACCAGGATAGGCATACGT
Source organism: Homo sapiens (assembly GCF_000001405.40). Classification (NCBI taxonomy): domain Eukaryota; kingdom Metazoa; phylum Chordata; class Mammalia; order Primates; family Hominidae; genus Homo; species Homo sapiens. The sequence continues at coordinate 239,579,399 of NC_000002.12, read as the reverse complement.
CAGGGCTTCCTTAAGGCCCAGCCTGGCCCCTCGTCCCTCTGCAGAGGGCGGCACATCTTTGGTCAGTGCCTGCTGCACACTTCCTGCTTCCCTGGAATACCCCTCGCCTGTGGGCGAAGCCTTGATCAGCAAGGTTCAAGGTCAGGCATGGCATGGCCTGAGCTCAAGGTCTCATGCCCGGGCCACAGGGGTCCAGGCCTCACCCAGGAGAACCATTGCAGACCTCAAGGTCAAACGTGCTGTTTGGAATCTAAGCCGAAAGGCCCAAAGCCACACGTCGCGCCCAGTGAAGCCCTCTCACTGTGTGTTCTGCCCTCCTCACCCCATCACCTCTTATTTCTCAAAGTTCCTCACTCCAGGAACTGAGGGCCTTTGAGAGTGCTTAATACTAAGAGCACCTCTTCCCCATGCAGGTTCAGAACAAGTTGGACATGAGATAAAGAATAAAACACATAGAACTCAAATTATTACTTACTCCTAACAAATGCCAAGGTGAAAGTCTTAGCTTTGTGTGGGGGCCAAATAACCTTCTTAATTGAACCCAGAGTAAGAGCCTCTGACTCAGGGGTGCAGGGCTGGACCAGGGCAGACATCCTAGCACCAGCACACACGGTGGGGCAGGAACCCTCAAGGGAACAGCGTCTCTGCAATCGGACGGCATCCAAGAGAAGCAGGTACGATGGTGGATTCAGTGAAGCAGACGCCCTCGCAATGTGGATGGGCCTCATCCAACCCATTGAAGACCTGAGTAGAACACAAAGGTGGAGAGAGAACCCTCCCTCTGCCTGCCTGCTGGAGCTGGAACACTGACCTTCTCTTGCTCTCAGGCTGGAAGTGTGCTGTCGTCGGCGTGCCTGGTTCTCGGGCCTCCAGGCTCTGGCTAGGGCTGCAGCACAGACTCTCCTGCCTTTCCAGCTTGCAGACGACAGGGTGTAGGACCCCTCAGCCTCTGTAATCATGCGAGCCCATTCCATTTCTTATAGCAATGCATCTCTAACTCCATTTCTCTGGAGAACCTTGACTAATACGGGAGAGAAGGAGGAGGGTCTGGGCCTTACAAGGCCCTGGCTCCCGTCAGCACACAGCCCAAGACAGTGACGGGATTTAGCTCAAGGCCAGGGGTACTTAGGGAAAATCCCGATTTCTGGAAATCTGAGAAATTAGAGATTTATCCCCATTTTCTACCCCCAACTGCATCATGAAATAAACATTTCGTTTCTACAAACGGGAACTCTGAATTCCAAGGCCGCATCCACCCGCCCCTTGGTGGGTTGCTCGTGTGTCTGGCTGGGCGGTGGCACAGGGGGATTTCGCAAGGCCTCAAAGCCCAGGCTCCCAGCTCCGCTCCTCCTACCCTTCATAGCCCGAGTGCCTGTGCTGGGATTTCAGGGCCTTTCTCCTACCTCTGAGATCCTTTGTCACTTTTCCAAGGAGATGGAAGTCTGGAATGAGGTGAGCCATGTCTCCATGGAGCACACTTTGTAGATGGAAACTTCTTTCTCCAGTGAAGACTCTGAGATGGACCAGGAGGAGAGCATCATGACCCTCAAGGAGAAATTGGCAGAATCTATCTGTGTAGGTCACAGCCTTGGTCCAGGGACCTGAGGGAGCCTAGTGGCCCCTGGAGGCATCACCTGGAGGTTTTCATGTAAGTTAATGTGACTGGATGGGGGTGTGGCCCCTGGTCACCACCCAGCACAAGTGACACAGCCAGCGCGGAGACATCAGCTGCCTCTCTCCACGTCCCTTCAGGCCCATGTCACAGCTGCACTGGGGAAACTGAGGCAGCTTAGCAGCCTCCATGATGCTGGTGGAGCTGGAGGAGGCCTGACTCTTCCAGAGAACGCCCTGCAGAGCCACAGGGCATGTGTAGCATCTGGGCGGCACCTGGCTCTCTCCCTGCTCCCCTGGGACTTCCAGCGAGCTCTCTTCCTGCCTTCGGAGCCATCTCAGTGCTCACAGCTCACAGTGACATTGGGAGGGGTCCCTATGCCTGTGAAGTGTTGGCGGGAGGAGAAAAACATCTGTGTTTAGCATAGCATAAAAAATCTCATTTTACAGTAGAAAAGTCTATCCCATGACGCAGACACAACAAACATATAAAACCCGCTTCCTGCTGCAGCTTCAAGGAGGACAATCTGGAGCTCTCTTAGGCGACCTTCCAGGAATCCCTTGCTCATCCTTAAAAATAAATCTTTCCTGTTGCTTCCCCAGTCTCTACACCCAAACACCAATCTTAGTGGCCCAACAAAGATCTTGAAGTATATCTACATAGGTATTAGCAAAACTTTATTTAAACAAGATATTCAGTGGATAATCAGGCATCCTCACTTTACATGCATGAGGACCAGCATGTACACAAAATGGTGCATTTCCAACCCCTGCAGGACCAAAGTCAAGTTATGGACAAGGGGTGGCATGATGTAAGGCAGGCGGCTGAGCTTTGGACTTGGAGGTCAGAGACCTAAGATTTGGAGTAGACACATGGGGTAGCGCTGGCTGCCTTTGAGAAATGACGCTCTGGCCATTCTTGAGTTTGTATTTTCCTTCACCAACTTTCCCGGAAGCACGGAGACACCGGGTTCACCCTTCCTGCTTGTGATCATGAGACACAAGGGGCAGGACAATTGTCTGATCCATTTGTATCGAGTGTGATTACCCCGTAGCAGAAGCCATCAGTGCTCTGCCCAGAGCCCCCAGGTCCCTGTGAGGGGTTCTGAGCCCCTTCCCCAACTTCCCTGTGCTTTTGCTGAGAATACCCCACACCACTGACCTTGGACCACCAGAGCTACTTTTCCCAGCTGAAGTCCCTGGGAGTTCATGTCCCTCCAGGGCAGCTCATGGCCACTGGCTGAGTGACCTGGGGAAACAGGGCAGAAGCTATTTTCAAAAATAACCACAGCAGTATTTTTTATTCCACCTGTTTTTTCAGTAACTTTCTGCACTCCCCACACCAAGGGGTGGAATCCAAGTCCCCTCCCTTTAAGCTTGGGGCAGCCATTGTGACTGCCTCAGTGTAGAACAGGCTGGAAATGACTGTGTGGTTAGGAAGGCTGGGGCATAAAAGGTCATGTGGCTTCCACTCACAGCTCTCCTGCAGGAGGCTCCGCATGGGAACCCGGCCGCCATGTTGGGAGGAAGCCCAGGCTGCACGGAGAGTGATGCAGATTCCCCAGTGAAGCTCCAGGGAAGGCCTTGGCCAGCAGCTGGGATCAAACCCCAGACCAGTGAGTGACTGAGTCTCCAGCCATCCTGGCCCCTAGCCTCCACGTCACCCCGACTGAGTGCAACAGAGGTGAGCTGCCCTCTCCAAGCCCTGCCCAAACTTCAGGTTTAAGAGCAAATCCAAGCTCCCTCTGTTTCCAGCCACTGAAGTCTGGCCTGGTTTGTCACGCAGCAATAGAATCAGGGCACGGGGCTGGCAGCCCAGTTCCCCTACCTCCTGTGGATGCCAAGTCCCCTGTGCTGAGATAAGCTGAGAACCTCCCCAACCCAGAGCAGGCTTCCAGTCGCCTCTAGCGAGCTGAAAGTCAGATTTTTGCTTTATCATCCCAGGCTAGACAAAACCAGAGAAAGTGGAGTCAGTTTGCTTCTCCCATACAATGTGGCGCTGGTGCCAGAGACAGCAGCAGCGGCAGGACACAGAGATGAAGGCTGGCGGATGTGCCGGTGTGGCTCTCGCTGAGCGTCCTTGCAGTGTGGGGCTGCCCTGCCTACTATGTGGCACAGCGTCCTCTTGGAGCAGCCCTCTGGGATGCAGAGGGCTCTGCGTTGGTTGCTCAGTGGCCCCAGTTAACACTGTGACATTCAACAATTGCACGGTGTGGCAGATGCCACAGCCCTTCCATGGACATTTGCACAGCTCACCCTCACCCACCCAAGGGTGTCGTCAGCCTGTGTTGTGTGACAATGGACTCTGAGGGCTTGGCTGATCGGCCCCAGGTCATTGCTGGGCTGGGGGCCTGTCCACCTCACTCTCCTGGGAGCTTAGAGCTTTGTCATCTGCATCCAGACTCTTCAGCCACATCAGGGTCCTTGTCCCGCACAGGGCCTTGCTGTCCCACCACTGCCCCTTTAATGTGGAGGCAAGGGGGCCTCACCCACCCAGGATTTTTGCTTTCCTATTGGGTTTCCAAAAGGGCCCCTGGCTCTTCCTGTTTCCTACCATGAGGAACTTGGTTAGGGTTCGCCAGAGGCTTTCGAAAGGGTGGGGAAAGTCCTGTCCACCATGTCCTGGTGCCTGGGGTCACCCTCCCTCCAGCTCTGATCCCGACATCTGCACCATCTCCCCAACCTACAATTTATCTGAGCATCTCAGTCCTGGGGGACACGTGCCCCGGCCCTTTGACCCAGTACCAACAGCAATGCAGGAGGGCCACAGAGGGTCTCCCTGCCCAGGGAAACCCCCCACCTGCTGACTTTGGATTCACCTCTGCTCCAAGCACAGCCCAGGCCTGGCAGCGTTTGACCCGCGGCGCATTCCAAGTCAAGCCCCCAGTTGTTTGGCAACGTCGGGCTGACAGCAGCTGCACAGCCAGATGTTGACCAGAGCACAAAGTGCGCTTTGATGTTTTTTTAACTAATCTCTGGGGAATTCCAGCTCACCCTGAGTCTTCCCAGGAAAAAAAAGAGCTGAAAAGCTGATTTCTGGAGCCTGAAGGGGCAGGGCATGAGGGCGGCAGCCAAGGGGCAGGGTGAGAGTGAAGTGGGTGGGGGCCACGCTTGCAGCAGGGAGGTGCCAGCTGGAGACAGCCAGGGCAAGGTGCCAACATGCCAGAGGTTTGAGTTAGTCAGGGGGGCCTGAGACCTGGGGCCACTCCACAGTGGGGGCCAGGGGACAGCGATACAGCAGACAGGACCTGCCCTGGACAACTGAGGTCAGCCCAGATCAGCCCAGATCAGCCCTACCATGCTTCATAACCACAGGTTCCCCTCCACCTTCTGCTCTCAGCCCTGCAGGGATGAGAAGGCCCTGCCCAACACCGGCATCAGAACTCAGGGAGGGATTCGGGAGGCAGAGGACTCTGGGTCACGGACCCTTCTAAGAGCTTCCCAGGGCATCCGCTTCTGTCCCTGAGCTTGTTCAAGATGACCCTGAGGAGGGCTTCATTAGAAGCCTGACTTTGACAGGCAGGACAGTGTGATGTCTCTTTCAGGGAGATATTAGCAGGGGCTTGGCACCCTGCCACCCATGGTTACTCCCATGTTATAGATGAGAAAACAGAGGCCCAGGGCCGGTAAGTAATATTCTTGAGACCACACAGCTAGGAAATTCCAGAGCAGCTCTTGGGAGAGGGTGGGGCCCACACACCAGGGCCTGTTTCCTCCTGGAAGCCAGCATCCCAGTCCTGCCTGCAGAAGACCTCAGATCAGTTGATCCTTGGCTCCCCAAATACCTCAGGAACCAAACAAGCCTGGCCTGGGGCTGAAGTTTCAGTGTTTCAGACATCAATCAGGCCGGAGAACTCCCCAAAAATATCTAGCTTTGGGGTGCTGATCATGCCCTTTTTCATACGGGAATGTCACCTTCACAGATGTTCAGGCTATAAAATTTCAGCAAACTATACACTTACGATACATGCTTTTTTTTCTGCATTAAACTATATTCCAATAAAAATATGTATTTCAATAAAAAGGTTTTTAAAGCTATATTTCAAGGCAATTTTCCCAAGAAAAGCCTTCCCAGAAGCTGCTTTTGAGCTATTCAGTTGCTTTCTCCAAGCGTCAGGCAACTAGAGCCTCGGTCCTCATTACAATCAGAAACATCATATTTAAAGAATATTTTTCCTTAAAATGATTGACAGATAATGGAGAGCTATGCAACTCTTAGAACAGGGTAGCTCTTTATGAACTGATAGAAACAAATCTTCCAAGTTCACCATGAAAGTTTCGAGCCAGGTATATAATAGGGTATTGTATATGTGGTTAAAAAAAATAAAATAAAGGAAAAGTATGTACATTCTCGATTGCACCTGCTTAGATCGATCTGGAAGGGGCACAAGAGGCTGGTATCACCGGATGCTTCTGGGAAGGGAGGTGTCTGGGTGATTGGATGGGGCTGGGAGAAAGAGGCTTCTTCCCATTGAATCCTTTTCATGCCTTCTGACTTTTGCTCCCAGCGAATTATTACTTAAACATGACCTTGATTTTTAAAAGGTTGGGGCTTCTCGAAAGGAGGCCATGTGCCCAGCATCCCCATCTCCAGATCCACTTCCTGTCCACAGGCTTCCCTCAAACTCCACTTATAATATCAGATGGCAAATGTCCTAACCTTGTGAAATCAGCAACTGCTCTTCACAAGCTGAGGGAAGAAAATATATGTAACTGTTTTCACATTAAAACCACTCAGGGATGCACATGCTTAGAGCACATGCTGATACGATTCCCCAGATCACACATTCACAGCTTCTTTCTCTAATTAAAAACACACGCACACACATCTCAGCTGTGGGAAACCGTGTGGCAGGTCCTCCAAAAATTAAACATGGGATTATCCTATGATCCAGCAATTCCACTTCTAGGTATAGACCCACAATACCTGAAAGCTGAGACTCAAACAGACATTTGCACACCCCTGTTCTCAGCACATCGTCCTCAAGTGCCAAAAGGTGGAAGCAACCGTGTCCATCAACAGGTGAGTGGACAAGCTAAATGCGATCCGTCCGTACCATGGAATGTCCCTCTGCCTCTCAGAGGAGGAGATTCTGATGCCTGCCACGCTGTGGATGAACCTTGAGGACCTGATGCCAAGTGCAAGAGGCCAGACACAAGAAGGACAAGTACTGGGTGATTCCACTTGTAGGAGGTCCCTAGAGGGGCCAGATCCCCAGAGACAGAAAATAGAATGGAGGCTGCCAGGGAGGGAATGGGGAGTGGGCGTTTCATAACGCAGTCTCAGTTTGGGAAGAAGGGAAAGTTCTGGAGCTGGATGGTGGTGGCAGTTGTACAGCAATGTGAACGTGCTTAATGCCACTGAAAAGTGCACTTGACAATGGCAAAGATGGGGCCGGGCACAGTGGCTCACACCTGTAATCCCAGCACTTTGGGAGGCCAAGGCAGGCGGATCACGAGGTCAGGAGATCGAGACCATACTGGCTAGCATGATGAAACCCCGTCTCTACTAAAAATACAAAAAATTAGCCGGGCGTGGTGGTGGGCGCCTGTAGTCCCAGCTACTCGGGAGGCTGAGGCAGGAGAATGGCGTGAGCCCGGGAGGCGGAGCTTGCAGTGAGCCAAGATCATACCACTGCACTCCAGCCTGGGTGACAGAGCGAGACTCCGTCTCAAAAAAATAAATAAATAAAAATAAAAAATATAAAAGAAAATGGCAAAGATGGTAAAACGTTATGTTATGTATACTTTACCTCATTATTTTCACAAGCATATTGGATGAAGAGAATCTTCTTTAAACAAAATATAATAGTTTGAGAAGCACTTGGGAGTGGACGTTACAGTTCCAACAGACAACTCCAGCTCAGTGGACATTCCCAGTTTGTAAAAAGAAGTTAGGTGTTTTCAGAGGTGGCCACAGATGTGACTAAGAGCCCGGGTGACCTTCCCTCCAGGTGGCTGCTCTGAGGGACGCCAGGTGACCCTGGCCTCTTCTCCCTCTTCCCATCAGAGGCTCACCCATGCCGGGTTGAGCCCCCCACTCATCCCAGGAGCCTCCCTGTGACAGGCAGCCCTCATCCTCCTTTTAATTAAGTCAGTCACGGAGCAAGTTAGGTTAAAAAAAAAGGGTAATTTCTCTCTTTTCCATTTTCCAGGTTAGAGTTTGGGGGGCAGGGGAGGGAGGGAGAGCATCTATGTGCACCTCTCCCACCTCCACCCTGTTCACGGCAGGTGGCAGATTCCAGTACAGGGATGATGGCTCGAGTTGCCAGGAGAATGGAAACCCAGAAAGGTCATTGGTAGTTGGATCCTGATGGCTGAAACACTGCTGCCTAGACATGGAGACCTCAGAACATTAGGCCAGGACACAGTGGTCGCTGTGTGGCCACACTCAGGCCCCACTCCCAGCCAAGGCTGTGCTCAGAGGCCAGCAGGAGCAGCCGCATCCCTGGACTCACTCAGCCCTTGCTGATGTGTGAAGGCTGATTCTGTGCAGACCCTGTGCTGGGGGCAGGACAGTGACAAGGAGCAGGACAGCCCCCATCCCGGGATCCCCAGAACCCAGAGGCAGTGCTGCAGTGGCACAGAGAGCTGGACACTTGCAGTCAAGGTCTCACATCAGCCAGGAGTTGTCCCCACCTTAGAGAGGAGGAAACCGAGGCTGGGGAAATCAGGCCTGCCCAGAGGTGACCAAGCCAGGACCTGAATCCCTTGCACCTGGCCCCAGAGCACGTGCACTGCCTGCTCTGTGCCTGGGCCTCCTCTGGCTCTGAGACCTAAGCAGCCATCTTGGACACAGTGTTTGGTAACCCCGGGTCCTGGAGATAAAGCTTGGGAGTAAGTTGTCTATTTGGGGAAGCAACCCCAGGGCAATGAGAAAATTAAAACAAGGGAGGAGGGAAAACAAGTCCAAGGGTCAGTGCTGCAGGCTGCAACGGGGCAAAAAGCTCATTTATCCTCTGGCTCCAGGACCCCACTGGGTAAGGGTGGCACCAGCCTGTTTGGGCTGGGTGTGTGAAGATGGCTGCATGGCTGCGGGGACATCCACAGCAGGGAAGCACCCCCAGAAGGGAGCTGTGAGTTGCTGATGAGAGGAGGGGCTGTCGGTTCACCTGTGCACAGGTGGTTGCTGCAGCAATGACAGGAGTGAAAAGGTGGATGGAGAACCGTAGGGTGGGTGCAGGGTGACCCCAACAGCTGCTGAGGCCCAGAGAAGTGAGTGATGCAGCTACAAAACCTCAGAAAAGCCATCGAGAGCCCCGATGTCCTTTCCTGGGTCAGCCTTCCTCCCCTGCATCAGCCACTCAGCCACCTCGAAAGGGGAGACCTCAGGACCCCGGCGGGGCCTGTAAGAATCACTGCGGAGGAACCCTGGGCCTCCAGCACTACCCAGGAGTCCCACAGTCCCCAGGCTCTGAGCACCTGCTGAACGCCCCACAACGTCACAGGGATCCAACAGTGAGTACAACGTGGTTCCTACCCTCCAGACTGCAGCCTAGAGAGGACGGCCTGGAAACACAGAAATCAGGACCAGTGGAGAGTTGAACGGTCTTCTCTCTGTGAGCAGGAGACAACAGCTGTGTGAGGGGCTGGCCAGTTCTGCTGGACAGAAAGGGAGGCCTTCCATGAGGAGGTGACACCGAGGAGCCTCCTGGAGAATGAGAATGGATTTGAAAGCAGACCTGGGAGGGGACGTCAGAGAGGGGACATCTCGAGAAGGGAGAGGCACAGCACAGAGAACGGGGGCTCTTAGGAGCGGAGCTTGCCCAGAGGGTAGGATTTGATTCGGGGGAGTGGGAGGTAGGAAACGTTTGGCAGGAGAAGAAACCAGAAGCTGGAGCTAGTAGCAGAGTCTGTGACACCCAGTGTGTCGGTGAGCTAGTGCTGGGTGGCACACGCCCCCAGAGCCCGGTGGGTTAAGACAACAACCGTGAGTCATTTCTCGCACATCCGCCAGGAGACGAACAGTTCTGCTGATCTGCAGCAGAGTTCCCTCATCTCTGCTGGGCTCTCACTGAGCCTGGCCAGGTCCTCTGGTCGGTAGCTGTCTAGGGTGGTTTCACCCTCTCCAGGTGACCTCTCATCTCCAGAAGGCTCACCCCGGCTCGTCCTCACGATGGGGCTGCAAGGCCCTGGGCGCCTACACTCAGAACTGGCACGCCTCACTTCCCTGCATTCTGTGGGTCGAGTAAGGGACAGGTTCAGCCCATTTCCAGGAGGTGTGGGGCAGGGGGAGGCGGGCAACTCAGCCTCTTGAGGCAGGCACCCCAGTGGCATTGCAAGGAAAGGTGGGGACTCGGTGCCATTTGCTCAGCGCACCCTCCTACGGAGCATTGCACCTGCTGACGTCAGGCAGCCAGGAGAGGTGTTTTAATTTGGAAAGTGACATTATATTTGCCTTGAGGCAGAAGAATAAGCCAGTTCCCCACATTCACTGAGTATCTAAGTGGCCAGCCCCGGTCTATTGTGCACTGCTTCCTCTTAGCCCTTTGGAACAGCATCCACAGGTGTTTTCTCCTGGAAGTAATGAATGGTTCATCCAGGTGGAATCCTGGACTGAAAATGCGGGCAGTCCTCACGTGTGACCCCCTTACGCTACAGATAGGACCTGACGTCTCAGGGTGGGAGGCGACCTCTCCAAGGCTGAGACTCCCAGTGGGGCGCGTGGGGCTGGGGGCTGGGTCTCAGCCACTTCAATGCTCTTTCGACCACAAAGTCACCCCAGTCTTTTGGCCATGCTCCTTACACGTTTGAAAAGATAAGTGGCAACAGCTCTAAAGGAAGGTGGAGAGAATCTTAGATACTAAAATCCTGGTTTTAACATCTATTGATCCAAATCAAGTCTTGGGTATAAAAATTAAAAGCAGCAAAAATTAAAAACAAGAAAAATCTTTGCTAGGAACTTTTCTAATAAAGCACTCACAGCTTGATACATAGACGTCGTTATCTTTGGCAGGACTGCTGCCAACATTTCCCAGGCCATTGGTGCATAAAAACAATGTAATATAGCAATTCAATTTTCTAAAGAATCAGTTAGCAATTAAACCGAGAATGTTTGGGAACAGATATTAAATTCTAAAGAGAATTGCCATTTAAACTTTAACTTTTCCAAGCAACAAAAGGATAATGGGGAACAGCTAGGAAGTTTCTCTTGAATTTCAGTAAGGAAATTATAAAAATTGAGGTCGTGTGCCCTTTGGGATTGTTTAAATGAATCTGTGACCTTGATACGGTGGTGGAAAGCAGCAAGGGCAGGTAGGACTGTCTTACGGGGTGTTCACTTGGTTTTGTCCCAATTATCAGATCAGGGAATAGCCAAGGAATTCTAGGCACATTGGCTATGGGTCATTGGAAACGTTGATTGTTCTAAGCAGATGGTTCTGGAAATATATTCCATCTGCTGCAGGGAAAACAAGCATGCACAGGAATCATCCCACCCCAACTTTGTTTCTCCATGCGTCCAGCGATATTCAGCGAGCTCTTGGAGCATGCTTGTACAGGACAAGGCACTGACAGCCAAGCAGGAACCCTGTGGCTGAGACCTGCCCTCCTGCGGTTTAACTCCAGGTTCAGAAGCTAGAGAACCACAGGTGAGACCTGCAGGGCAGAGAACTGCACACAGATGAGACCCACAGGAATGCCGTTCTCAGGACCCTGGAAGGACCAGGCTCCATTTCCAACTCGGGGGCCGGGGTGGGGAGTTAACCTGGAGCCACACTTCTTGTCTATAAATGGGCGTCAGCTTGGATGACCTCCAACCTCACTGACACCCCACGATTTGCTGGTGAGAGAACAAGGGGTGCAGATCCACGGCGTTGCGCTCCGGCCCAGGTAACCCCCTTGGGTCCTCTTGTTGGGCCAAACGGGTCTGGCCGGTGCATCCAGCCTTTCAGGGTTTCCGCTTTGCCCAGGCACAAGCACTTTCTGGAGTTTATCAGGGAAGTGCTTTAGAAACGTAATTAGTTGCTGTGAAAATTTGGAATAGGTGCTGACTATCAGTTATTAGGTATGCCAAAAGTCAGCAATTTATTCAGAACCAGGAAAATTGGAACCAACAAACCAAATATGTGCTCGTCGACCCCACAAGGAGAATCATGCCTGTTGCTGGAATGTTCCTCCAATGTCCCTGTGGTTATTCAAGGAAAATTGATGACTTAAAGCTCCATCAGTTTAAAAAAAAATGGGCTGAAAATGGAAAATGCTTTAAAAAAAAAAAAGATAACAGGGCATCCTATAAAGAATGGTTGGGGATCTTGGGTCTGTATCCTGGGAAAAAGGGATTTCTCTTGTCCCGTGGGGCCTGCTTTTGTTCTCATGGTGGAAAACCAGGACTGGTGGTGAGAAGGGGCGGGGGTGGCAGTTGTCTTACTTGCTGTAAAGGAAGCCTAAGGCATGAACTGTCTGGGAGTGGAACGGGCAGCCTCAGTAAGCCACAAGCTTCACGTCTCTATGCCGAATCACTCCTCTCACTTTGCAGATTCTACAACTTCCTGCAACGTGCTTCTCCTCCTGGCTTTTACATGAAACCCTCTTTTCACCCCGCATTCCCCACCAGGCACATCTGGGCCCTCTACTTTCCCTCACGGCCAAACCTCTGGAAAGAGAAGCTCCTGATCACTCTCCAGTCTCTTCCTTCTCATACCAATCTAATGTCTGCCTCACAACTCCATGGAGAGGCCCCTGACACTCTCAAGCCGCCCAGCTCCTGAGTCAGAGATGTTTCCAGTCCTTATCTCCAAACCTGGTGCCTATACCTTCCTTCTGGAAGCACTGTCCACCCACATCGTCCACAGCCACACTCAGACCAAGCCCCCTGCCACCCCAGGCCTCTCCTCGGCTCCCTGGCAAAGCTGGCTCTCTTGCCCCTGGCACCAGTGGAGCTGCTCCTCCAGGGCCAGCCTGGGCCATCTCCATTTCCCACTCTGCCTTCCCTCCCCAGGGAAGCTCACTCAGCCCTGTGGCTTCCATCAGCACCACATGCGTGGTACTCCAGGTTCTACGTTTAGTCCAGTCTCCTGTGAGCTCCAGACCCGACTACCCAAACCCCGCTCAATGTTACAAAAGCACCTCAAACTTGATGTCCCCAACTGAATTGCCTGCCACCCCCGCTGTACCTTCACCATCACCTCCCACCTTCGATGTGGTCCTTTAGGACCACAGTCCAGGTGTCCAGTGCTCTGAGCCAGGTGGGGCACGAGTCAGCCTCAACACACACCCTCCTCACACACCCTCCCACAGCTAATCCAACACCGAATCCTCTCACTTCAGCTCCTGATTTATTCTTCTCCCATTTGCCTGTCTCTCTTCATCTCCACTGCCTGCTCCTCAACACAAGCTCCCATCTTCCCTCACCTTGGCCGCGCTCTTTCTCCTAACATTGCTGCCGTCAGTTTCCCATGCCACAGCCACATGACCTGCTCAAGAAGCCAGCCCCATCCTGTCGGCTTCGTCCCCTGGAAACCGGGACAAGCTTGCACTGCACCTGTCCTGCCAGCCCTGTGGGGTCTCCAGCCTCCTTTGGCACCATGCTCCCCCACTCTCCATTCCAGCTGTGTTCCCTTCCTTCCCAGCCTTCTTCACACCTTCCACATGCCTTCTAAATGGCTTCTTCATGCCTCCTTCACACATTCTTTATGCCTTCTACATGCCTTCTTCATGCCTCCATCACTCCTACATGCCTTCTGCATGCCTTCTTCATGCCTCCATCACACCTTCAACCTGCCTTCATGTCTCCACCACACCTTCTACATGCCTTCTTTATGCCTCCACACCTTCTACATGCCTTCTTCATGCCTTCTTCATGCCTCCTTCACACCTTCTTCCGCCTTCTATTAATACATGCTTTTTTATGCCTTCTTCACACCTCCTTCAGGCTTCTATATGCCTTCTTCATGCCTCCTTCACACCTCCTTTATGCTTTCTACATGCCTTCATGCCTCCTTCGCACCTTCTTTATGCTTTTTACATGCCTTCTTCATGCCTCTGTCACACCTTCATTATGCTGTCTACATGCCTTCTTCATGCCTCCACTACACCTTCTATATGCCATCTTCATGCCTTCATTACACCTTCTACATGCCTTATTCATGCCTTCATTACACCTTCTACATGCCTTCTACATGGCTCATTCACACCTTCTACATGCCTTCTTCATGCCTCCACTACCCCTTCTTCATGCTTTCTACATGCCTTCTTCATGCCTCCATCACCCCTTCTACATGCCTTCCTCATGCCTTCATCACACCTTCTGCATGCCTTCTACATTCCTCCTTCATGCCTCATTCACACCTTCTTCAGCTTTCTATTAATATATGCTTTTTTATACCTTCTTCATGCCTCCTTCAGACTTCTACATGCCTTCTTCATGCCTCCTTCACACCTTCTTTATGCTTTCCACATGCCTTCTACATGCCTCCTTCACACCTTCTGCATCCCTCCTTCACACCTTCTTTACACCTTCTATTAATACATGCCTTTTTCATGTCTTCTTCACGCCTCCTTCAGACCTACATGTCTTCCTCACACCTTCTTCATGCCTTCTACATGCCTTTTTCATGCCTTCTTCATCCTCCTTCACACCTTCTTCATCCCTTCTCTGCACCTCCTACATGCATTCCACAGGCCTTGCTCCCTTTTCTTCTTCCAGTCCTGCTGCCAAGAACTCTTATCCTCTCTTCTCCAGTTCATTAACTCCTATTTATGCACCTTCTTTCCAGGAGGCTGCTCCTGGCCTTTGACCAGGTCAAGTTTACCGCTTGTTATGAGCTTTCGCAGCACCACGTACTGAGCCTTTGTCCCCAGCAGTCTGTTCTCTACCCACAGCCAGAGAGAAATGAACACCAGACCCAGTGACTCTCCTACTTGAACCATGCGGGGTTCACACCTGTGCTTAAAATAACAGCCACACTCCTAACCGGGGCTCTGGATCACCATCTTCCAAATATCTCTGTGCTGGAGCACCCACCCCGGAAAGAAGCTAGTCACTGGGTCTTCACGTCAGTGTCAAACGGCCCCTCCCGATGTCCTGTCTGTGGCTTTTTCAGGACACCAAGCTTATCGTTTCCACAGCACCCATCACAGTTAATGATGTTGCCTTTGCTGGTTTCTGTGCTTATGTGGCGGGAAGAATAATGCCTCTCCCCAGAGACGTCCACGTCCCAATCCCTGAACCTGGAAGTAGGTTGGGATGCATAGCAAAGGGGAATGCAGGTTGCTCAGGAGCTGGCCTTAAAATTGAGGGATTATTCCTAATTATCCATTCAGGCCTCATGCAATTTCAGGGGCACATGGAAGGGGGGAAGGAGAAGGGAGTCAGAGGGAGATGGACCTCCCCTAGGCCCTCAGCCTGACCCTGGCACCTGTGTGAGGCAGCCTGGGATGAGGGTGACCAGGAAAAGTGCCACCTCCTGGCTTTGTTCCCTCTGCTGGTGACACCCTCTGAGATCTTGGACAAGACGCCTGAGCCCTGAAGCTGGCAGGTTGCTTCCCAGCAGCCTCTTCAGACCATCCCGATCCTCCCCAGAGGGTCTACAATTCTCCTGGTGGAGACCCAGAGTCCTCTGGGCATGGAGCAGGCCCTGTGAGGGATCTGGAGAAAGGGAGGGGACAACAGAGAGGTGCCCTTTGGGACCCTGTTCATTCTCATTTCTGAGCCCACAATAGAGAAGGAAAACAGCAAGAGCTTCTGTGTAAATGCTCACCCCACAGTGCACAGTTCTCAGAAACCAAAGAGGAAAGCCATGTTTCATGCCGTACTGGAGTCATGAACCACCTTCACCTCTACTGCGTCTACCACTGACTTTAAGACGTGGCCGACACAGTAGGAGAGAGCTGAGAGGGGAGAGAGCAAGAAAGGAGGCAGGAGAGGAGAGGGGTCACAGATAACCCCTGGAATTGGGGAGTGCAGAGAGGCCACCTCGTGGGCAGCAGGCTCTTAGGGGAGCTGCAGTCACCCTGGGACTCCACGGCCTCCCCAATGTTCACGTGCCCTGGCAGATCTGACCTCTTCTGTCCTGAGGTCTGGCCGTGCCTGGAGATTGAGAGGTGTGGAAGAAGCGGTTGGCCAGTGATGGCTACTCTGCCTTCTGCCGCCATCCCCTCTGCACCTGCCCATCCCTACCCTCTGGACCCATTGTCATTCCTCTCCATGCGGTAGAGTCCCCAGAGCTCTGCCCTCCTCCTCCAGCCTCCTGCTCTGCGTCTCCTGCACGGGATCCAACACCATCTCCCACACACCTGCCACCAGCCAACGCAGGTCAAAAAGATTTACTGTGGTAAAAAAAAATAATAATAAATAAGTAGAAGAAAGCCGTTTCACACAGTGGAATAAACGCCATTGAGTCCGCCATGTTGCAGCGTTCACCGGGCTCAGGCCAAGGCAGCAAGGTCACTAGCTGAGAGGGGTTACCAAGACCAAACATGAACAAGAGAAGCTCACCAGTAAGAGTATGTCTGCTTTCCTGGGACACAGGTACAGCATAGCGCCCAACCGGGGGACACGTGGAATCTGTGAATCGTAAGGGATTGTTACAACGCTTAAAGAAAATTATTCCAGAAACAAATGCAGCTATAATTTCAGAGTCAAATCAATGCTCCTTGGGTTAGCCTTAAACACAGGATGCATGTATAATCTGCCAGAGAATGATTTAAGGAAAGACGCTCCTACAAATAAACAGTGGGCACGTGTCAAAGGTTTATTTAACTCATGAACGGGAGAACCAACAGATGGCAAAGCTCTCAAAGAGCGCTTTAAGAGATGCTTATATTTACAAGCAATGAGAAGAGAATGTGGAACTAAGATTGCAAGGTTAGAACTAGTGTTGGTTGATGTCGCACCGGGCAATAATAGTGCAGGTCTGGCGTTCACTTTGCTAAGAGTCAGGAGTCATTTGCATCCCTGCTGAGCGAAACCTCCATGTTAATGAAACCTACAAGTTAACGGGTAACTTCACAAAGTCCTGGCACTGCTCAGTAAACAGCTGTGTCAAATATAGACACATCCCCACAAAGAATTACACACTCTTCTGGCGGGCTGGTTAGACCCTGCTCCAAGATGCCAGGGAAAGGACGGTAGCCACTCTTTTGCCTTATTTACAAGGTTGTTTAGAAATTATTTTTCTGGCCGGTCATGGTGGCTCACACCTATAATCCCAGCATGTTGGTAGGCTGGGGCAGATGGATCACCTGAGGTCAGGAGTTGGAGACCAGACTGGCCAACATGGCCAAACCCCATCTCTACTAAAAATACACAAATTAGCTGGGCATGGTGGCACGCGCTTGTAGTCCCAGCTACTCACGAGGCCGAGGCAGGAGAATCGCTTGAACCCGGGAGGCAGAGGTTGCAGTGAGCCGAGATCGTGCCACTGCACTCCAGCCTGAGTGATAGCTTGAG
The DNA here is from genome assembly GCF_000001405.40 of Homo sapiens. NCBI lineage: Eukaryota > Metazoa > Chordata > Mammalia > Primates > Hominidae > Homo > Homo sapiens. The sequence goes on along the minus strand of NC_000002.12, from coordinate 239,562,397 downwards.
ACTCTGTCTCAAAAAAAAAAAAAAAGGAAAAGAAATGATTTTTCTTCATAGAGTATTAGAAAGGGGGAAATAGCATTACCATTACTTATAGATGATATTATTCACACACAGACAATTCAAGGGAGCCACTGAGAAGCCTTCAGTATTTGTTATGGGCTGAATTGTGTGCCCCCCAAAATTCATCTGTTGTCGTCCTAACCCTGGCACCTCAGAACGGGGCTGTATTTGGAGACAAGGTATGTAAAGAGGTCGTTAAGGTTAAATGAGGTAACTGGGTGGACCCTCACCCAATACCACTATGTCCTTCTAAGAAGAGATTAGGACACAGATACACAGAGAGGGATGACCACATGAGGACAGCGAGTAGACAGCATCTGTGAGCCAAGGAGTGAGGCCTCAGGAGGAACCCAGCCTGCCAACACTGCGGCCTTGGGCTTCCAGCCTCCAGGACTGGGAGAGGATGGACATGTGTTGTTCAAGCCGCCCAGCCTGTGTGCTTCCTCACAGCAGCCCAAGCCAACTCATGCGTGCTTGTCCTCAAGTGATGGGGCAGACCCAGTGAGTCCAGGCAGCAGAGACTTCCCCAGGGCCGAGTGGGCTGAAATCCACACATGCTCCACAGCCCACCCACTGCCCAGTGCAGGCCTGTGTCCCCCAGGGGCAAGGGGACCTTTCAGGGCCGTACCAGCAAGGGCACATCCCCGGGCCGAGCTCTGCTGGCTCCCAGGAAGGCACCGGGTGGCCACAGCACCAGAGCAAGGCTCCAGACGTGCAGCGCTCGGCTCCCCGCCAACAGCGTGCAAAACAGAGGCGGTGTCAGACCCAAAGGAGAGCTGGGAGCTGCCTGGCCACACGCTCTGCGGGAAGCACACGTGGCCTGTGGGAAGAACAGTATTAAGCTCTCCTGGAGGACACACTGAGGCTTTGCCTAAACAAACACACATCTTGTTTCCAGATGTGAAACTCCACTAATAAAGATGTGGTGTCTTTTAAAATCAAAAACCCTATGTCCTCAATTATAAGTGGGAGCTATGAGTGCACAAAGGCATAGAGAGGCATGGAATGGACTCTGGAGACTCAGAAAGGAGGTGGGTGGGAGGGGGCTGGGGATAAAAAGTACACATTAGGTACAATGTATACCACTCAGGTGACAGGTCCGCTAAGATCTCAGAATTCCCCACTGTAGAATTCATCCATGTCACCAGAAACCACTTGTACCCCAAAAGCTACTGAAATAAAAATTAAATAAATAAATATTCTAGTGAAAGCATAAATATATAAAAATGCCAAGAAAATTTAAAAATATCACAGGAGACTTTCTATTATTAACAAATCAAACTGTAGAGCAGTATTATTCAAAGCAATGAGATACTGCAGCTAGATACCACAAGCGGACCGATGGGACAGGGAGGCAGTTGAAAGCGTACCCCAGAATGACCGTTGAATAGGTAACAGAAGTACCTTCCAATCGGTGAGGAAACTCACAAATAAATAGCATTGGGAAAATCAACAGTATAACAACTGCTAAATTCCTGTTCATATCATACTCAAAAACAAATTCCTGATGAATAAAATGTCAAAATAGTTTCAATTATAGGAACAGCAGAAGAAAATAGGGGAAAATCAGTTTCTTTAATACTTGGGTGAGAAAGGGCTTCATAATCAGGATATGAAATCCAAAATGTATAAAAGAAAATATTGACACAGTTGATCTCATAGAGCTTTTAAACTTCTGAAGAATGAACACAGTTAAAAGAAAATGCCAGACTAGGAGGAAACATTTGTATAATTATAACAGGGAAGGAGTCACTATCACTAACCAACAATTAATATCCAGGGAAAGGTTTATAACTTAAAATTCTGATTCTAAATTTCTACTAGAAGCATAAATACATAAAAGTTGCCACATAAAAGTATAACACATAAAAATGTAGTACTTCAGTAAGAAAAATTTACATGTTTGTTAGAAAAAAAGTGCAAAAGAAGAGAACCCTGAAGGCATGGTAAATGTTCTAAATCTTGTCACCCCGGGGTAAAAACATAAATTTGTAAAATGTAAAAACACGTTAACCTTTGTGAAGCTATACACACAGGGCGAATGTACTTTACTGTCCCGATATTCTTTTACACCTCAATATGCGGTTTAGAAGCATGGAGCAAACACCCACAGATCCACAGAGAAGAGAATGGAATCACCAGTACACATATCCACACCATTGCCTCCACTCCTGGGCCCAAATCCTCTAACACGCTAGGCCGTGCATCTCACCCCAGGGAGACTCTCCTCTCTCGGCCCCGTCCCTATCTTCCCTGACTTCTCTGAAACGTCACCTGCCAAGGAAGGTATGGCAGCCGCATGTCCTGCCATCTTCCCGTCCTGGGGGAATGTCCTGGTCCGGCACGCTTGGTGGCCCGGCCCTTCCATGTGGCTATCTGAGATCTTGCTTTTAAACA